>NC_000021.9:36744341-37054295 GCF_000001405.40 Homo sapiens
GAAAGGAAGGGAGGGAGGGAGGGAAGGAAAGACGGAAGGAAGGAAGGAAGGGAAGGAAGGAAGAAAAGAAAAAAGAAATAAAGAAAGAAAGAAAAACAAAGAAAGAAAGAGAAAGAAGGAAAAAGAGAAAGAAAGAAAGAAAGAAAGAGTCCATGTGTGCCTGATGTCTTGTTAGCTTGGGGTGGGGGATCTCTTTCCACCCTGGGAGCAGGTCACTGGGGTATCGCTCGCTGTGTGCCTGTCCCCAGTGGGACCTTGCAGTGGTGGCGAGGGTAGGGGCAGCCCTTGGATGGGGTTGGGCCCCGTCGGGACGGTTCTTGCAGGGCCGGAAGGCAGCTTCCTGCCGGCCCCTCGCTGGCCCTTCATCCATCTTCTTTGCCATGCAGCAATACAGCTCGTTCCAAATGGACAAACTGGAATGCGGCCAGCTCGGAAACTGGAGAGCCAGTCCCCCTGCAAGCGCTGCTGCTCCTCCAGAACTGCAGCCCCACTCAGAAAGCAGTGACCTTCTGTACACGCCATCCTACAGCCTGCCCTTCTCCTACCATTACGGACACTTCCCTCTGGACTCTCACGTCTTCAGCAGCAAAAAGCCAATGTTGCCGGCCAAGTTCGGGCAGCCCCAAGGATCCCCTTGTGAGGTGGCACGCTTTTTCCTGAGCACACTGCCAGCCAGCGGTGAATGCCAGTGGCATTATGCCAACCCCCTAGTGCCTAGCAGCTCGTCTCCAGCTAAAAATCCTCCAGAGCCACCGGCGAACACTGCTAGGCACAGCCTGGTGCCAAGCTACGAAGGTGGGTCAGGTCTGCTCGTGGGGAAGGTGGGAGGACTGCGCACGGCCGGGAGCCGAAGCAGCCATGGCGGTGGGTGGCAGATGGAGACAGAACCCTCACGCTTTGGGCAAACTTGCCCTCTTTCTGCTTCTAAGTAGGGCTTGCTGTGCTTTCTTGCTCTCAATGCAGGTGCTCCTCGAGAGTGAGAAATGGCAGTCTGCCTGCCTCGGGGACACTAGTGACAGTATAAAGGGCAAAGGAAAACCGAGTATCTGGCCTTCACGTAAATCCTGGCCACATTCACCAACCAAAGGGGGACAGTGATTTTCAAAACCAGCTCCCATGTGCTGAGAACACCCCAGCTGCATTTCTTTTGCAAGATTCCTTTCCACTCCAACCAGAAGTGAATATTTGAGACAAACGGCCTATTGGCTATTTTCCCATGCCAGTTTTGGAAGTGGGGAAAACTATGGTGGAAATTTGTGGGCTTGGGGACAGAAATGCCACTCACCAACCCAGGGCAAAGAACACAAACCCTCCAGGCCTCAGTTTCTTCACCTGTAAAATGGGGTGAAGCTGTGATGTGCCTACTCCCAAGGACACGACACACAGTAGGGACCTGCCCTGTACATGCTAGTTCAACAGAAAGGAATGGCCTTTCACCTTCTCCTGGTGGCAGGCAAGCAGATGTCCTCTGCGGAGATACCGCCAGCTCCCCAGGACGCAGACTGACTCCTGTTTGCTCGCTGGACCAACCCCAGGCAGAAGGTGGAAGGTGGGAACAGAGGTTTAGCTGCAGGACATGTATTCCCATTGCACCGAGACCTAACTGCCGCTCAGAGTGTAGACCGAGATGGTGCAGATGCCTGCAGTGCCACTAAAATGTGGGTGAAGGTGACATCAGGATTATGTGCCCCAGGCCGGGCTCAGTGGCTCACACCTGTAATCCCAGCACTTTGGGAGGCCAAGGTGGGCGGATCACCTGAGGTCAGGAGTTTGCGACAAGCCTGCCAACAAGCTGAAACCCCATCTCCACTAAAAATACAAAAATTAGTTGGGCATGGTGGTGAGCACCTGTAATCCCAGCTACTCTGGAGGCTGAGATAGGAGGATCACTTGAACCCGGGAGGTGGAGGTTGCAGTGAGCTAAGATCACATCACTGCACTCCAGCCTGGGTAACAGAGTGAGACTGTCTCAAAAAAAAAAAAGAAAAAGAAAAAGGATGATGTGCCTCAGAAAAGCAGCACACCAGCCCCTGCTTAAGAAGACAGCTCTTGGAAGTTCCTCCACGCCTCTCTCGAGGCAGGTAGGGCTCTGCTCCTTCTGGGCCTCATCCTGCTTTTTCTGCAAATCCTAGGAATCTCTTGCTCTGTATTGTGACTTGAGGCTGAGATAACATTTCTTCCCAAATCTGAGAAGAGAGATAGATTACGGGAGAATGCCGCCTTTCTGGAAATCACTAGGACATGTTTTTTCAGAAGTAGCTAACTTAGAAAAGACCACATTGGTGACCAGGGCCAGGACCCCTGCCTTTTGACCTGGCCTGTCCCAGGAGCCACGGATCCCTTAGATTTGCATCTGCCATACCCGTGAACATCTTGGGCCCCTCATATAACCAAGGAAGGGATCTCCAGAACATCCAAGCAAAGGAAGACAAAGCAAAGGGTTTTGATAACAGCTGAAAGTATTACCCACTTGAGATTGACTTGAATTTGTGTGTCGGAAGCTGGCTAATGCTGTCACATGGTATTTGACTTTTACCACTATTTTAAAAGTGAAAGAGGTTAACAATCTCCTTATCACACACTTGATAAAAAGTGGACCAAAGGTGCTAATTTGAGGCAATTTGCGATCAGCTTCCTAGTCTTTTTGGTATTAAAGGAAGACAAATTTTGCCATATAGTGTTTAAAAACAAACAAACAAACAAAGACAAAAAAAACCCACAAGCCAGGGAGCTACTTAATGTCAGGCATCGGACTGAGTAGATGGGAGTGGTTATTTTTCATTATGACACGGCGAAACCGATCGGGGTGGTTACCACCCCTCTCCACTAAGGGACGGGCAGAAGAAATCAGAGCAGACGGGGGCCCTCCAACACCAGGGCCCCTGGTGGCCTCTAGACCTCTGCCGTCCAATCAGGTAGCCACCAACCCCGTGTGGTCTTGAACATGGAAATGTGGCCAGTGCAGTGAGGCAGGTGTGACCTGCGCTCTGCATCTCAGGACCAAAAAAAAAAAAAAGAAAATATCCCAATAATTGTTTCACACGGATTCCATTGAGAGAGTATTTTGGATATGCTGCATTAACGTGTATTACTTAACAGGCATTCCACCTGTTTCCCTGCTTTGTAACGCGGCTCCTGGAACATTTCAGGTCGCGTCCTGAGATTGGACAGCACGGCCTAGACTAAGGCGGGGGAGGGCGACAGCGACCCCGCGGGTGCAGCGCGTGGGCGGCCGAGGGGTGGTGGCTGCGCCCGGGGCTTGGGGGTGGGGTGGCTGCGGCCGCGCCCCTTGCTGCCCTCTAACGTGTCGCCTGTCCCCGCAGCGCCCGCCGCCGCCGTGCGCAGGTTCGGCGAGGACACCGCGCCCCCGAGCTTCCCGAGCTGCGGCCACTACCGCGAGGAGCCCGCGCTGGGCCCGGCCAAAGCCGCCCGCCAGGCCGCCCGGGACGGGGCGCGGCTGGCGCTGGCCCGCGCGGCACCCGAGTGCTGCGCGCCCCCGACCCCCGAGGCCCCGGGCGCGCCGGCGCAGCTGCCCTTCGTGCTGCTCAACTACCACCGCGTGCTGGCCCGGCGCGGACCGCTGGGGGGCGCCGCACCCGCCGCCTCCGGCCTGGCCTGCGCTCCCGGCGGCCCCGAGGCGGCGACCGGCGCGCTGCGGCTCCGGCACCCGAGCCCCGCCGCCACCTCCCCGCCCGGCGCGCCCCTGCCGCACTACCTGGGCGCCTCGGTCATCATCACCAACGGGAGGTGACCCGCTGGCCGCCCGCGCCAGGAGCCTGGACCCGGCCTCCCGGGGCTGCGGCGCCACCGAGCCCGGCAAATGCGCACGACCTACATTAATTTATGCAGAGACAGCTGTTTGAATTGGACCCCGCCGCCGACTTGCGGATTTCCACCGCGGAGGCCCCGCGCGCCGGTGCCGAGGGCCGAGGAGCGCCCGGGTCCGGGCAGGTGACCGCCCGCCTCTGTCCTGCGAGGGCCGGTGCGACCCAGTTGCTGGGGGCTTGGTTTCCTCACCTTGAAATCGGGCTTCACGCGTCTTGCCTTGTCCCCAACGTTCCACAACAGTCCCGCTGGGGGATTGAAGCGGTTTCACTCCGCAAATATCCTCCACTTTCAGGAGGGAAAACCCACCCTACCACAGTCCGCTCTTCCAAGTGGACGGCAGACCTGGGAGGGGACGCCTGTGTCACGAGCCCTTTTAGATGCTTAGGTGAAGGCAGAAGTGATGATTGTAAGTCCCATGAATACACAACTCCACTGTCTTTAAAAGTCATTCAAGAGTCTCATTATTTTTGTTTTTATTTAACCCTTTCTTCAATACAAAAAGCCAACAAACCAAGACTAAGGGGGTGACCATGCAATTCCATTTTGTGTCTGTGAACATAGGTGTGCTTCCCAAATACATTAACAAGCTCTTACTTCCCCCTAACCCCTATGAACTCTTGATAACACCAAGAGTAGCACCTTCAGAATATATTGAATAGGCATTAAATGCAAAAATATATATGTAGCCAGACAGTTTATGAGAATGACCCTGTCAAGCTTCATTATTACGTGGCAAAATCCCTCTGGCCCACACAGATCTGTAATTCACTAGGCTCGTGTTTGCTACAAATAGTGCTAATAAAGTTAAATTGCACGTGCAATACGGAACACTGTCAATGGACTGCACCTTGTGAAGGAAAAACATGCTTAAGGGGGTGTAATGAAAATGATGTAGACATTTTAAGCATTTTCTACACAGCGAGAAAACTTCGTAAGAACATGTTACGTGTGCAACAGGTAAACAGAAATCCTTTCATAAAGCACCAGCAGTGTTTAAAAAATGAGCTTCCATTAATTTTTACTTTTTATGGGTTTTGCTTAAAGATCTCAACATGGAAAAATCCTGTCATGGCTCTGAACTGCACAATGCATTGAACCGCCGTCCTTCAATTTTCTTCACACTATCAACACTGCAGCATTTTGCTGCTTTATCAAAATGGTTTATTTTAGGAAACTTTTTCCACCTTTCTGAATGGAAAGAGGTTTTCACAAATGTTTTAAACTCATCGTTCTAAAATCAAGTGCACCTACACCAACTGCTCTCAAAATGTGAACTGACTTTTTTTTTTTTTTTTTTGCCAACCCTGTGTCACTTAGTGAGGACCTGACACAATCCCTACAGGGTGTCTGTCAGTGGGCCTCATGGTAAGAGTCACAATTTGCAAATTTAGGACCGTGGGTCATGCAGCGAAGGGGCTGGATGGTAGGAAGGGATGTGCCCGCCTCTCCACGCACTCAGCTATACCTCATTCACAGCTCCTTGTGAGTGTGTGCACAGGAAATAAGCCGAGGGTATTATTTTTTTATGTTCATGAGTCTTGTAATTAAACCGTGATTCTTGAAAGGTGTAGGTTTGATTACTAGGAGATACCACCGACATTTTTCAATAAAGTACTGCAAAATGCTTTTGTGTCTACCTTGTTATTAACTTTTGGGGCTGTATTTAGTAAAAATAAATCAAGGCTATCGGAGCAGTTCAATAACAAAGGTTACTGTTGAGAAAAAAGACCCTATCATAGATTTACAAGTGACAACGTGGACAGGCGTAACAGAGTGTGTATGTACTTGAAAATGTGTACTAGTGAAAACGTCCTTGTCTAAACAAACTTCGTTTTCATAACCTAGAACATGAAGGAAGATTCTTACACGAGCTGGCTTCAGGACGGCCAGGGCTGAGTGTGAAGTCAGCAGAGCTGTTACTGTGGCAACCTAATATTGTGACCTCCATCTTGAAGAGTCTGCACATTTAAGCTGGGGATAGCGTTTCTTGACTTCTGTGAGGCTCCGGCAGGGGAAGAGGAAGCATTTTAATACATATGCCTCTCTTTTACAAAAAAGAAAAAAAAATCATCGTAGGCCCTAACATGTACCATGTTGACAAAAATGCCAGATCAAATGGATTTGAGAAATAAGCCCAATTCAAGGCTGGCTCAGCCCTCCACGGGGCCTCCCAGGGAAAGGAATTCCTTTATGTTCTTGGAAGCCCTTTTCTAGAAAAGCCATTCCATTCATACCTTTGTAGAGCAGTGGGCTGGGTGTGGAGGGCAGCGCGGAGGGTATCTGCAAGAGCCTGTATTTTCCGCCTCCCTTGCCCCCACTCCTTTTATCCTTTTAAAAGTCCTATCAGCCCTGCCTTCGTCCCTTCCGCCCTAAGCCCTAAGAGTGGGGGAGGTTTAATACGGCCAATGGATCTTGTATAAAGTCTACGTAAGTTTTAATTTACCAGAGCTATAAGATGGTTAAGGTAGACTAGTGGGGACTGCTACAGATAAAATGAGATACAAAGAACATTTGCAAATAAATGCCATAAAATTACAGTAGCTTGGAATTTTAGTGAATCATGGCCCTTGTGTTATCTAGAATGCTAATTATTCAAGCTGTTCCTAAACTTAAGTATGACATATAAGATTAAAATCTTGGGGGGAAAAACTGTTCAGATGAAAAGTCAAGTCAAGAAGTTTCCACAAAAGAAAAGAAAAATCCTAAAAACAATCTAGCTGTTGTTACATTAAATTTATTTCTCACCTCCATTAAAAGGGTTTTTGCTTTGGAGTTTTGTTAACTTTCGTTCTTTGGAGTAATAATATTTCTCTTGTGTATGGCGCTGAATACATTTGTCAATAATACGTCAAAAAAAAAAACACTTGGCTTCTTAATACTTGGAAATACGTACATATTCCTTACTATGTAAAACACTTTATTTATTTTGTAAAAATGTTTAAATATGAATAAAAATACTGTAACCCAAAGTAGTTGCCTACTTTTAAAAATGAAACTTGTAAAAATAAGAGGGAGCCCAAACCACATAGAAAGTCTTAGTTTATTTTGGTAGACTTGCTTTTTATAGGCATTGGTTTAAAGTGATTCTTTTCAGAGACATCCTTTGAGAAGTTAAAATTGCAGAGGCTTACGCTTTCTTTTATTTCAAATATGCATAGTGATTAACCAGGAATAAGGATTCTCCCATGTTCTGCCTGTTAAGAGCAAACAGATCTGGAGAACGGAAGCCCACCCTGCCTCCCTTTTCCATCTGAAGCAGTGCGGGGAGGCTGGCTCCTCTCTTTGTTCCCAGACTCCAGGGCAAGGGGCGACCATGCTGTATATGCTGTGCCTTGGGGGACCCCCAGAGGCTGCGCTCTGTGGCCTGTGCTCCCCCGACCTGTGCACCCGCACCCCAGTCGGCCACTTGCTCTCACATCAGGCAACGTCAGCCTGCTGCAGTGAAACTCAACCACGATTTTCCTTTGCACACAAATCCTTCCTACTTCCACCACTCCCTAGCAGAGTTCCCAGTGCCAGAGAGCACTGCTGGGGTGGGGGTGGGGACAGGAAGCCCAGTTATTGCTGTGTTCTATTTTAGGGGGCACTTCCTCAAGAGTCCCCTTGAAACCCGTTACCAGCCTGGAAGGGAGGATATCTTGCCTTTTACAAAATACGGTCGATACTCAATGCACAGCCTCTAAAACAAGGGCTACTCCAGTGTTCTAAAAGCACACGCCAATCCTGAGTTTAGTGACCACATTTTAAAGATCATCAGGAAAATGCCAAGTTCCCATTAAGACTTTAAAGCTCCTTGAGATCCCAGGTTGCGGGGTGCATAAATGGCCCAAATCGGAGAGTGTGCTATAGCAGGTAGACAGGTTTCGCTAACACGAACAGCTATCAGTAAAATGCCTTTATTCAGCTAATTCTATAGAAGCGGAGTTTTGAGAGTCTTTGGTTCATGTGAGGCAAAATCAGGTTTATGGAAAACGCAGCATCTGCTTCAAGGCTGCTTCATCTCTCTCAGGACAACTGAGTCTCCTGCGTGAGGGAGGAGCGCCTGCTGGAAAGCACAGAGCACAGCAGTATGCCCGGAACATCTCCATAGCCTTTGACAAGGCCACACTTCATTAGTTTTAATTTGCAGAAAGGAAATTAAATGATAACATTTTTTCCCAAAGCAGAGTGTCCAGAATAGGACTTCAGCTTAAAACAAAACATAGCATGTTTTTCATTAAATAACCCCCAAAGAAATTCAAAAAGTGATGATGGCAGCTCTGAGAGAGGGCTTGCCTTATATTACAAAGTCTGAGAAATGAAACCTACATCGTTAGCCTCGAGATCTTTGTCCCTGATGATATTCTGCAGATGCCCTCTCAAGGGTAAGTCCATTTTGTAATTTGGGGATGGTGTGGACTTGTATTTTACTTAAGTTTCTAACTAATTTTGAAAGAAGGCTTGGGCATTTGGAGAAGAGTGGTTTTTTTTGTGTTTTTTGTTTGTTTGTTTTTTGAGAAAAATAATTCTAATTGAAGCCTCATTTCCAAAAATTACTTTTTAAGTTCTTTTAATGTTTCATTTCCAAAAAATATATATTGGGTATTTTTTCATAGGGCTGTCCTGTGCCTGGCTAAAGGTAGACAGACTATACTAAAAACCACAAGTTTCTGGAATTAGCCTGACTGGGTAAGACCTGGATAAAGATGGTGCTAGTTTACAATGAAGGGATTTTGTTCAAAGCTGAAAGCTCCATCAAACTTTCTTTCCACTAATTTCAGCTGGGACTGGAAGAGAGAAAACTGGACAAAAATTGGCCTTTTAAAAAGCTGAAAAGTAATGAGTATGATTCATAAGTTCAACAGAGATAGGAGGGACATGGAAAAGGCATGGCGTACATCTGGGAATAGCGAATGCATATCAAAAGGCTTCATTTCTTTTGTTCTTTCATGAGGCTTGTAGCACATCAAATTTTGAATGTCTTCTTTTAAAGCTATGTGCGCACACACGCACGCACACACATATGCGGGCACACACACACATCCTCCCTCTGAACTGATGGTGTTTAGTATCGATAACATTTTCTTTCTTGGTAATACGAGGTAAATGAGGGGGGCAAAAACTTATGACTTCTGAGTAAAATGCCATGTCTTCTATATTCCGTGAGCTGCACAGTCTTGCAGGAATGCTCCACATTTCAGAGTAAATCTGAAACTGGCTTAAAAGCTCCAAATCCTCCCTTGTATGTGGTATGAGTGTGCCTTCATCTCCAGCTGTCAGAGCCAAATCGCCCACCTCCTCATCCAAGTGATGCCTAATCAGACATTTAAGGATTCTGAACTTGATCCTGTCTCTTCACAATATGTAGTAAATTTAAACTTACTTAAGAAAGTCAGTCCCTAACTAAGGACATTTAAACTTCCTTAGGAAAGGAGAGCTCACTGAATGATGTCAAAGTAATGAACTGATTTCCTCTACAAGGTCACTGCAACCACACCAGCTAGCTCTATCTCTACAGGCATTTAGACTTCGCTATGGGGCCACACCACCGGGTGGACAGTAACTCTTGGAAGTCTGTCTTCCCTTTTCTTCATTAATAAAAACACAGAACAATGACTAAGTGTCCAAGCATGTTCTTACAGTTCAGTACCTCCCCAGATGCTTACAAACAGTGATAGCATACCTCTAACTCACCACTGGCCTGGGCGCAAGAGCATATTTTGGTTTGTTTTTTCATAGACTAGGGGTAAAGGTCTGCACTACTAAGAAAATATCTGAATTTTCCCATTGTCATTTCCATGTAAAAACTCCCCTTGACAATAAACGTAAGTCCAAGCCACAGAGGGGAGAGCAATTTCCCACCTGTGGGAGGGCTTTCCCTAAACTAAATTTTCTACTTCTTAACCATCTATCCCAGAGCCTCTTCAAACACCAAAGAAAACGACAACAAAACAAACCTAAAAACAAACAGAAACACAGAAAAAGAACAAAGACTTAACAAATGAATTGGAGGAAAAGAAAATTCACCTACAACTCTAAATTAGATTTCCAGATGCATGGGCACGGACAGGCAGCCGCGTCTCGGGGACGCCCGGCATTACCGCCGTTTGGGGAGGATGAGGTTTCTCAGCATGTCGAAGGAGTTGCCGTCCGGGTGCACAGTCACAACCTCGCCGCCCTCCTGGTGAACCTGGAGGAAGCCAGAATCGTCCAGGCCAACGATGGACACCTTTGGTCCCTCTGCGCTGCCCAGATGGACTTGCTGACCACTGAAAAGGAAGAACAGCGTGCGGTCACTGGGAGGTGTCACAGGACGACTTAAGACAATGAGCTGAAGAATAATCCATGATGAGAGAGCTGGGCGTGCTGGGGAGAGGGCTGAGGCTCGCTGCAGGGAAAAGGCAGCCTGGGCTGAGCTCTGACTTTCTTCCACCCTGGTGAATGGTTTTAAGAACTGCTCAAATAACCAGCAGGATGCAAGTTCAACAAGGAGTCGAAATTTCTTCACACAACGTCACTCCTCCTAATTCTGGTCATCTGCGGTGATGGCTGGAACCACTTCCTCACCTCCCAGCGCTTTTAAGAAACACTGTGCAACTCTAGGTTTTTTGGCTGAGATTGGAGGAAAATAGGCCGAGTTGGCAAACAATGTTTTATCTTATAAAACAAAGTTGGCTCATATCAGCCACAAGTGAAACTCATCCTGATCCTACTTCTTTTGAATATTTTCCAAATGTACTCAAGTCACGTCCTTCTTAACAGCTTTCGAAGTATAGAATTTTCTCAAGTTTTTATTTTGAAGAATTTTAAATCTAAAGAAAAGCTGAAAGAATAGTGCAACAAACCTCATATTCTCTTCCATTCTCACACCAAATGAAAATATTTTCTGTATTTGCTTTCTTTCTTCACACATAAACACACACAAGCACACATTTTTTTTTCCTGCAACATATAAAGATAAGTTGCAGCTGGGTGTGGTAGCTCATGTTTGTAACCTTAGCACTTTGGGAGGCCAAGGTGGGAGGATTGCTTGAGGCCAGGAGTTCAAGACCAGCCTGGGCAATATAGTGAGACCCTGCCTCTACAAAAAAATTTTTTTTTAAATTAGCGGGCCGTGTGGCACACTCCTATTGTCTCAGCTACTTGGGAGGCTGAGGCAGGAGGATCATTTGAGCCCGGGAGTTCAAGGTTTCAGTAGTGAGCTATGATGGCACCACTGCACTCCAGTGACAGAGCAAGACCCTCTCTAAAAAAAAAAAAAGTGAAAATAAAAAAAGTTTTTTAAAAGCTGCAGGCATTGTGACACTTTCTGCTTAAATACTTTATCTCCTGAGAACAAGAACCTCCCATAAAATTATAATAGCATTAACTATGACCACTCAAGAAAGTCTGGATACAAACGGTCCATGTTCACGTCATTCCCACTGTCCTTTTAATATCCTTTGTGGCTATTTCCCTCCATCCAGGATCACACACATTACATTTAGATGTCATGCCTCTTTCGTCTTCTCTAATCCCAAACAATTCTGCCACCTTCTTTTGGTCTAATTGTTTGTGCGCAGACCTGACATTTTTGCAGGGCACAGGCCTGTTGTTGTGGAATCAGTGAGCGGTCCTCGGACTTCAGCTGCATGAGAATCCCTGGAGTATCTGTTATGACACAGGGTGCTGGGCCCAGCCCAGGGGTTTCTGATGCAGTAGCCCCTGGTTGAGGCTGAGGCTGCTTCCTGGGATCTCACTTTGAGAACCACTGTTACCTGGAAGGTTTGACAATTTAGATGCGTCTATTGTTTCCTCACAATTAGAATCAGATTAAACCAATGTTAAACTCTCTCACTATTTCGGTTCTTCCCATCGCATCCCACCAGGAGGCATAAGATGCCCGTTTGCTCCATTACTTGTGATGCTAACTTGGTCAAGGTGGTGTCCCTGCAGTTTCTCTAACAGAGACACAGAAAATAATCATTCAGACCAGTGCTCGGTCCCTCATTTTAAGATACTGAACTACGGCCGGGCGCGGTGGCTCACACCTGTAATCCCAGCACTTTGGGAGGCCAAGGCGGGCAGATCACAAGGTCAGGAGATCGAGACCATCCTGGCTAACACGGTGAAACCCCACCTCCACTAAAAATACAAAAAATTAGCCGGGTGTGGCGGCGGGCACCTGTAGTCCCAGCTACTCAGGTGACTGAGACGAGAGACTGAGGCAGGAGAATGGCGTGAACCCGGGAGGCGGAGCTTGCAGTGAGCCAAGATCGTGCCACTGCACTCCAGCCTGGGCGACAGAGTGAGACTCCGTCTCAAAAAAAAAAAAAAAAAAAAAAAAAAAAGATACAGAACTACTAAGATACTAATAAAGGAGTTGAAAAGAATGAAGATGAGCCAGCACTGACCTGTGGACCCAGTATCGGTAATAAAGGGGAAGGACGCTGTTGGGCCCTTTGTCCTGAAACTCTTTGATCAGTTTCTCCAGCACAGTCACGACTCTGGCGATGAGATAATCGGCTCTTAAGGGCTTCAGTTCTGCCTTGTGTTGTTTATTGTATTCTGTGATGAGGTCGTTGATGCAGATGGTAGGGTTACTGTTAGTCACATTAAATCCACAGCCTGGACAAAAACAAACAATTGAGCAGCTCAGCCTGTTGATGGCATCACACATTCCTCTCTGCCACATGGAAAAAGTTACAGTCTTGACTGTCAACTTCCTCCTTCCTTGTCCTCATTTCAGATTTCGTGTCTCTAACCACTTGAAGAGTGACATGTATTTCTGTCCATCTTCCTTTTTGTCCTTCTTTTATTATTCTTGTTCAAGCTAAAACCATCTCAACCTTACTGCAAATAAAAAGGTGGGAAAAAAGAAAGCCACATTTGATTCAATTTAATTCAATAGAAGCTATTAAATATGGGACAAAACGTATCAGTGTTGCCTCTGAAATAAGTGGTCTACCAAGCATTGTAGCTCTGCACTGAGTCCAGGAGAGAATAAAATCTCTGGTTTCTTCTCCTGCTTGAATAACAGATCCCACGCTTGAAAATAGAGTTTTATTCAGGACTTGGGAAGTAAACTCTGGACTCAGAGATTTCAAACCTTGGTCATGGCATAACCCTAGAAATGCATCTTTTAATACTTTATTCTTGGAAGTCTTTGGTGCTAAGGTTACGCTGTTGGCAAGACGCCGACTCATGTTCAGTGGCTTTTTGCAGGGTCCTAAACCAAGGCTTCATGAGAGTTACCAGGGATGGTGTCTGAATAGGCTTATCTGTGCAGTTACTTAACACCACTATCCTCTCCAGGCAGAGGGCGGTGTCTTCAGAAAAGCTGGACTTCAGTGTTCAGCAGGGCCCTGAATCGGCCTGCGAGAGGTCTTCAGTAAGAAATGAAATACTGCAAAAACTAAGCAGTAAGAAAACTACCATGTTTTCAGTGACTTTAAGAAAAAAAATCCCCAAAACATTCGCCACAGGCAGAACAATGCCATTTGTAACAACAGCCTTCCCGGCAAGTGTCCTGCCGTTTCCAGTGTGAAGGGAAGGATTGACTGGTCTCAGATTTTAAAACAATATACTGGCTATTAAAATACAAAGCAATTGTCAATTACCTCTGGAAAAAAAACAAGTAACTACAGCAACAGGGGCAGGACTTGCAGTTGCTCACGTATTCATTCATTCAATACATACAGGATCTGAAGCACCTACTGAACGTTCGTAAGGCATTAAATCAAGTGCTGTACAGCACTGAAAATTCTCCCGTGTTCAGAAAACTGGAATTCCTAGGAGGAGTAGCAACACTCACTACTGGCCACTTAGGCTATGTCCTTCTAAGGACCGGTGAGCACCCTGCTGGCTGCTCTGAATCCCCAAAGTCAGAGACCCCATCCTATGGCCTTCAGAATTCAATAAAAGCTATGGGTTCTCACCATAGGAAAATGTTTCATTCCCCTACTTTATTTTTTATTTTTATTTATTTATTTTTTGGAGACGGGGTCTCACTCCAGTTGCCCAGACTGGAGTGCAGTGGAGCCCTCATAGCGCACTGCAGCCTCAACCTCCTGAGCTCAGGTGATTTTCCCATCTCAGCCTCCTGAGTAGCTAGGACTACAGGCAGGCACCACCACGCCCAGCTAATTTTTTGTATTTTTAGTGGAGACAGGGTTTCGCCATGTCACTCAGGCTGGTCTCGATCTCCTGGACTCAAGCAATCCACCCACCTCAGGCTCCTGAAGTGCTGGGATTACAGGCATTGAGCCACCACACCTGGCCTATTTTTTATGTTTTATTTTTGAAACAGGGTCTCACTCTGTCATCCAGAATGGAGTGGAGTGGCTCGATCAAAGCTCACTGTAGCCTTGAACTCCTGGGCTCAAGTGATCTACCTGCCTCAGTCTCGCAAGTAGCTGGGATTATGAGCTCAAGCCACTACGCCTGGCCTTCGCTTACCCCACGCTGATAACATTTGTTAGCTCCCTGAAGCCATCCATGAGCCTGCTTGTGGCCCCTACCTAGGAATCTCTGCATCAACTGCAATTACTCACTTAAAGATAGGAAATGGGGGAGACTGGGCAAGTGGCTCACGTCTGTAATGCCAGCACTCTGGGAGGCCGAGGCGGGCGGATCATGAGTTCAGGAGTTTGATACCAGCCTGGCCAACATAGTGAAACCCTGTGTCTACTAAAAATACAAAAAAATTAGCTGGGTGTGGTGGCGGGCACCTGTTCTCCCAGCTACTTGGGAGGCTGAGGCAAGGAGAATCACTTGAACCTGGGAGGCGGAGGCTGCAGTGAGCCGAGATTGCACCACTGCATTCCAGCCCGGGCAACAGTGCTGGACTCCATTTCAAAAAAAAAAAAAGATAGGAAATGGAGCTTTAAGGGTATGAAGTAGCTTGCCTAGAATAATATTGCCCCTTGGTGGCAGAGCTGGTAACACAGGCCTTGTATTCCCTGGCTGGCACTTGAAACACATGGTTACATGTTTTTTGACCATTGCTGGTTTCTGAACACAGATTAGGTTCTACTGCCACAGAGTGAGGCTGATGACTGGACGGCCAGGAACCTAAGGACTTCTGAGATTGCCTCTGAATCCATCTTCTTGCCTGATTTGGATGTGCTAAGGTGAAACAGGGATTCTTTACCCCGCCTTGACCAGCATGGAGCTTCTTCTGAAGGTTAAAATGATGCCAGCTCTTTCATGGCCCAGGAAGGTCACGATAAGAATGCAAGACACCAGGAGAACTATTTAGGAAATTAACTTTTCTTTTTCTTATTACAGAATAGAACGTTAAATGTTTATTTTCACCATTTCAAATTCAATGAGTAGCAGGAGTGTGGAAGGATGTAGGAACATACCTGTTTGATGTGATACCACTTTGGTGGTTCCCGTGGTCACACACAGAAAATGCTAAACCCTGTGAAGTGCTTTCGACCAATCTCTCTGCATCTATACCCTGCTCCAAAACTACAAGACTCAAAGTAACCTCATATGATAATCTGCTCCTGCCAATGTAGGCATGCATAAACCGTCTTTATTTTTATTGTTTTATTAATCTAAAAATGCTGGGGGAAAGGTTTTTGAAACTTACCAATAAGTATATAAAATGTTTCTCCCATGAGTGTTGAGTTAACCAGAACTCCGCCGATCTTCATGAGGTCACTGTAATAAATATCGTTGGGCCACTTCACTCGTAAGTTGATATCCTAAAGGGAAATCTGCACATTAATTAAGCCGTCACAGGACACAAGGGGCCCAGGCAAGTCACTGAGCTAAGGGAAGATAAGCAGAAACCAAGGTAACATGGGCCTCGTCCTCTCCTCTTTTTCAGGCAGCTAATCACTTCTTTGGGACAATCCGATATTGAAGTGCCTCTTGGGGCCAGGAGGTAAAAGCCCTGAAGAACACAGTTGACATAAACCCCAGCATTCTTCCCCATCCCCCAGCACTGTTTCTCATCATCCAAAACCCTTTCTGAAGATGCTTACCTTGTAAATGAAGTTCATTATGTCAGTATCCACCACCACCACCACCATGGAGTAGCTAACTAACGTGCTAGGGCCAGAGGGTGGGGAGAGAATAGTAATCTCAGGGGGCGTCTCCCTTCAGGAACCCATGCTTGAGAGACAAAGATGGCCCTGAATTAACCAAGGTCACAAAAGGCAGGTAGAAATGTCTTGAGTAGCAGGCAGTGGCCAGGCGCGCTGGCTCACACCTGTAATCCCAGCACTTTGGGAGGCTGAGGCGGGCGGATCACAAGGTCAGGAGTTCGAGACCAGTCTGGCCAACATAGTGAAACCCCATCTCTGCTAAAAATACAAAAAATTAGCTGGGTGTGGTGGTGTGCATCTGTAATCCCAGCTACTTGAGAGGCTGAGGCAGGAGAATTGTGCGAACCCGGGAGGCGGAGGTTGCAGCGAGCCGAGATCGTGCCACTGCACTCCAGCCCAGGTGACAGGGCGAGACTCTGTCTCAAAAAAAAAAAAAAAAGAATGCTGTGAAGATGCAGAGGAGAAATTCACCTTAGCGAAAGCCTCGCAGAACTGCTAATGGTCATCTTGGGTAATGGAACTGGACTTGTCATGTGGCCTATTGCCTCTGCGTCTTGAATGGTGTGGCCTGGGGGTGGGGGGGCTCTCCCTGTCATCAGCTTACAGAATGGACCAACACTGGACAGTGTCTCGAACAAGGCCACCCAGGCCTCTGCCTATCCACTGTGACTCTGAAGTTGGGACACAGAGACGGGGCTAGCCGAGTGGGTGTCAGAACCACCAGGTCTTTTAGACCTCGGGCTGGCAGCCAGGCTGTGCCATGTGTGGGTAAAGGAAGCCTGTCTGGAGATGCAAGGCTGGAAGAGAACATTCAGCAAAATAAAGCTAAGGGAGCAGAGAGTAGCTGATGGCCTCCAAGGGCCACGGGGCTGGTCTTCCCACGTTGCAGGCCGGGCATGGCACCAAGCACCTTCTCAGCATTAGTCTACGTGTTACTCACACCCAGCCTATGTGTTGGTGCTAGCGCATCCCCAGGGAACAGAGGGAGAAACGGAAGCTTAGAGAAATTATGTGGCTTGCCTGAGGTTATAGCACTTGAAAGCCACGGAGCTAAAATTCAAACCTTTCTGCCACCAGGCCTGGGTGAGGAATCCTATGCTACGCGGCCTGTTGCTTCCATGAAATCCCTTCCTCCTTCCAACAGGCCTTCTTTTGACTTCGGCCCGTTAGAGCATATTGGAAGCTCATCTGCCCTAAAACAGTAGTTTAGGCTGAGAGAAAAAATACAGGAATAGGAGCACAGGAGAACAAAAAGTCTAAGTAAACCAAGCATGGGGGGTGCGCAATGACCCAGAACTGATCAACAGCTTCACGTTTCTTTTCTCTCTAGAACGGGGGTTCTCAGTGGGAGAGGGGTGGATTTGGCGATACTGGGAGACTTCCCTGGTTGTCACAGCCTGAGGGAGTGCTACCGGCGTCTAGAGAGTAGAGGCCGCAATGCTGACACACATCCTTTAAGGCACAGGACATCCCCACGACAAACATGCCAGGGCCCACATATCAATAGCACTGGGCTGAGAAAGTCTCCTCTAGGAAACCTGTGTCTAGGAGGCTCTGCTCTTCATCACTGCCCCCAGTTCCCTTTCCTTCCCCTCTCTCGCCTTCCCACATCCCCCTGTGCCCACCACATGGCCAGGGGAATGAGCCCCTGCCTCGCCGGCGGGAGGACACCTGCAGAGTTCCCAGAGCTGTCAAGCTCCTCCGCCACGTGCGTGGCAGCTGGTGCCTGGGCGGGCCCTGCACTTGGGCTCCAGCTCGCCTTCATGGCTTCAGATCTCCTCGGCTCATGAAGCAGCTCATGAAACTCTGGGTTCTCACGCAGGTAAACAGGACCAGCATTTCCACATGAAGAGGAGGACTGTGTGCTCATTTTTCATTTTCTCAATCATTTATTCCAACAGCTGCTGTGATCCTCCCACATAAAAAAAGACCAAAATGAAACAAATCCTGCTTTTGAAGAGCTGCTAACATCATGGGAGACGGAACAGGTGCACACATCACTCCTCTTCAAAGCCACACGTGGTGGATACCCTAAAAGAGGCTTCAACATGGCAAGTGCTGGACAGTGCTGGAGGAAAGAGCTGGAAGTAGCTGGAGGGTCTGAGAATGGCACTGGAGCTGGGCCTTAAGGATGAACAGAATTTTAAGAAGCAGAGAAGAGAGCAGGGGTAGGGGTGTGTGGGTGGAGGGAGGGTGCGGGGCCCGGGGGGACTTCATGGACAGAAGAAAGAGCAGGAGTGAGAATGGGCGGCCCAAGGCGAGTTCCGGAAGGAATGCCTGCATCCCAGCGAGGCCGCCTTGGGTCTGGGGAGGGTGGTCATGATTTGTGTGCTGACGGTGACATCTGGTTAGGGACCAGTTGGGGTCCTAGTGAAGGCCACACAAAAAGTGAAATCCAAACAACAGGGGCCTATTTCAATCAAAGTAGCTGCACTGTGTCAGCTAACTTGACTATGTTAAAAAAGAAACCCAATTCAAAATCAAATGTCCCATCACACAGGTGAGGCTGGGTAGCTGACTGCAGAAGAGGGAAAGAACATTGGTACAAGCTTCTTAAGGAGAACGGGAACACAAATTCCCCCGACCCCGTTCACCGCTGAAGGCAAGCTTCCCACTTCCATCCTGGCCTCCAGCGCCTGGCGCACGCAGCCTCTGAGCACAGCAGGCCCTCAAAGAATGCTCGCTAAGGGAACTAGTGGGGCTCCAAGGTCAAAGTCAGAGCCATGAAAAAGCTAAACAGACCAAACAGACTCATTTAATGTTCTCGGCTTAGTGTTTGTTTTAGTTATTTTCCTAAGACTAACTTGTTGCTAGAGTTAATTTCTCCCATGACAGGACTTTCTTTCTTCCTTTTTTTGATACGAGTCTCACTCTGTCGTCCAGGCTGGAGTGCAATGGCACAATCTCGGCTCACCGCAACCTCTGCCTCCCGAGTTCAAGCGATTCTTGTGCCTCAGCCTCCCGAGTAGCTGAGATTACAGGCACCCATCACCATGTCTGGCTACTTTTTGTGTTTTTAGTAGAGATGGGGTTTCACCATGTTGGCCAGGCTGGTCTCAAACTCCTGCCCTCCTCAACCTCCCAAAGTGCTGGGATTACAGGCATGAGCCACCGCGCCTGGCCAGGACTTTCTATTTTGATTGCTTCCTGCTAGACAGAATGCACAGCTCAGGTGCTCAAGGCCGGGCACCTGAAGCCCTGTAATGGTGTGATGCCCCCAAACCATCAGATATGCAAGGATGCTGGGTGCCTGGTAGTAAGCGTCCGTTTCAGCGATGTGATGTAATACAGGAAACAGAGACGTCAGCATTAACTACATCTGTGGAATACCAAAAATTCATACACAGCAAATACATCACAGAGGGATTTAAGGGGCAGTGAGAAGGACCTTTTCTTCAATGAAATGATGACAGGACCTCCAAGTCTCCTTTGAGAGTCACGCTCTTAACATCTTGCTTCAGGAATCAATCCAATCATTTCTCTTTAGCCTGACATAGGAGCTGCTGGGGGAGGGAGGCAGGAATCTCCTATTTATACCCATATGAAATTCTTCCAGGAACATTTGGGAGGGGGCTATGGGAAGTGAAGCCCAAGTAGGGAAGAAAATGCTTCGGTCACTGAGCTAATTGTTCCCTGTTGCTTGTCTTTTTAATAACTGACAACAAAACATCCAACAGTAATAAGGAAGCAGGCACACGGGTCCTAATAGCTGGGGGAAGATGGCCCCAAGTGGATCTGCACATTGTATGTGGTCAACAGTGGATAAAGGATAGTTCTGTTAGAGCACAGAGTCTGGTAAACAGAAGTAGGAAATGAGAAAGGTTTTTAGGTCCCCAAATAACCCTTTTCAACAGAAAATGCAGATGAACAACTTCAATCCAGTCCAACAATCAAATCTCATCCAGTGCTTCAAACAAAAAACAAACATGCAGCTGGGCGTGGTGGCTCACGCCTGTAATCCCAACACTTTGGGAGGCTGAGGCGGGCGGATCACAAGGTCAAGAGATTGAGACCATCCTGGCCAACATGGTGAAACTCCATCTCTACTAACAACACAAAAACTAGCTGTGTGTGATGGTGCACACCTGTAGTCCCAGCTACTCAGGAGGCTGAGGCAGGGGAATTGCTTGAACCCTGGAGGCGGAGATTGCAGTGAGCCGAGATGGCGCCACTGCACTCCAGCTTGGTGACAAAGTGAGACTCTGTCTCAAAAAAATAAATACATAAGTAAACATGACCAGGTGCAGTGGCTCATGCCTATAATCCCAGAACTTTGGGAAGCTGAAGCAGGCAGACTGCTTGAGCTCAGGACTTCAAGACCAGCCTGGGCCACATGGTGAAACCCCATCTCTACTAAAAATACAACAAAAGAGCCAGGGGTGGTGGTGTGTACCTATGGTCCCAGCTACTCGGGAGGCTGAGGTGTGAGGATTGCTTAAGACTGGAAGGTGGAGGTTGCAGTGAGCCGAGATAGTGCCACTGCACTCCAGCGTGGGTGACAGAGTGAGACCCTGTCTCAATTAAAATAAATAAATAAACAACAACAAAAACCAAAAACTAAAGCGTTGCCCTCATCAGGCTGTTTGAGAAATCTGAAAAACTGGGTAGAAAGGGAGTTCTGGGGAATGAATGCATTCAGGCAAGCCTGAAGCAGCATTAGCACCTGGTGGTGCTCTGAAAACTCCGAGAGCACTTTGCTGCCAGCTGTGCAAAGGGTAGGCTGAGGTTCTACAGCCACCAATTATGCAAGCACATGCTATAAACAAGAATAAGCCAGATTCTGCATGCATCCCAGGGACATAGAAGGAGACTGAACTGTACCTACCTGATACTCGGGAATGGACCTCACTGCTTCCACGACAGCCACGGACATCAGATGCTGGACAAACGGGATCCTCTGTCCCAGCTGGGATCTCAGTGGAATGGAGATGAGCAGAGTAGAAAGAGCACATCCCACAGGGCTCAGCCACACATTCCCTCCCCGTCCTGGAACACAGGCCACAGTGGGAAACATGCTACCTTGCCACGTGGACAGACGCAGACACACGTCATGCCAGGGCCACACACTCAAATAAATCTGAACTTATTACAATGCTTATTGTATTACAACGCTTATTATATTCTGGGCTTAATAAAAGAAAAGCTTTTTAAAATCTGAAGCTCTGTTGCTGAAAAAGTTTCCAATAATTAGCATAATGTTCTGCTTCTGTGAGCATATCATTTGTGCCTTGATGACTCAGAGTCTTACAGCGTCTGAACATGACTATATGACTATAGGTTTAATTCCCAGCATATGGTCATGAAGGCAAACACAGACATTGGGAAACTGAACTGAATCTATACTGATCCATGAGAGGTCCTGGAAGCCACTGTTTAGAAGCAATTCCTATTGTGGCGATGGTTGCTCAGCCCAGCAAATATGCCATTAAATAAGAGCCACAGAACTGTGTACTTTATTTATTTTTATTATTATTTTTTAAGATGGAGTCTCACTATGCCACCCAGGTTGGAGTGCAGTGCGTGTGATCTCAGCTCACTGCAACCTCTGCCTCCTGGGTTCAAGTGATTCTCCTGCCTCAGCCTCCCAAGTAACTGGGATTAAGGTGCCCGCCACCATTCCCAGGTAAGTTTTGTATTTTTAGTAGAGACAGGGTTTCACCATGTTGGTCAGGCTGGTCTTGAACTCCTGACTTCAAGTTATCTGCCCGCCTCGGCCTCCCAAAGTGTTGGGATTACAGGCATGAGCCACCACGCCCAGCCACACTTTAAATGGAGGAATTATATTTCAATAAAGCTGTTTAAAAAGGGATTCCTGATATTAACTGAGTTGTTATTTTTCTTTACTTCCTTTCTTTCTTCCTTTTTATTTTTGAGACAGGGTCTTGCTCTGTTGCCTAGGCTGGAATGCAGTGGCGTGATTACAGCTCACTGGGCTCAAGTGATGCTCCCACCTCAGGCTCCCAAGTAGTTGGGACTACAGGTGAGTACCACCATGCCCGGCTGATTTTTGTATTTTTTTTAAGAGATGGGTCTTGCTAAGTTGTCCCAGCTGGTCTTGAACTCCTGGGCTCAAGTGATCTTCTGCCTTGGCCTCTCAAAGTGGTGGGATTATAGGCATGAGCCACTATGCCTGGCCTACTTTTCTTAAAATTGAAGTTAGAAAAATAGAAGAATCCAAATGAGAGGTAGAGTTCATCAAAGTTCTTCTTGAATGTCTTTTTCAAAAAACAAAAAAAAAATCCACATATTGAGATCCATAGCTTTTGACAAAAACATTTTTTTTTTCCATTTGAATTATATTTGAAAGACATGGTTCAGGAGAAAGAAGTGGAGAACAGCAGATTTCTTATTTCTTTGGTTCTTATGAAAAAGTCATAAGAGGCTGTGAGAGTGAGAAGCACATGTGGGTGAGCCTGGCACTGGCTGGAGCAGGGAGGGGCCAAGCCCCGTGGAGCAGCCCCTGTACAGGGTCAGACCCCAGATGGGTCTGGGAGGATGTGGGCTCTCGTCTCCGGGATCTGCAGGTGGTGGAGCCCTGGGCAGCGCTCTGCTTCTCTGTGGTCACTGTGTGAATGGGCACTGATGCAGAGCCCACCATGTACATGCAAGCCCAGCCCAGGGCCAGCTGGGGTGAGAACTGGCATGCAAAAGGCCTCCCACATGACGCTCAGTACAGACACAGAAGGCTCCTTATGGAGAACCTTCAGGAAAATAAACGTCTCTAGAGCACAGTGACGATCCCCAAATTGGAAAGCCCGGAATTCATGTAGGTCACATTTGCCATCACAGGCAAATGTCCAGTGATTCATAAGCATTATGATTTGACAGAATGCTTTAGTTCTACTAAGGGTGAACCTTCTGATCACTGCTTCCCTCTTCCTCTTCCTCCATTCCAGGCGGTTATGAAAACAGAATCTACTAACTTGAGTCCCCCAGATGATCAGCACACACATTCAATGGGCTCCTGGGCCACAAGAGTTGCAGAGTTTAGAAAACAGAAGTAACAGCAATGATCACAAAAGATGACTGACCTTTGCCCTCGGTCTGCCGGGCCGCGATCACTATTAAGCCCATTTCCTGCGGTGTCTGAAACATCAGCCTGCCGAAGAGGGGGAAAGACCGGTTAGGCCAGACATGGACACGCCCGCGGCACCAATGGCTCACACAGGAGGGACAGGGTTTGCATGCATCTGGGGGTGTGTGGCCATGGAAGGGCCAACTTTGGTTCCACTGGCCTTCAGGAATGTGGAGCCATGAGGGATATCACCCTCCTTTCTAACCTGGGTCGTGAGAATGAAAGAGATGAAGAAAGCACCTTTTAACATCAAAAAAAGAGCATGCGAGGGGGCGTGTGTACCTGCCTGAGCCGTTACTCCATTTATTAAAGACTTGGTTAGATTCTATTTCATCAGAATATCCTGCCAAGTTCTTTCTCCCCCCACCCCCAATGTATGTACCTTCTTCAAGTGACAACTAGCAATTCCTGACATTTGTTCCTACTTAGGGTGCACTTCTGTTTGAACACTAGAACACAATCATAACAGAAGTTTCTGATTATTCAGAAAACCAATATGGTGGCAATAAAGCCGTTTAAAAGACACACTATCCCCTGAGAACTAATTATGATTTAACTATGGTAAATAAATCCACACCTTCTGAGGACGCAGGAGAACTCTGCATCGTTTTCGGCTTCAGTCCTGCTTTTAAAATGGTTTCATTGAAAAGAATACAAACTTTCCTTTGGGGGATAGGTAGAAAAGGGCATTACATCCCCACCAAATGAGTCGATATTAACTTTTTTTCAAAAAAAGGAAAGAAAAAAAAATCACACAAAAACTCCCACTCTGAGAATTTCCTGCAAGCTGCGCTCTCCCTATTTTAACCCCGTGGTAGGACAGTTCCTCTCTACGTGCCCAGGAATTGCCGATCAGGTGCTGCGCAGGCGCGGTTCGAGGTAGGATTCATCAACAGAGCAAAGATCAGGTTTGGCCACTTTGTCAGTGCAGATGAGGGGGCCTCTTTGATTTTTTTCTTTTCTTTTCTTTCTTGGAAGGAGGGGAGCAGCCAGGACAGGGATGCGGAAGGGATGGCATTTTGTAATAACATAAAGTTTCTAATAATAAGTCTCCAGGCTTCCACAGTGGTCCTGCTGAGGACAAAGGAGCGCTAGAGAAAGACCACGCTGAGAAGCTTATCATCCTCCCCTCCCAGCTACAGAAACTGGGTGGAACTTTACAAATGGCTGGAACTCGGTAAGAGAAGAAAAATACTTAAAAGCAGAGAGAAACAACACTGTGTCCACTGTGCACCCATGGCTCACAGAGCTCCGTCTGACGGCGCATGCAGGCCTCAGTTGGGACAGAAGGAGCCCAGAAGACCCTTCACGTGTTAAAAAGACCTCAGGACACACAGGGCAGGGGCTCAGCTGCTGAGATAGCTGTCTTCCCACACGGCTGCTGGAACAGGCACAGGACGCTTTCGGCGAGCAGGCTGGCCTCGCCGCCCATGTGCCAGGCCCACTCCATCTCACATGAAATACAGCTCAGAAGTATTTCTCTTGGACGCCATGAATAACTCATTGAGATCGAGTGTGCTGTATGCCACTGGGTCCAAGAAGAAAGCGTCCTTTTCTTGTGTTGGACCAGCAGAAAATCTAAGAAGGAGTCTTTGTCTGTGCAGGGAGTTAACATTGTCTTTCAGGCACCTCTGTTTTCTAGAGGGTCCAGCAACCCTCCACCTGGCTTCCTAAGGCCCAGGGCTCTCGAGGTGATGGGGCAGGGGCCGAGGGGATGATTTAGCGTGTTGTGAGCAGATCGCAAAAGCAATCTAGGATGTTCTGTAAATAAACATGTAGACGGTAGACAGTCATGGGCTATAGCCAGGGACAGTGATGGGAGGGGCAGGAAAAAGGTTGGTTCAGAAACCAAACACAGACTTCTAGAACAAAGAGAAATGATTAAGGGAACATATGCACTAAACTGCTAGAGGTTTGGCAGCAGTTAACAGGGCATATTAATGAGAAGAGGGAGTCTGTGCTGAAGGCCAAGAGGAAATTCTGCAAGGAGGGAGACAACCGGGGAAGGAGCTAATGCTCAGTTTGAGACAACTGGAGGCCGCCAGATTTATTTGTGCTATCTGAGATAACTCTGGGGCCAAACCGCATGGCTCACAGTCAACAAAGCAGCATTTATAAACCTTGTCAATTCTGCATTTCTGAAAATGAAGCTGCTTGAGTTTGCTTTAGCAGAAAGGAGAAACCATAAATGCATTTCCATCCTTAGCGGATGATGTCCTTACAAAAAGAAAAAGGAAAAACAAAAAGGAGGGGGGTTCCATAATGATTACCTCCCTGCTTCTGTATATTTTCCTTCCTTGCTGGCAAAGGTTGTGGAATAAAAGCTTTCTGTGAGTGGCAGCCGAGTGCATTCACTGTGGAACCAAAGCGGCACTCAGGAAAAGCGCTCTGTTTTGTACTCTTGTGTTGAGTCTGAAACATTTGGAGCCTCCTAAGGGTCACTCTGCAAATGAGACAGCCTCCTGACCACTTTGGTTACTAAGGACAGCCCAGTAGCCACGGAGGCTCTGCCAATGGAACTGTCCTGATTGTCACATGGTCCTTTAAGATTAAGCTTTAATGATTGGGAATAACCTAAGACAGGCCAGCATGAATTAATGAAAAATCCGAATGAACAAAAACGTAAATTCAGACCAAGTCCATCCACTTCGGGGATCTGAACCTAAGAAAATAGTCCACATTCACAACAGTGTTATAAAGGTAAAAATATGGAAACAACCTCACTGTTAATAAACAAATGGTTAAATAAATTCTGATAAATTAAGTCAATGGAATAATTTGTAATCAAATCATTATAGTTCTGAAGACTATATAGCAACGTGGAAGAAAGGCTTGCATTGGTATGTCAAATTAAAAAGCAGCATACAAAACTATAGATGCTTTTTTTTTTTTTTTTTTTTTTGAGATGCAGTCTCACTCTGTCGCCCAGGCTAGAGTGCAGTGGCATGAATCTCGGGTCACTGCAACCTCCATCTCCAAGGTTTAAGCAATTCTCCTGCCTCAGCCTCCCGAATAGCTGGGATTACAGGTGTGCACCACCATGCCCAACAAATTTTTGTATTTTTAGTAGAGACGAGGTTTCATCATGTTGGCCAGGCTGGTCTTGAACTCCTGGCCTCAAGCGATCCTCCTGCTTCAGCCTCCCAAAGTGCTGGGATTACAGGTGTAAGCCACCACGCCTGGCCAAAAACTACATATACTTTTATTCCAAGTATGTAAAATTCAAAAAGGGCAGGAAGGAGATTAGACAAAATGTTAATGATGGCTATATTAAGATTTTTTTTCTTTTATTTTAAAACTTTAATATGATGGGTAACCTTTCTTTTTTTTTTTCGTTTGAGATGGGGTCTTATTCTGTCATCTCAGCTAGAGTGCAGTGACTCACTATAGCCTGGACCTCCAGGGCTCAAGGGATCCTCCCACCTCAACTTCCTGAATAGCTGGGACCACTATGGGTTCATACCACCACACCTGGCTAATTTTTGTATTTTTTGGTAGAGACAGGGTTTGGTAGAGCCCAGGCTGGGTAACCTTTTGATTTAAAATTTATTTTGAATTTTTTTTGGAAAAAAGCATATTTTTACATTTAGATATAATATTGTAATTGACTATTCATAAATACAGAACTTCTAAGTATAAGACCAAAAGGTCCGTTTTAAAAAGAAATAAGACAATTGGCCGGGCGTGGTGGTTCCCGCCTGTAATCCCAGCACTTTGCGAGGCCGAGGCAGGCGGATCACGAGGTCAGGAGATCAAGACCATCCTGGCTAACACGGTGAAACCCCGTCTCTACTAAAAATACAAAAAAATTAGCTGGGCATGGTGGCGGGTGCCTGTAATCCCAGCTACTCGGGAGGCTGAGGCAGGAGAATGGCGTGAACCCGGGAGGCAGAGATTGCAGTGAGCCAAGGTTGCACCACTGCACTCCAGCCTGGGCGACAGAGCGAGACTCCGTCTCAAATAAATAAATAAATAAATAAATAAATATAAAATAAAATAAAAAGAAACAAGACAATCAACAATAGTTATTTGCAGTACCCATTTCATTATAACTAGTGAGCAGCTTATCTGATACTAACAAGTGAGCAGAAATTCTTGAAACCAGTCTGTTCAGACCCAGTGATAGCCTTAAACATGGTTTACTTCCTGACCCGGGGACTGTATTTCTACAGAATTGAAGCCTGAGGAGGACTCAGACAGGGACACAAAATAATTCAGGGGCTCAACTGTTCACCACAGCATTACTGATGCAGTGTGAAAAATCAGAAATAATCCAAACAGCCCACTGTTGAAGAATTAAAAAACCCACAGCAGTCCCACATGAAAGCCCATCATGTGGTCATCAGTAATGTGGGCAGATGACCACCGGACACTTTTAGGTGATTTAATCAGGATGCAAAATCCTACAGACAGCGTGAGTCCAATCATGTTTTGAAGTATGCTTTTAAAAATTATGGCCGGGCGCGGTGGCTCACGCCTATAATCCCAGCACTTTGGGAGGCCGAGACGGGCAGATCACTTGAGGTCAGGAGTTCGGGACCAGCTGGCCAACATGGTGAAACCCCATCTCTATTAAAAATACAAAAAATTAGCCGGGTGTGGTGGCGGGTGCCTGTAATCCCAGCTATGTGGGAGATTGAGGCAGGAGAATCACTTGAACCCAGGGGGCGGAGGCTGCAGTCAGCTGAGATCACACCACTGCACTCCAGCCTAGGCAACATAGAGACTCCAACTCAAAAAAAAAAAACAAAAATTATTAGGAAATATACCAAAATAATAGCTGCAGTTACCTTGGGGAGTGAACATATTTGAAAAATATAGAAAAATATTAAGTAGAACATAAGTCATCTAGGTAAGTCCCACTTCTCATTAAAAGTGTATATTCTTTTAGAATTTCTCTCTTTTTAGAAAACACAGATATATTTTACAAAGTATTTTTCTGATAATTAAAAATTTTTTATTTTGGAGCTCTTACAATGATGTAGATATATAATTATAGACATTATATTGTTAAAAAGTGAAAAAGAAGGTTAAAAACAGTATCGTAGAATGATTCTCTTTATATACGATATGTATTTATAGAAAAATACAGGGGCCAGGCTCAGTGGCTCATGCTTGTAATCCCAGCACTTTGGGAGGCTGAGGTGGGTGGATCACTTGAGCCCAGGAGTTCAAGAGCAGCTTAGGCCACATGGCAAAACCCCATGTCTATCAAAAAATACAAAAATTTAGCCAGGCATGGAGGTACATGCCTGTGGTTCCAGCTACTTGGGAGGCTGAGATGGGAGGATCACTTGAGGCAGGGAGTTCAAGGCTGCAGTGAGCAAAGATCATGCCACTGCACTCCAGCCTGGGCAACAGAGCAAGACACTGTCTCAAAAAAAAAAAAAAAAAAAAAGAAGGACACATATTAACAGTGGTTATCTCAAGAAGGTGGAAGAGGCCGGGCGTGTTGGTTCACGCCTGTAATCCCAACACTTTGGGAGGCCAAGGCGGGCAGATCACGAGGTCAAGAGATCGAGACCATCCTGGCCAACAGAGTGAAACCTGTCTCACTAAAAATACAGAAATTAGCTGGGCATGGTGGCGCGCACCTGTAGTCCCAGCTACTCGAGAGGCTGAGGCAGGAAAATGGCTTGAACCTGGGAGGCAGAGGTTGCAGTGAGCCAAGATTGTCCCACTGCACTCCAGCCAGGTGACAGAACAAGACTCCATCTCAAAAAAAAAAAAAAAAAGGTGGAAGTGTGGAAGTAGAATTATATGATGATTTAAATGTCTCCTTTATGTTGTTCTATATAATCTCTGGGTGGTAAGATTTCAAGTGATTTTTATTTCTCTCTTATACTTTACTGAATTTTCCAATATTTTTATAATTGTAGTGCATTCATTTTATAAATCCTATTAAAAAAAGATTTATTTAAGCCCAACCTATCAGTGGATTAAGCTTGCAGCTGCCAGTTCACTAGTTGGTGGAGCAATCTCCTTTCCAGCACAGATTGGCAAAGAAAGGGCGGCCAAGTGCAGGCAGCTTTCCCAGGCTGCCATACCTGTCCCGTGGCTCATTCCCTGCCGCACAGGCCAAGGCCACGGAGGGCTGGCAGTCTGCCACTGGGAGCAGCTGGCCTCTGGAAGCTGGGCTGTACCTCAGACTGGCCTCCCTTTCTAAAAGATGTTGTAAAGTCTTTCTCTGGAAAACACACCCCAAACCCTCCTAAGTCTGAGGCATCGTGCCCTGCAGCAGTCTGGCATGGGGTGGGTGTGAGGCGACCTCGAAGTCTCCCTCGGGCCTGGAGGGCTTCCTCAGCTCATGGTCCTGGCCTGACACCAGTCTGTGCTTCTCTTTGCTATCTTCTTTACCCCCCAGTTTTCTCAGCTCTGACCCTGTTCTTAGCTTACAGAGAGACACACACTCTCATGAGTGAAAAAGAAAGCCAATGGGAGGTGGCGAGGAAGAGGGAGAAGGGGGCCCCAGGCAGTCACACATTGAAGGTTCATAAGTTATTTTTCATTTTAAAAAAGCTGACTGGAAGATGAATTCCCACTGTTCATAACCCTGCTGCCCTCTGCTTAGTTCAAAGGAAGCAGTGCCGAACTTCATTTCAGAACTACTTTTAACACATATTACATTGTAAAAACCAACCATTACATCTGAGTAGCACTTTCTAAAAAGTTAAAACGCTAAAATATCAAGATATTTCATTTTTGTTAAAGTCACACTTTAACAATACGATTGATTTTTTTTAAGCTACTTTCTAGGCAGGAATGCACAAGATTGTTTTTTGAAAGGAAATGAACAGTGGTTTCTGCTAAAAAACGCCTCCACCGTAAAATGGAGTGAGGCCCATGAGACAGCTGTGCAACGCATGGGGACACAGTCAGGGGCAGAAGAGGCCCGACTTCTGACAGGTGACTTCTGAACTGGCGGCAGGGTCCACGGCACAAAGCTGAGGTGGCTGCCCCAGGACACTGCAGGGTCCTAGCCAGGGACCCTGGGGATATTATTCCTGGCAGCTACAGGAAGGTTCCCAAGGAACTTTAGAAACATCACAGCAGAGTGGAGACTCAGACAGGGAACGGGACAGATCTGGACTCGAATCCCAGTGTTGATATGAACATGGAGTAAGGGAATCCATCTCTCTCAGTCTCTCCAGTCACCTATAAAATGGAACATTTTGTGCAGTGTCAGTAAAAATGAAATATGATGGAATTTGCAAAGTGGTCCCTGTCATGTCGATCCTAGAACTTCTTGCTGCCAGAAGACAAGCAGCGCCTCCCCTTACCTCCTCCTCTTGGGGATAAGGAGGGAAGTCAGGGAGACAGAGGGAAGGAATGGAATGGTGGGGACAAATGTGTGTGTTTTACGACTCCTCAAAAATTCTATACGTGATGCCTCTCCTCTCTGTACCCATCCCTCATCACTTCTACCTACACACACTAAGGTGATCTCTATCTGGGCTAAAAACCTTGTAAGTGACACTAGCAATGGGGGATGCAGAATCTTCACTTCCAGTTCTAGGGTCTCTGAACCTACTCAGCAAAGCTACACATAGTTGGTTGAACTGGCTCTTCGGCTGACTTTGTTTAGGTGACTGCTTAGAAACACTGTTGGTCAGAGGTGTGCCCAGGCAGATAATAGAACAGTTTTATTGATATATTCTTCCATTCTATTCTGGATTTGACACTACGGCCTGCCCTTTCCTCAATGCACTCTGTTGGTATGCTTTAAATCATATCCCCTTTCCGCTCTTGGTGTAGAACAGGATGAATGTTTCAGTAGGAGGCAACACGGGAATCGGGACTGTTCAAAGAGCAGAGCCATCACAATCCTCCCACTGGAGCTCCCCAGAAGCAGAGAGATGCCTGTGGGTCAGGCCCTCTGTTAGAGACACCCGCTTCATTTCCGTAGCTCCTGGCATACCTGCCCTTCTTACGTTTTTGGCTAATCTTCCCCACGTCCAGCATAAGAGCGTCCACATTGCTGCTAAATAAATCATTTCATGGCTCCCAAGGAGCCCAGTGGATTCAGCTTTCAGAATGAGGCTCCTTTTTGGTAAGTCAAGCATTTACTAATGTTGGTCTGTATTATCCAATCAAAGTGAATACAAGCCACTGTTTCTTACCCTGACACTTCACCATAAATACTAGATGCCTGCGCATCCACTGCCTTCTATCTTAAACTGGTGCTATTACAGAATTTACAGATGAGCAAAGAAGCTTGCATAGAGAGAAATATTCATGGTGCCCACAGCCACCTCTGTGGCTGTACCTCAGCGGTAGCCCTGATGGCAGATCCCTGCCTCTGACGGCGAGCCTTCACTGCGCCACTGCACACCAGTACTCAGACTATCTGTCCCCACTCCTCCGCCAGGAGTCTCCGGATCCTCCACAAGATCTTCTCACCCCCCTTTTCAGGCTGTTCAGATCTCATAAATATGTCCATTTTTCTACAACTGGGTGTGGAGCGGCTCTTGGTGGAGAGTGTCCACAGCCTTGACCATAAGTCACCTGCCCCTAAAGAGGGTCTGCTACTGGGAAGTGCTGCCGCTATTTCAGAGGATGGACACCGACTCACGTGGACGACACAGCAAGCAGATGTCTGCGAACAGTGTTTCTGCAGGCACCAGGTAGATGTTTCAACTGGTCACCTGGAATTCACACCAATTTTTTGTGCTATGAGTGGCATTTTAGGTTCGTGATCTCATCCAAGCCTTCCAAAGCTGAGAAGAAGTCCTTCCTCACAGACAAGAGGACACAGTCTCAGAAAGGCAAAACCACTGCTATAAAGCCACATAGCAAGCAAACCAGAAATTCAAATCATGTTCTGGTTGGTTGTAAGGTCTATAATACTTTTTTCTTTTTAACCTTTTACTTCGAAATAATATCAGACTTAAAGAAAAGTTACAGGAAGAGTACAAAGCATTCCTACATGCCCTTCACACAGCACCCAGATTTCCTAAAGGTTCACTTTTTACCATATATGTTTTGTCCATCTGTCTATCCATCATTATTTTCTGAACCAGTTGAGAGTGAGCTGCAGCCCTAATGTCTCTGTATTCCTATATGCGTCTGTGTAGCTTCCTAAAACCCAGGGTTTATCTTACCTGATTATAGTACAATCACGGAAATCAACAGCCTTGTTACAACACTATTTTATGCTTTTTTTTTTCTTTTGAGATGGAGTTTCACTCTGTCACCCAGGTTAGAGTGCAGTGGCACAATCTAAGCTCACTGCAACCTCCGCCTCCCAGGTTTAAGCGATTCTCCTGCCTCAGCCTCCTGAGTAGCTGGGATTACAGGCGTGCACCACCATGCCCGGCTAATTTTTGTATTTTTAGTAGAGATGGGGTTTCACCACGTTGGTTGGGCTGGTCTCGAACTCCTGACCTTGTGATCCACCCATCTCAGCCCCCCAAAGTGCTGGGATTACAGGCGTGAGCCACCGCACCCGGCTGATATGGCACTATTATCTAATCCAGAGGTCAGCAGAATTCTCTATAAAAGGTCAGAGAGTAAATACTGTAGGCTCTGCAGCCGTATGGTTTCTGTGCTCAATTGCTCAAACCTGCCGTCCGAGGGCAAAGGCAGCCATGCCTGTGTCTCAACATTTACGGACATAAAAATTTGAATTTTACATAATGTTTGTGTATCACAATATATTCCTTTTAACTAATAGGCTTTTTTATTTTTTTTAGAGCAACTTTAGGTTTACAGAAAAATTGTGCAGAAAGAGTTCCCATATGTCCCCTTCCCCAACAGTTTCCTTATCATTCACATCTTGCTGTGGTGTGGTCATTTGTTACGATTTCTGAAGCAGTCTTGGTATAGGACTATTAACCACAGCTCACTGCTTCTGTTAGGGTTCGTGCTTTGTGCTGTACATTCTGTGGGTTTTGATAAATGCATCGCATCTTGTGGCCACCATGTCAGCATTACACAGAACAGTTTCCCTGCCCTAAAAATTCCCCTGTGCTTCACTTATTCATCCCTCATCCCTTCCCCTCCCCGAACCCTTTGGCAACCACCGGTATTTTTACTCTCTCTATAGTTTTGCCTTTCCCAAAGTGTCATATAAATTTTATTCTTTAAAATTTTTTCTGACCCTTTAAAATGTAAAAAAACATGCTTAGCTCTCATGCGGCACGAAAACTGGCAGCAGGCCAGACTCGGCCCAAGGGCCAAACTTTGCCAACCCCAGATCTCATCTATAGAGTGTATTCAAATTGTGTCCATTGTCCTAGTAATAATGCTCTTTTTTTCTGGTCTAAGATCAAATCCAGGATCATCTGATGCATTGAGCTGTCACGGCTTCTTCGTCTCCTTTAATCTGGTTCAGTTTCTTAGTCTTTTTGTTTTTCATGATCCAGACATTTTTGGAAGAGCAGGGGCAGTTATTTTGTCCTATGTCCCTCAATTTAGATAATCAGATACCCCCGTTATAAGACTCAGGGGTGCATTTCTAGCAGGAATACATGGAAGCGATATTGTGACCTCAGGGCCTGACATCGGGAGGCAGGCAGTGCTGTCTCCTGACATCAGGGATGTTAACTTTGACCCACAGGGTTATGTGGTTTGTGCTGGGTTTTCCCACTAAATTGCCTTTGTAATTAATAAGCACTTATGGGGAGATAAATCTATTTCTCATGAAATTTAATCTATTAGTTTTAGTATCCATGAATGATTCTTGCTTGAATCAATTATTATTTTTATTTATTTTTTATTTTTTTGGAGACACAGTCTCGCTCTGTCGCCCAGGCTGGAGTGCAGTGGCACGATCTCAGCTCACTGCAAGCTCCACCTCCCGGGTTCACACCATTCTCCTGCCTCAGCCTCCCAAGTAGCTGGGACTACAGGCGCCCGCCACCACGCCCGGCTAATTTTTTTGTATTTTTAGTAGAGATGGGGTTTCACCATGTTAGCCAGGATGGTCTTGATCTCCTGCCCTTGTGATCCGCCCACCTCTGCCTCCCAAAGTGCTGGGATTACAGGCGTGAGCCACTGTGCCTGGCTGCTTGAATCAATTATTATTATTATTTTTTGAGACAGAGTCTCACTCTATCACCCAGGCTGGAATGCAGTGGTGCAGCCTCCACTCACTGCAACCCCTGCCTCCTGGGTTCAGGCGATTCTCCTGCCACAGCCTCCCGAGTAGCTGGGATTACAGGTGTGCACCACCATACCCAGCTAATTTTTGTATTTTAGTACAGACAGGGTTTCTCCATGTTGACCAGGCTGGTCTCTAACTCCCGACCTCAGGCGATTCACCCGCCTCGGCCTCCCAAAGTGCTGAGATTACAGGTGTGAGCCACCGTGCCTGGCCTTGAATCAATTATTTACTTGATGGTTGCCAAACAGATTTTTCTGAACCATCATTTCTTCCATATTCACTTGTGAGGTTCTACTGTAAGGAGTAACTTTTTCTTCTCCCCTCCACTTATTATTTATCTTTTAATTTATTTATATCAGAGTAGACTTATAGATTCTTATTATTTCAGTAGATTGTATGCCTTCCTATCATTTTTTATTTTGATACTCAAATAGCCACATATCTGGCAAGTGAATGCTCCTTCAGTCTGGCTCCTGGGTCTTACTGGTGTGTCCCAGTCATCTTTCAGCATAAGAGGTCTCTACTTTCAGGCATAAGAGGTTCTAGGCTCATCTTGAACTTTCTCAGCCCCTGCCCTGGAATCAGCGATTTCTCCAAGGAGCTCTGGTTCCTTTTGGTGAAAAACGGTCTTTTAAAAAAACTGGGGCTAAGAAAGAGATAGAAAATGTGTGCATGTGTGTCTAGGGTGTATATATGCATTACAATTGTCCCTTGGTATTCATGGAGGATTTGTTCCAGACTGCCTCCCAAGTCCCACAGTGAGCTCTGTGGAACCTGAGTACACAAAAAATTGGCCTCCATATACATGGGTTTCACATCCCATGAATAATCTGCTTTGGTTGAAAAAATTCCATGTGTAGTAGACCCCTGCAGTTCATACCCCTGATGAATCAAAGGTCAACTGTATTTCCTTCCGTCCATCCATCCCTCCCTCCTTCCTTCCTTCCCTCCTTCCTTCTTTCTTTCTTCCTTCCTCTAGATTCTCATCTTCTTTCTCTATCTAATCTATCCATCTACCACCCATCCATCCATCCAGTTTGAAAACCATAAGTTCATCATAAACTCCAATCCAATCCAATACCACAAGGTTCATTCTAGCCCCTCCTTTTCTATATTCATAAATTCTTTCTCCAATAGTGGGAAATCTGGCTTGCATTATCTACACTATTTATTCATTTGCTCAATGCCATAATACACAGGGGGAAGTGGTCTCAGCAGTGCTGATCCATATTACTGCGAAATCACACTTACTAACTAGAGTTCAATATTTGTTTACAGTTTTTTTTGCCCTTAGCCTGAGGGTATAGATTCAAATATTGTATTGAACATTTCCTTGGATTTGTTCTTTTTTTTTTCCCCTTTACTTTAGTGTGGTTATTTTATTTGTCTGAAATCAGGTTAGGTTTAACTGTACTTCTATATTACATTTTACCCCCACACCCAAACCCCACCAATCCTTCTTTCTTTTTCATTGTTTAACCTGGTTCAGAGTCGGAACTGTACACAGACAAGTATACTCCGAGAAGTGTCACACTCCCCTACCCATTCCTTCTACCTAGGTCTCCCACTCCACCTCCTTTCTGTAAACCACAAATCAAAATCTCATTCATTTCTGGTTTATTCTTCCTGTGTTCCTTTTTGCACAAATGAATGGATACATGCATATTTTCTTATTTCCTTGTCTTCCTTACAGAAAGTTACCATTTTGTAGATGCTCTTTTGTCTCCCCCATCCACCTACCCCACACAATTAATATACCCGGGAACCACTAGGTTGCATACTCCTTATGAGAATCTAAGGCCTGATGATCTGAGGTGGAGCTGAGGCGGTGTTGCTAGTGCTGGGGAGCAGCTGCAAATAAGTTCATAGAGCTTTTCCTCATTTTTTCTTTTTTTCAGACGGAGTCTCACTCTGTTGCCCAGGCTGGAGTGCAGTGGCGCGATCCCAGGTTCACACCATTCTCCTGCCTCAGCCTCCCAAGTAGCTGGAACTACAGGTGCCCACCACCACGCCTGGCTTTTTTTTTGTATTTTTAGTAGAGATGGGGTTTCACCATGTTAGCCAGGATGGTCTCGATCTCCTGACCTCGTGATCCGCCTGCCTCAGCCTCCCAAAGTGCTGGGATTACAGGCATAAGCCACCGCACCCGGCTCCTCATTTCTTCTTAAAGCTGAGCAGACTCCATTCTGTGGATGTAGCACAGCCTCTTCAACCACTCTTTTATGTATAGGCATTTAGGTAGTTCCTAAAAGGACAGTATAATGAACACTCTTATTCGCATGGATTTTTATATTGCTGGAGGTATATCTTCAGGGTAAATTGCTGGAAGTGGGATGCTGAGCCAGAAGGTAAACACACTGGTAGCTTTATCAGATTCTGCCAGAACCCCCACTACTGCACACAGCCGCGCAGAGATACCTGTTTCCCTACAGCCTAACCAATGGACAGTGGCGTGTGTCTGTGCATGTGCGTGTGTATACACAGTCAATGACCAGTTAATGTCTTTTGAGTTAACTCAAAAGTTAAGAGTTTCTTATATATTAGGGCAGAGTCCCCAGCTCTGCCCCACCCCCCCACCCCCCAGGCTGCACAGCAGGAGGTGAGAAGCAGGCAGGCAGGTGAGTAAGAAAGCTAGAAAAGCTTCCTCTGTATTTACAGCCGCTCCCCACAGCTCACGTTACCACCTGAGCTCCACTTCCTGTCAGATCAGCGGCAGCATTAGATTCTCATAGGAGCCCTACTGTGAACTGCGCATGCAAGGGATCTAGGTTGCATACTCCTTATGAGAATCTAAGGCCTGATGATCTGAGGTGGAGCTGAGGCGGAGGTTGCAGTGAGCTGAGATCATGCCATTGCACTCCAGCCTAGACAACAGGAGCGTGAAACTCTGTCTCAAAAAAAAAAAAAAAAAAGCCTTGATGGTATTTTTAGTCTAAGTGCATTAAATGTATAAATTAACTTGGGGAGAACTGACCATCTTTGTGATTTTGAGTTGTCCTACCTATGAGCAAAGGATGACTTACATTTGTTCAAATATACTTTTGTGTCTTTCAGATTGTTTTAAAGTGATCTTGTGTTGATTGTGCATATTTCTTATGCACTATCTTACGTATTTTATCTTATTTGTTGCTATTATGAATATATCCCATAATTTCCTTTAACTAGTTATTGCTTGTTGTATATAAAAACTATTGATTTCTGTATAATAATTTTATATCCTGCTCTATTACTGAATTCTCTTATTGTTTGAGTTAGAGAATCACTGATTCTTTAAGGTTTCTCATTTCCTCTGCAAACAGATAGTTTTACTTCTTTTTCAATGATACCTTTAATTGACTTCTCTTGTCTGTTTGGATTGGCTAATACCTTTAGTACAATGCCAAACAGAGGTGGAGACAGTGGGCCTCCTTGCCATGTTTCTTAGTGTTTCCCTGCTATATAAGATGCTATCTAGGACTCACAGACACTTACAAGTCAGTAAATTATCCACTAAGTCCTATTTTTGGAATTTTTAAAAATCAGGACAGGGTGTTGAATTTTATAAAGTGTTTTCTCAGTATCTATGGAAATAATCATACATTTTTCTTTTTTGATCTATTAACATATTAATGAGTTAAGAGATCTATTAATTTTTTTAATATTAAACCAATCTTGCATTCCTAGAAAAAAAAATCACATTTGTCTTAATGTTAGATTCTGTTAGTTAATATTTATTTAGAATTTCTGCATTGATGCTCATTAGTGATACTGGCCTGTAATTTTTATACTGTCTTTAACAGATTTAAGTATCAATATTATTTACTTCATTGAAATGAATTTGAAAATTTTCCTTCATTTTTGATGAGCCCATCCTTTTTCCACTGAAGTACTCCTTCTGAGGAAGACTAAAAAAAAATTTCTGCCAATGATCCTGTAGGAAAATTCCAAAAGAAACCTTTTTGATTTCTTCTTGAAATAGCTTTCAGAACTCCTGTTCTCAATCAAATATCTTTGCACCTACAGGTCTATGTGAGGTACTTGCAGCACATGGGTAGTAAGACAATGAGTTTATATTAATGTGGACTACATTTAAGAATCTACATATAAGAACCTTAACTGAGGCTTTACCTTAATACTCCAGACAAACAGGCTGGAGACCTGACCTCCTTAAGAGGTCTGGACCAGTTCTGGTAGAGATCAGCCCAGAATGACCAGGCCTCTGAACATTCCACAAAACGTGTTCCATGGAGAGGGTGTAGAGGAGAATAGGGAGCATTACCGAACAGCAAAGGAAAACACTTTAAGACTCTCCTCAACCATTTCCATTAAAATTTCAGAAACAGGCCAGGTGCAGTGGCTCATGCCTGTAATCCCAGCACTTTTGGAGGCCGAGGCAGGTGGATCACCTGAGGTCAGGAGTTTGAGACCAACGTGGCCAACATAGTGAAACCCCATCTCTACTAAAAATACTACTAAAATACTACTAAAAATTAGCTGAGCATAGTGGCAGGCACCTGTAGTCCTAGATACTCACGAGGCTGAGGCACAAGAATCACTTGAACTTGGGAGGCAGAGACTGCCGAGATCACACCACTGCACTCCAGCCTGGGCGACAGAGTGAGACTCTGTCTCCGAAAAAAACCAAAACCAAAACAAAGAAAACCTCCAGAAACAGATGAGAACATATTTAGATGTTTTGTATTGTATTAATACTTTTTGCTCAATTTTAACAAATGCCTCAGTCTTTGCTAGGAGCTACCCACCTCAACAAGCATGGGTTCCTGGCCATACCATCAAGGTCACAGAGGCAAAGCTGCCTCCAGAGCTAGGCTCTCAAACAATGCTGCCCATCAGAATCGCCTGCAGTTTTAAAACACAAAGCAAAAACAAACTGATGCTAAGACCCCAGATACCCTCTGAATCCCAACCTCCAGAGCCAGAGCTTGGGTGTGTCCCAGATGATTAGAATGCAGCTGGTCCAAAGACTGGGGTTCTAAAACCACTGTTCCCAAAGCTATTTTTCAATGACTTTTTTAAAACTACATTTCTTTTAAAAAATTTCCAGAGCTACAACATCAAAGAGGCAGTAATTCTCTTCTGGTTCCTTCAATGATTGAAATGAAGCATCGCATTATTTTGATATTTACTAGGACGGCACAACAACAGTCCCACAGATGGAGAGATTTCATTTTCTAGAGCCAGAGGGTGGTAGGTAGTCGAGGAAAAGGAAAAAGGGGAAAGGAACAAAGAACTGGCATTCGGACACAAAGTGTGCACCACAAAGTGCCATTACGTGCAAGACAGCCACTTAGTGTGTCTGAATCCCTGTTGGTGTTCTGTCTCCCTACAGTGGCTTCATTCGCGATCACCAGATGTCAGGTCTGCCAGATGTCGTTTTTAGCACCATGAAGCATAGCAAGGGCTGGTGTCTCGCACACACACAAGCATGTGTGCACATGCACACACACACATGCACATACACACACACACATACATGCACAAATCCACACACACACACACTTGATTGCCACCTCAATATGGCAGGCTTCCAACAGTGAGCACACCAGCCAACATGGCACCATCTTTCCACTCACTGTAAGATTTCTCCAAGGTCTTATAAATGAATGAATGAACGGGCCATGGGGAAGGGGTATCTTCAGCTATAGATCTCAAGATTCTACACTGCAAGCAAGCCAGTGGTTCCTTTGACTGAGCACCCATCCACATGCTGGGCCCTTGGTATGAGCCATGTTCTCATTTAAATGTCCCAGTGACTCTCAAGACATCATCATTGCCAAGTAGTCTCATTTTACTGCTGATAAGTGGAAGCTACACCGCAGAAGTGGCCTGGTGAGATCAGAGAACAGTCAACCAGGTTTGCCTGGCTCAGAGGCCCATCTTCTGACTCACTAGGAAAGAATCTTTTGCTTTTATCAAAACAGAATTTCAAGGTAGAAATACCACCTCTTTTTTTTTTTTTTTTTTTTAATGAGACAGAGTCTTGCTCTTCACCCAGCCTGGAGTGCAGCGGCACTATCTCAGCTCACTGAACCCTCTACCTCCCAGGTTCGAGCAATTCTCGTGCCTCAGCCACCTAAGTAGCTGGGACTACAGGCATGTGCCACCATGCTTGGCTAATTTTTGTATTTTTAGTAGAGATCGGGTTTTGCCATGTTGGCCAGGCTGGTCTTGAACTCCTGACCTCAGGTGATCCACCCACCTCAGCTTCCGAAAGTGCTAGGATTACAGGCGTGAGCCACCATGCCCGGCCGGCCAGCCTCTTAAAATGCATTTGTGTAAGTTTAACAGTCCTGGAGGCTATAAGGCTTTCTAGAAAGATCTGGAAATTGACTTCCAAATAATAACATCAAAATGGGGTTCTTGCTTTATCTTTTTTTCTGAGAACTGAAACAGAGTCACCTTACATTTTCTAAAAGTAAATACTACCAGCTTGGTGGCCAAGTTCATCAGTTCTGTGCTATGTGTCTGAACAGTTATTTTCCCAGCTCTGTACGTATTCTGCTTCAAATACTTCATTTTCCCTTATGAAATTTACATAAATTATAATACTAATAAGAAGTTTCTTTACCTACAGAGTGAAGGGGCATCTGAAACACCTGGGCAAACAAAGGAACCTGAAGGTAACGAATTCCTTCCTACAGAAGGGCAGCTCCACCCGGCCACTTGGGCCCTTGATTTTACCCCAGGTACCGTCGCCTTCGGGGTAATGACAAGGAAGAATGCCCTGCCCTGCCAGCTGGCCTGAAAACCAGTGTGCCTTTCACCACCCTGACGCCCTGTGTGTCACCTTCCTCTTTCCCTCTCTCGGCTCCCACCTCTCTTCAGAGCCTTCCCTGCACCCCGCCCTGCCAGAGATCAACCAACACGCCAGAGCTCGTTTGCCGGGATGCTTAGCACCAGCTTAACTCTTCACTCAGTGGGACAAGGGGCCTCTTTCTTTCAGGCAGGGCTTTGCTCCATGACACGCTGGGTTTATGGCCCCCGTGAACGAAACCTGGTTCGGAATCCAATTCTACAACAGATTTTCGTTCAAATGGTTATTTTCCATCCCTTGCCCCCAATTCCATTTTCTACCCATCTCTCCCGGCTCTCTGCCTGTGGGGGCTGACCCCTTGAGACCTGGGTGGATTCGTGCTTCTGGGTGGGTTCTGTGCTGGCAAGACATTTTATATCCTGTTCTCTTACTGAATCCTTGTACTGTTTGTTTAGTTTGATCGTTTATTCTCAAGGTTTCCCAGATATACTACAATATCATCCACAGATAGAGTTTTACTTCTTTTCTGATTCTTAGGTCTCCAGTTGGCTTCCGTGTCCACTTGGATTGGGTAATACCTCCAGGATGATGCTAAGTATTATAGAAGTGGAGGCAGTGGGTGTATCCTGGCCTTGTTCCTCCTGATCTCTGTGGAAATGCTCTTAGGTTTCCCCAAGAAGCAGGATGCTAGCTTTAGGACTCTGGATCTCACCCACTCCCTCCCACCTATGAGTCTTTGGAAAATACTATTTCCTCCCTTGCTATTTCAGGCCCAGGTGGCAGAACTCCTCTCTCTGGGGACCCCTCCATTGTGTGTTTTCCCTTCCACAGGATTCTGAGTTGGATCCTGTGTCTGTCTGTGGCCCTGAGAGCTGCAGGTATCGACTACAGGCTCAGCATGGTGGGATGGGCTGTATCCTCAACCCTGTTTCAACAGGGACACTTCTGCTAGGAGAGGAGAATGGGCCCAGATGTAAAGCTGCCCTTCTCCAGGGTTTCCTGAACCTTCTGGTCTCTTTGCCTTCATCTTGCCTCTTCCTGCTCCGTTAAAAAGAAAATGCTTCCCATTTGTTAATTGTTGAGAGTGTATGCTGCTGTTTTATTTTGCTTGACATCTTACAATCAATCTTCTGTATATGTTTATATATGCTTTTCTATTTAAGCTTTTTTTTTTTTTAAATCTAAAAAACACAGTACCATACCGCCAAAGGTGTCAGGAAACACGCTCAAATAAGGAAGGGCTCCAAAGACTGCTTTGCCAACAAAATGCCAGTAAAATCTGAAACCCAGGTTCAGACACACTGGGAACGTTCCAAAATTTAAAACTTAAAGAACTTCTTTATTCCAGTAAATCAGCTTCCCTGTGAATACCATCAAAATCCTGGGCTTTAATGAGTAAGGGAATATCAGAGGAAGGGGTGGAGAAGGAAAGGATTTGGACGAGCACAAAATTTAATTTAAAAACTATTATGAGAAGTTTAATTTCCCCTCCCCCAACCAAACACATAAATCTTTTCCATGCATTTTCTTTGTTTCGGTTTTTCCTAAAAAATCTGGAGAGGGAAAGGCATCTTGAACCATCTGAAATGACAGAGTCAGTGGAGTCTTTAATAATAAATATGTGTTTATTGGATTCCTATGAATTAAATGACATATTAGCTATATGGGAGGATCCAAGGAAATCGTAAGCAAAATTGCATTCTCACCGAATGTGTAATCAACCAGGGAGAAAAGACATTGATGGGAAGGATAACGAGTGATATGAGGCCTTGGGCCTCTTAAGGAGTAGGGACAACAGAGGTGTCAGAGTCCAGGCGGGGATGGCTCACTTCGGCAGGGGTGGTCGGGGCCCAGCACACCCCCAAGTGCACTGAAAGATGCGACCATGTAGGGAGAATGAAGCTGGCCTTCACAGTTCATAATTCCATCCACAGGCAGCACTGAGTGCAGCCACATTTCAACATTGGAACTTTCCAGGGCGAAGAAGCACTGAACACGTCGCAAGAGCATGGACTTCCTAGGTTTTCACCAGGCCACGCGTGAGCATGGGGCTGTGGGTGTCGGTGTGCCTCAGCACTGCCACGTCCACTCTGAGTGCAGGTCCGGCTCAGTTTTGGATGTTCCTCCGAGAGCAGTCCTCCAGGGCCACCGTGGGACGAGGCACCTCTTTGGTAGGCCATTTGCACTCCAGCACGGCCTCTGTTCCTAACCACAATGGGCTGCTGGTTCAAGGACTCCCTGCCACAGCCAGGAGGCACAGAAGACCCCATGGAGGCACTTGGCTGGTTAAGACCCGCAGGGGTCACCTGCCTAGGCTTAGCCTCAATCTCCTTGTAGATAAAACTGGACCCTAACCCTTCACTGCCCAGGGCCCCTAGGGAATAAATGTGCCATGCTGCGTGGGATGCCCAAGGAGAGTTCTGTGGCATTTATTTAGCCACACTGGTTCCTCTCCCCTGGTTTCTTTTCATCATCAAATGGACATGATGGAAAGCTCCTTTGCGGTCTTTCTAGGAGAGGAGGCGGCACCTATATTCCAGATGCAGCCATTTCACAACCAGGCGCTGCTTCCTGGTCAGAGCCGCTCGACCATGAGGATATTCTACAGAAAGAGAACTCAGCTCTCTCCTTCCTACCTCACATGACCCTAAGGAAAGTTAAGAAAAGAGGAAAAGACCTGTGAAGATGCCTGATCAGCTGTCAGGGTTACGTAGACACTGGCTGCTGTTATTTACTGTTCCCTGGCTGATAAAATAGCCAGGTCACCTGTGCCGATGACCAGACCCACCCCCTACCCACCAGCAGGGCTGCCAGGGCTTTCTGGGGAGACGCTGCAGCTTGGTTCTTATTTCCTTTGCTCTGCATCCCTCTGGGTTGACTTGAGTCTGATCATGGGTTTATTCCATTTCCATTTTGCTAGATTCCCTCCACTCCCTCAAGCTTCTACAAAACTGTGGGGCCACCACTCCCCACAAAAGATTAAAACCAAGATGTTTCCTAGAGGTGGCATTTTGTCTTCCTGAAGCTGTTCTGTGCACAGGTCCTCTCCACACTCATGCCAAATGCTCGGTGAAGCGTCTTCCTGAATGTCCCTAAGGGGCACGTGCCACTGGCAGAGCTGATGGGCACACCTCACTCCCACACATGCTGTGCCGAGCTCATGACTCAGCTGTGCAGGGCCCGCCCAAGAGTGAGGCAAACACCAACACCGCACAGCGACCCTTTGTCAATGGTGGGGACCTCAGTGGCTTCTCCATCGGAACTTAGGGCTGACGGGCCTCCAGACCTACTGTTACACACTGGCCCACGGAATGACCCTCATAAACCCAAGAACAGTAAACAGAGCTTAACATTCTAACGAAATCAAGATTGCTGTGTGTGCTTTCACAAAATGAAACTGCCTGGAACTTCTCATAACGTTTTTTATGATAAGCATTAAAATGCAAAGAGGAAGATTAAAGTTCCTGCTACAGACCAGAGCAGTAATGAGTGTGGGAGGAGGAGCTCTGGGTAGGGTCTGGGAGAGAGGTTTATGTACTGCATTACAGTTGGATATTATTATATAAAATGAGTGTGTTATTAAAAGGATCCTGAAGTTATAAAAACTCAAAGGAACTTTTACTGAGGATGAATAACTTCTTTGGTAAAGATGAATGACTCTCACGTCCTAGACACTGAGGTGCAGTCACGTGCCAGAGCTCTTTAATTGCTAGTAGTTGGATTTCGTTGTTTTTGTGGGGCACTTTTTTGCGGGGGAAGGGGCAGAAAGATTAGGAATACATTCTTTGATTAGGAAAGTTCTAGTGGGTAAGAGAAAGTCCCTCTAGTTAGTAACTGAGAATCTTGATTATCCTACTAGAAAAAGGCAATAAGAAGACGCATCTCCTATGGCCATAACAGCCACCTGATTTTTTTTGCTCTACTTCTTTTAATTTTGTTTGTTTGTTTGTTTTCAGACAGACTCTCATTCTGTTGCCCAGGCTAAAGTGCAGTGGTGCAATCATAGCTCACTGCAGGCTTGACCTCCCGGGCTCAAGCCATCCTCCCACCTCAGCCTCCCAAGTAACTGGGACCACAGGTGTGTGCCACCATGCCTGGCTAATTTTTAAATTTTTTCTAGAGACAGGGTCTTGCTATGTTGCCCAGGCTGGTTGTTCGACTTCTTAAACAGTACATACCACCTCATCCATTTAATGTTACAAACACAATGAAATCAGTAAGTCAGAAAACTGTAGAGTGATGTGGTGAAAAACATTCTTTTTAAATGTAGTTCTACTTATTTTAAATACATTTAATTAACTAAAATTATACCAGAATATGGCTTTGGGCTTGATCTACTCAAGTAATTTATACATTTTCCCTATAATTTTGTTTGTGTCCATAAACTAGGAAATTTCCATGTAATCTGTATCAAGACAATCACAAATTCTAAATTAGTGAAGACCAAAGTAATGTTTCCCTTTACCATGGTTGGAAGTGTACAGGATATTTGGTTTATTAATTTTAAAAATTATGAGAGTAATCCCGACAGTCTGGAAAACAGAAACAAAAGATTTCATCACACATACTAACACAACGATTGCCACCTTACGCATTTTCTAGTCCTTTCTCAAAGATGCATGTTTTAAGATTTTAATCTACGAATTAATAATTTATTGAAACCTGCTTTTTACTTTAAGTGGTCTGAGCATTTCTGTATCTTGCCATAGTCTTTCTGCTGATGGACAATATTCCATTGAGTGAGTGTGTACAGAGTACTTAACTATACATCTTTGTGAGTATGAACTTTCCGATGTATCTGATCATTTCTTAAGGGTAGATTACTAGAAGTGGTATCAATGGGTCAAGGATATTAACTTTTTACAACTCCTGATGCCTACTGCCACACTGCTTTTCAAGAGGTTGCTCTAATGTACACTCCCACTGGGGTTTGAACAAGGCTTAAAAGTACCTGTTTCATTATATCCTTGCCCACCCTGGGTATTATCATTAAAAACCGTTTTGGGCCTGGCGCAGTGGCTCATGCCTATAATCCCAGCACTTTGGGAGGCCAAGGTGGGCCCATCACGAGGTCAGGAGATCAAGACCATCCTAGCCAACATGGTGAAACCCTGTCTCTACTAAAAATACAAAAATTAGCTGGGTGTGGTGGGGTGCACCTGTAATCCCAGCTACTCAGGAGGCTGAGGCAGGAGAATTGCTTGAACCCAGGAGGTGAAGGTTACAGTGAGCTGAGATCGTGCGACTGCACTCCAGCCTGGCGATGGAGTGGGACCCCATCTCAAAACAAACAAACAAACAAACAAAAAAACATTTTGGTGTGTGTGTTTGTTGGCTGATGTAGAGGGTGAAAACAGCCAACAAACACACCAAAATCATGGAGGATTAGGAAGTGGGACCTATGGTGTTTCCTTGGCTCTTCATTCAGATTGAAGACAGGAAACAACCACATAGACATATTCTGTATCTGGCTGCCTTTCCCATGATCTTACGCTTCCGTGGCTCAATGGCTGCCTTTCCCACGATCTTATGCTTTTGATCATCCATGGAGAAAAACGCAAACGGACGCAGGAATGCTCCAATCTGGGCTGTGAAGGCTCAGACAGGCAGGAGGCTGTCTGCCCAGGAAGGCAGGTCAGAAGCTGCTATTAACCACTCTGGCAGGGCAGTGTTTCTGTCAGCCTGCAGAGCACTTCAGGTTCTGGGAGCAGCTGATGGCAGAACTGTGGTGTTCTCTCCGTGGAAAAAAAATGAGGAAGTCAGCAAAATGTTCTTAAGCCATTCCGTCCACCATTTTGTCCATCTGTGTTGATTTGGCAGTGGTGTTGGCAAAGAACCTGGGTGTAGGACAATGTGCTTTGTAAACAGAAGAAAATGAAATGATAGATGCAGGGGTGCCTTTGTTTGAGCTTGCTTGTATTTAAAGTTGGCTAAATATGCCTCAGCAGAGATCTTTGGGGACATGAATCATAATAGAAAAAAACAGCAACATATAGGCTTGTCCAAAATAAAACCTGCTCACCGTGCCTCAGGTAACCCTAAGAAGCGTCCTCTGTTGTAAAAACAATTCAAATACATACCAAGTAGCAAGAATCGCATAAGGAAACCCCACATAGGATGTCCGGGGCAACAACATGCAGACCCCCACCCCTGCCGGAGCCGAGTACACACCAACCCACACATCCAGGGCTCTGGGCAGCGGTGACTGTTCAGTGAGACCGCTTTCAGCATTTGCGAGAAGCTGCTCACCAACTGCCAAGTTCCTGCTGGGTCGGCCAAGAGGTATGAACCAAAAATGAAAAAACATGAAAGGTTTGTTTTTTAAAGGCAATACATCAAACATAAAAAGAGCCCTTTTGTATGAATTTTCAGTGTGGGAGCCAGAGAGGAGAAAAAATCATTTTCCCTCCTGGGAGGAAGCAGTTTGACCTCACCTGCGACTTTTCTCTTACGGTGTGGATTTTTCTCACCCCATTAAATGTAACCTACTCTAGGTGGGTTAGTACCATGTGAGAGAAATAGGGGGTGATGGGGAATATGGCAGACAGGCAGGCTGGGGCTCAGACAGAATGCCGAGCACCCTCGAGGGTGGGCCCTCGAGGGCCACGGAAGCGGGTGCCACGGGGCTGCATGGAATGCGGCTGCTCCAAGGGGCCTGTTTGCTGGACACACAAGGATTAAGTTTCCATGGCTCCAAAACCCTTGCAGCCTCCCACCCCACCCCCGGCAAAAGCACTCTTTGCAAAAGGAAAGGAAAAAAGAACAACCAAGTTAGAATGGGGTTATCTTCTTACCACTTTCACAAAGAAAGGGCTGGCTGGGATGGACACAGCAGGTTTCCCACTGTGAAGCCATCAGAAAGGCAGCGGAAAAAAACCTCATGGCAGTTAGGTGTGGGCCAGCCACACAGACAGGAACAAGCGAGCTTTCAAACCTAGAAGGTGAGTGCGCTACCTGTCAGCGTTCACAGGACTTTGCTCTGAAGAACAGTAAAAGACCATCTCAGCACCGGGTCCCTAAATCCCCTTCCCATTAACCAGGTGCCAATAGTGAAACCTAGAAGGGGACCCTGGTAAATCACCCGGCGGCTACCCCGCAGGCTCCCAGCGCTACGCTCTGGGGACCGTCAGCCTTTTCTTCTGTCACACAGCAGGAGAATGAGCTCACTTTGGCATCTGTGTGACCAGGGACGGCTGCCATCTGTGTGTCACTGTTATCAGTGGTCAGAGCAGAAGTAGCAGGTGGAACCATGTGAAATCCCTAACATTCAACCGTTTAGACCTGCAAAAATGGCTCTTTCCTTCGATTTACCCTGATGATGACAAGAAAAGGAGAAGGGGGGGAGGGAAGGGAGAGGGGGAGGGAAGGGATGGAAGGGAAGGGAGCGGGGGGAGGAGGAGGACGACCATGATCATCAGCCAATTGTGCTACGTCAGTCCAGAGTGAGCTGCTACTTATGATTTCATTTCCTCCTTAGACTGATGGGAGCAATGACAATCCCCATTTGTAGATGAGGCACCTGCTCAGAGAACTGAAGTTACTCATCCAGGGTCACATGGCTGTCAAGAGGCATGCCCAGTACCTATGACAAACATTCATCCCCAAGTAACGAAGCCAACAACCTGTGTCTCACTCCAGAACCACAGAGCTGTTACAACACGTGGTGCCTCCTGAGCCAGCAGCCAGGGGCAAGAACGAGAGGATGCAGGGAGAGGCTCTGGGGAAAGGGCTGTGTCCCCTCAGTCATGTGACCCCCAGGCTTTCTAGAGTGACTCATGGTGAGGACAGCAAAGATCTCAAAATGCTGTCTAGACCTTAACTCTGCCCATCACCCCATCCATTTGGTTTTGTTTCCCTTTCATTTGCATGTGTAGTCACATGCTCAGCATCCTTGGGGGCAGCTGCATCTGTGGTCCTCCAGAACCCCAAGCTTTGCAGTTGGACTTGAACCCCTCATGCGCTTTTGATTCCTGATTAAATAACCTGATTCGAGTTGTTGAGATCTTTAGTTTACATCAAATAATTCTTCTTTCTATTGCTCCATTCACTTCTGCACATTGCCTTAGGTACCGATTCATTTTCTCTACGACCCCCGCTGCTTACATGAGTTCTAAGATCATCCACAGGTGTGTGCCTGTCGGAGGGCTCGGAGAACACGGGACAGCAGGAAGCAGTCTTTTTTTTTTTTTTTTTTGAGATAGAGTCTCGCTCTGTTGCCCAGGCTGGAGTGCAGTGGCGCAATCTTGGCTCACTTCTACCTCTGCCTCCTGGGCCCCAGTTCAAGCAATTCTCCTTCCTCAGCCTCCCAAGTAGCTGGGATTACAGGCATGCACCACCATGCCCAAATAATTTTTGTATTTTTAGTAGAGACAGAGTTTCTCCATGTTGGCCAGGCTGGTCTTGAACTCCGGACCTTGTGATCCACCCGCCTCGGCCTCCCAAAGTGCTGGGGTTACAGGTGTGAGCCACCGCGCCCAGCCAGGATGCAATCTTATTGGTGTGTCACTTTTAGCCCAAGAAGCAAAAAAGTGGAGTGAGTAAGCTGGTAGGATCAACTGTTATTTTTATATTAAAACAAACATGTACCAGAATTATGGAGTAAAAATTATGCAAAATTTACAAGCATGTTAGAGATAAATCAGACCTTAAAGAAATTTAGTGCTAGTCAGAAGCTACATAAATGGTCAGGCATGTGGCTGCTGGTGCAATATTGTCCCTTTACGGCCAAGAGACCTCAGACAAGTTACTTAACCTCTCCCATCGAAAGCATCTCTCATGAAGATGCTGCTTCAGTCATAGGGTTGTCAGGAGGATATACCAAGTTAGTGCCTATGTGGACAGCTGTTTAGAAGCCTCAGAGCACCCTGTGAATGTGCTTTCAGACCTGCCCTGGATTCTTAGCTTCTACTAAGGACGAGCTACGGGTGTGACTGGGTTACGCTTGGCTCATTCTGGCCTCCCTGCCGCAACTTTTCCAAAGAGGCGATCTCTGAGCTCCTGGGAGCAAACCCATGAGGATACAGATGATTCGGCAACTTTGTGCCAGGCCCTCTCCAGGCTCTGGGGTTGTTTCTGTGAACAAATGCTCTGTCTCTGCACCCAGGGAGCTGGCATTCTAGTATGTGTGTGCAAGGCGGTGGGAGAGAGACATAAATGCATAATGTGTCAATGCAGTGAAAACAAAATACAGCAGATAAGGGGTACAAGGAAGGACAAAGGATGGGGTGTTCAAGTGGTCCCTGAAGGCTGCTGCAATAAGGCATTTGTTCAGAAAGAAGATAGTGAGAGCATACCATGAAGACATGTGACAGAGGACTATTCCAGGCAGAGGCAGCGGCAAGGCCAAAGGCCCTCAGTGGGATTGGAGAGGAACAAAAAGGTGACCGACGTGGCTGAAGCACACTCTGTGCGTATGGGGTTGGGGGGAATAGGAATAAGGGTTATGCTGGTTGGGGGACAGATTTGGAAGTGTGCAGGTCATAGTAAGAACTCTGGATTTTTTACTGAATGAAGTAGGAAGCAACACTGAGCCTTTCTAAGCTAACAGGGATGAGATAACTAAGTTACATTTTAAAGGAATTCACCTGGCTGCCACATGGAAAACAGCCTGGTGGAAGGAAGAAAGAGATGTGTTCTGCACATTTTGAAAGTGGAACAAAGAGGACCTGATGATGAACTGAGCTCCTGAAAGGAAGATGGAGTCAAGGGTGAGTTCACGACTTCTGGCACACACAACTCAAGGAAAAAGCGATGTGCCGTTTCCCAAAAGCAGGAGGCAAGGGCTGAGCAGGCTGGAGGGTGGAATCTGGTGCTGGACTTAGATGTAGCAAGCATAAGATGCCTATGAGACAGCCCACGGAATCCAAGCAGAAGTCTGGAGTGGGAGGGAGAGGTCTGGGCTAGGATATTCATTTGGGAATCATTATCGTGGAGATGGTTCTTAGAACCATGGGACCAGGAGAGGTCAGCCAGCGAATGAGTTGGGCTGGAGAGGGGAAGACGTCTGATTAACCTGACTTTGTTCTCTGGCAAAGGCACCAGGTTGAGAATTCAGAAACTCATATCCCTGGTTTCTTTTTAGCAAACACGAAGCATGGTGACCAAGCCATGTCATCACACTGGAACCGCAAAAAAGAGAAGAAAGGAAATGCGCTTCGTCTTCTGCGAGGACACATTGACGGTGCTCAGCTAGCCAGCATCTAGGTCCCACAGAGGGCAGGAGGGATCCGGAAACACTGAGGTCCCCTCCTGAGAGGCTCATGCCCTCACATACTTTCTTAATATAATCAAAATGGGAGTAAATGATGACAATATGCAACTTTCCAAATACTGAGGGTTCTGGACCAAGCTACTGAAACAGATTTCATAGTTGCTATGCTCCATACTCTGCCTAGCATACGGTAGTCATTTTATAAACATTTGACAAATAGTTATATTTCTAACAGAAACCAGAAATTTGGGGCCATGACTCCTTTACAGCTCAAGAAATATGCAAAATTAGTATTCCCTGAGAGACAGATGTCTGAAGGCCCCAAGCAGTCCAACCCTGTCCTGTCATAGCCTGAGACATCCTGCCTTAGGGAGTAAGTTATTACTAACTGTGGACAAGCTCTGTTTCCCTTTTGGAGGAACTGAGGGCAGAGATCCTGCCATTAATTCCTCCCCCAGTGCCTGGGATAGTGCCCTGTGCACAGCAAATGCCCAATACATCTAAATAAATGTCAAATGAATGAGCGAATAAATATTCATTAAAAATTAACCAAACAGTTAATTTAGGTCATTCAGTGGAAAAAAGAAAAACAGTGAAACTAGAAAAGCATCTTTTTAATTTAAAAGGTTAATTAAGGACAAGGTTTTAAAAAAATATTTTGGTGGATTTAGTAAACCAAGCACACCTGGGACTCAAAATAGTTGCAATCTGTAACTCTAAACACAGCCCATTATGTCCCACGAATTAGAAAATGAGGGAAAGTTGCCTGACTCGCTTCATGATTCTAGTATAATCTCAATTCTTCAACCAGATAGTGGACAAGAAAATAAAAAACCCCAAACACTTAAACACACAGATGTGAAAATCATGAATAAAATGCTAGTTAACTGAATTCAATGCTACATCTTATGTGTATTATAATCAGATATTGTTTATCCTAGAAATGCAAGGATGGTTTAACATCAGAAAAATGTATCAACATAATACATAACATATGGGTGGGCAAAATGAGGAAAATCACATGATTTTCTGAATAGATGCAGAACAGACATTTGGTAATTTCAGTAGCCCTAGGTCAGTCCAAATGATCTATTAGTCTGATCAATTTAATGATTTTATTAGATTCTCTAATTCCCAAAAGCATATTTCTTTTTACTATTTAAGCATTTTACAGCAATCTGTTTTAGATGTATAAGCAGGGCCCACGAGAGCTGTGAGGAACCAGGACTCGGATAATCCAGGGCGTTGGGAGACTTCCCCAAACCAGGAAATGATCCCATGCACCATCTGAGCCTTCCAGTCTTCCCACAGACTCTACCAAACATTATCGGGGCCACTAACAAAGAAGGAAGAAAAACTACTTTCAATGTTAGCTCTCCCTTTGACTCTTCTACTGAGGGATATGTGGGGGACCCATGTTTATGAATAATAACTTCCAGAAATAAAAATTCAGGAGAGACAAGCAATGCAGCACCTACAGAAACAAAAATAATCAGACCTAAATCCACAAGTTTATTAAAGTGACTTTTTATCATGATCTTTTTTTTTTTTTCCTGCAATGGAGTCTCACTCTATTGCCCAGGCTAGAGTACAGTGGAGTGATCTCGGCTCACTGCAACCTCCACCTCCCAGGTTCAAGCAATTCTCCAGCCTCAGCCTCCCAAGTAGCTGGGACTATAGGTGCACACAACCACACCCGGCTAATTTTTGTATTTTTAGTAGAGACGGGGTTTTACCATGTTGGCCAGGCGTATCTCAAACTCCTGACCTCAAGTGATCCACCCGCCTCGGCCTCTCAAAGTGCTGGGATTACAGGGGTGAGCCACAGCTCCCAGCCTATCACGATCTCTCTTAACACTGCCCTGACATAACTCATGGCTGTACCATCCAAAGACAGTATTTTGTGCTATGTCTGAAAACCTTCCAATCTGGCCTTAAAACAAATATTCAGCAACATAATAGAGTGATAATGTCAGAAAAGAGTATTGGCTCCCATATCCACAGTTGTTTTAATAGCATTTAAGACCAACATTTTATAAATATTATTAGAAATAATATTTATTTTTTATTAACATTAAAATTAATATAATAAAAATATAATTTTTCTCCTAGCTTTGCTTATGTTTGTGTTTTCATAAATAGTAGAGGGGAGAACTAATGATTAATCAATGGGCTGTGCATCACTTGGGAAGTTCCCTGTGTAAAAAGCTCTAAGTTAACATCTTTGCAAAACCATTAGGAAGAATTTCCCAATAATCCATTTAAACATATCAGATTAATGAGGAATTAAATGCATCTGCACTTATTCTTGGTGTGGATTTCAACTGTTTCTCAAAGCTGAACTGAGCCAGAGCCTGCTCAGCAGAAGAAAAATTGAGAAGGCTAATGGAGAGAGCCGTTAGCGTAGGATGCAATGGTTTGCAACTTGGTGGGCACACACGGTCTGAAGCCTCACCCTGCCCTGACGCCTGCATTCCTAATTCTGTGCATTCACATGTTGACTTAACACTGGTTTATTGAGCATTTACTATGTAACACTGTTCTAGAGACCGAGAAATACAGCAGTAGACCAAGTAGGCTTACGTTCTGGCAGGAGGAGTCAGACACTCAACAAATATGCAAATACAGACACAAATATTGGGTTGTGGGGTTAGAGAAGAAGTAGTGAGAGCTAAGGATGGTGGGGAGAAGCCCTCTCTGATAAGCTAACACGTGAGCAGAGACTTGAAGGAAGTGAGAGACTCGGGAAGCTACCTTGGCAAGGAACGATCCGGGCAGGGAGAAGAGTAAACACAAAGGATGGAGGTAGTAGCGTGTGCTTGACCTGAGGCCCAACGAGGAGGCCCAGACCACTGGATGAAGTGTGTGCACAGTGTGTGTATGTGTGTGTGCAGGTATTTGGGGGAGGAAGGGAGGCAATCACACAGGGCTTCCAGGGAGGTGAGGACTATGAATTTTCACTTAGCATAATATTTTCAAGATTCACCCATGCTGTCACACAAATTAATATTTTGTTCTTTTATATTGCTTGGATTCCTAGTTGTATTCTAGTAATTTGTTTATCCGTTCACCAAATGATGACTATTTATGTTGTTTCCAGTTTGGGGTTATTCAAATAAAGCTGCTATGAATATCTACATACAGTCTTTGTATGGACAAATGTTTTCATTTATCTTGGAAAGGCATCCATCTATCAACTGATTGACTGACTGATTGATCTGCTCACTATGTATCATCCAGTAATGCCATTCCTAGGGATTTACCCAAGATAAATTCCAGACTGTTTTCAAAAGTGGCTGTTATCATTCTGCATTCCCACCAGTAACACATGAGAGTTCCAGTTTCTCCACATTCTTGTCAACATTTGGTATTGTCAGTCTTTTTTAAGTTCAGCCCTACTAATGCATGTGAAGTGGTATCTTATCATAGTGTTAATTTGCATTTCTCTGAAGACTGGTGACACTGAGCATTTTCTCATGTGCCTTTAGGAATTTATAAATTTTCTTTGCTGAAGTGTCTTTTCAAATTTTTGCCTTTTAAAAAAATTGAGTTGTCTTAATATTGAGTCGTAAGGTTCTTTATATATTCTGGCTATATGTCCTTTGTCAGATATATGTCTTGCAAATATTTTCTCCCAGTCTGTGGCTTACCTTTTCCATTTTTAAACTGTGTTTTATAAAAAAAAGAAGTTTTTTTAGATCAAAGTCCATTTTAATCATTTTTTCTTTTATAGTTCATGCTTTTTGTGTCTCATTTAAGAAATCTTTCCCTACTCCAATGTCACAAATATATTCTCTGAGAAGCTTAACAGTTTTTGCAACTAAATTTAGGTCTATGATCCGTTTTGACTTAATTTTTCCATATGGTGTCATGTAACAGTTGAGATTTTTTTCCTATGCAGGCAGATATTCAATGGTTCAAGTACCATTTATTGAAATGGCTATCTTTTCTCCACTGAATGACCTTGGCACTTTTATCAAACATCAACTGGCCACACACAGGTGAGTCTACTTCTGGACACTTACCCTGTTCCATTCATCTGTATATCTCTATCCTTACACCAACACGCATAGTCTTGAATACTAGGGCAAGTTAATTTTAAGATGTCTCCTGGATATGTAAAAATTATATCTGAGTTGAACTACAGTTTATTTATATATCCAGGCAGCAAATAAATGTGAGAATCTGGAGGTGAGGGAAGAGATCAGAGATACCACCTTGGAAACCATCAATTTAGAGATGATTCTTAAGGCAGGGGACTAAGGGACACTCTGTAGGACACAGACATAGAGAAGGGAAGGGGCTGCGGCCTGAACACCCCACCTGCATGCTCACTCACATACTTTCGTCGGCCTGTGTTAACGAAGTGCTGGGTCTCCCCAGCCTCTCTCATCTGTAAGCAGTGCCAACAACGTCCAACACAGTTCCATCCAATTTGGATCTGCCAGATTTCCAAGGAGCCGAAAACTTGACCCTACAAATCAGAGTCCCGAATTCAGCCCAGAGGCTCAGAAAGTTGCTCCAGTTTTCTAAGCCTCAGTTCTCAAATTTGGAAAAATAGAAATTCAGTAACTAGCCAAAATCATAGGGTTGTTTGTGGACAACTAATAAGAATAAAATGTAAACATTTAGACACGCAAGCCCCGTGAGGAAAATCCAGCCGTCCCTCTTTCTAATCAGGGTGGTGTGAGTTTCCTATGACCCATTTCCACCATTTCCACATTTATGAACCGTGATCAACATTAGACACTGAAAACACAGGAAAACAACTTCTGGACAAATCACTGTGAGCTCAAATGACCCCGCAGACTCTGTGGCCAGCTTGACCCCACCACTCCATCATCAAAGAGGACCATGGTGAGAGCCTGAGGGATGAGGCACTACTTGTTGATGCTGGCAGGGATCAGCAGAAACATATGTTTTCATGCTGAAAACAGAAGACACAGATGTGGGCACACTTAGAATGCACTCCTGGCACACAGTGGGTACTCCGTAACTACTTGGTGAACAAAGAGACACAAAGAAACAGCAGTCATTTGAACAATCAGCTGAGAAAACAGAGACTCTGTGACCAAGCTCTCCATCAGGTATGGAACAGATGCAGTCACAGGAATGATAACAGTCACAAGGAAAGCTGAGGGTGGCTCCCTGCCGGTACCGCTCTTGGCAGTTTATGGGAAATTATTCATCCTATGGAGCAGCACTATTATTAACCCCGTTGTACCAGTGAGGAAACAGAGGCAGGAAGGTACTAGAATTACTCCCACTTCATAGGTTAAGGAAACTAAAACCCACCAAAATGGCAGGGCTGGGACTTGAACCTAGGTCATCAGGCTATGGGGTTCCACGGACTATGGCTCAGCTATAATACTACGCGATATTCTCTCCCATCTTCAGAATGTTTGCTTCACTTCAAGTAAAAGACAGTAACTAAAAATTCTCTTTCCATCATCTGTTACCTTAAAACAGCCTAACTCACAAAACTTCACAACGCAAGCCCAGGTATTATGGAACCCACCAAGAATAGCAAGTTCAGTGTTGGCTGCCATTTCTAAGTGGACAGTGTTAATTCCCTCCACTTAGTTGAGGGGCGGAGAGAGGTGTTGAAGGAAAGAGATGAGATGACAAGTCTGAAGTGGCTTCATCACAAAGCATCCATGGCTGTGATATGTAGCTGTGTCATCCATGGCAACATTCGCCTGAATGGAGATTGTATTATGGACATTGTTCTGGGATGCCTGAGGCTGATGACATGGGACATGCCGGAAATTTATGTATTTCCTACATAAATATGCAGCTGAACATATTTATGTAGGAAAATTAAAGACCAGACTGGTCAATCACTGGTAAGCCGTCAATGCCCCCTCAATGATTACCCTTGTCATTCGTGCCAGCCAAAACACACCCAGTTCACAATAGAGACGCAAGTAACTTTTCAACCTGCAACTGACCGCTAGAAATTGATTTTAGTAGTTGCCTCTATCCTGTGATATTTTAGAAATCAGGTTATCATGCATAATTAGCTCTCCAGCCCAAATCATCTGTGCCACATTCTATTATAACAATCGGAGAGGTTATGACAATCAAGAAAAGGAAAAAAACACAGGCATCTGTCTCATAGTTCAATTTTAACAGGAATAAAAATAATTTGAAAGAAAGAACAAATACATAGATCAAGGCCACATCTGCCATCTCATTGCAAGGCACATGCCCATCCTGTCTACAAAGCTTTTGGCATAGCATGTCTGGTGCACAGTAAGTACTTAATCAGTGGCAGTTCATCTTTTTATTATTATTAATGTTTCTAGCATGAATGGATCTCAGAGAGTCTATTAACTTTCCTTCCTAGTCAAGGGATGCACAAAAATTTAGCAAAACTTCAGATATTAATTTGCTTCACTGTGAGTAGTTATGTTCTATTTATAAAAATTGCAAACAGATTGATTTCCTTTCTTTTTTTTTTTTAAATTTTTTAATTTCTTTTATAGAGACAGTTATCTAACTATGTTGCCCAAGCTGGTCTCAAACTCCTGGTCTCAAGCAATCCTCATGCCTTGGCCTCCCAAAGTATTGGGACTACAGGTGTGAGCCACTGCATTCAGCATTGATCTTATTTTCATTTGCAATTTTAGCAGCAATATGATATATATAATATTCTTTAATAACAATATTCATAATGTATATGACATAAGGTATACAAGAATACAACTATTTTATACACTAACAGTAGCAAATAATATTCTCTTTCAAAATTGTGATTCATCGAGGCAGGCTAACATTAGCTGAAACAAGTCCAACTGCAGTGGCCCAAGTCCAGGGCTAGTCAGGCAGCTCTCCTCCAAGCAGTGACTGAGGGCCACAGGCCTCTTGCAACTTGGGATGCCGCCATTTTCCCACAAGGCCTCCAAGATTGCAGCATAAGGGGAAAGGGACAGTGGGAGAATCTCATGGGCCAGGCCTGGAAGAAGCGTACTTCATGTCCATCTGTCTGTTGGTTGTCCAGGCAACGCCAGCCCAACTGAAAGGGGACTATGCGCCCAGGAGAAAAATGAAATAGGGTTGGGAATCACTGTTTTCTGTGTCATAAACATTCTCTCCGTGGACAATTAACATCTGCCTTGTACTTTACAGATGTTTACACGGCACTTTTCACTATGTCTTATTTATTCATTCAGAAAATTTAGTCAATAAAAAAAGTTGAAAAGTTGCTATTGTTATTGCCATTTTCCAGGTGAAGAAACTGCGGCTTGGAGAAGTCATTTAGCATCCAAGCAGATGAGTGGCACAGCCAAGGCTTCATTCCCTGACCTCCGCATCCAAATCTCAAGCCCTTTCCACTTTTCTTTGCGTCGTACTGAACTTCAAGAAGAACAGAGATCCTGTGATAAAACAGATTTATGACAGAAGTAGGGTTACCTTTTCACTCCCAATGGGATCCAGTGTTGTGTAGTTCCATAAAAAAGGCACGATCCCCACACAATTCAACGGAACAGCCTGAGAGCAGGCTTTCACCAGTCCATAGTCATATATGAGCCAGTACAGGGAGTGTTTCAAAACTGAAATAGAAGTTAATATCCTGATAATCTCAAAATAAGACTTCTAATTCTTATTTTAGAGGTCAAAGAGATGGGTGTAGATATGGGTGAACATGATTAAATCAAAATTATGGATGTGAAGAAAAACTCTGGGCGATCAGGGTCCAGTTCCTAACCCTGTCCCCTTAACTAGACATGAAACCCATGTGGAATACTCATTGTCATGGTGACAACCGGGTGGATGGAGTTTGAAGACAGGTCAGAACACACTACTAGGTCCACAAAGCCCAAGGCGTCACTGAGCTGGGTGTGAAGTGGCTGTCTGGCACATCTTCTTCCATTGACAAGCCGGCCTTTGTGATGAGAAGGAGGCTCATGGCACAGTCTCAGCTGAGTCCACTCCTGCAGGCAGGCAGCAGGGAGGACAAAACGTCCCCAGCTTCCTTCTCCATGGTCTCTGCCTAGAGAGCATCAGTATTTCGATGTTCAGCATGGAATAGACTTCCATAACATTGAAAGCAGTGATCTTCTCTTTTCAAAACAAGGTGTTGTATGCAGTATTAAATCTGGATTCCAGAAACGCTCGCACAGGGCGACCTTGTGTGCAGAAGTTTATTGCCAAGGTTCCAGTTTATGCCCACGAGGCGCACAGCGAGGCTTCTGGAGGCAGCAGCTTGCTTTTGGCATTCCCTTACAGAGCTCAGAGCCCCGACAGGTTTTGGCTGTAAGAAGTATCCCGCAACTGATTTATTCCTCAATTTCAATTATTTTTTTCTCTACATGAATCATTTCCATGTTTCCAAAGCAGAAGTAGAAAGAAAGAAAAAAAAACTCATAAGGTGAAAAAAACTTCCAAAGTGTTTTGTTTTGTTTTGTTTGTTTTTTTATTGAAAAAAAAAAAAAGCCTGCAATACAGGAATGGATTTGCTATCAAACATCCATTTCAGGAAACCACCAGGTAGAATCGGGCAATTTGATGGGCAATTGGGTCTCAATTTCCCCATCAGGAACAACGTCTGTGCACACACACATACACACATTCACTCCCAAGCCATCCACCTCACCAGACCATGAGCTTTTAGGGAGACCGAATTCCAGCCAGGAAGGCAGTTTCCTTTTCACTGTACCAACATAATGCTTCATTACACCAAGACACAGCACTCTCCCATCTGCCAGGTCAATAAAGAATGAAGCTTAAAATTCACAGTCACCTTTACAATGCTAAGCATTTCAACCTTAAATGAATGTGCAGTCCACCAATCCGCTTCCCCGGCCTGCATCCAGCTCTTCCCGTAGCTGAGGCTCAAATGATCTTCCACGGGGTCCATTAGTTCCTCTTGGCTGGTCCCTGGGTTCAATGCAACGCTCCCAGCAGGTACGGTAACTGCCACTCATCTGAAACTCCCAAGTTACACTCTGCCTCACTGACAAGGGCATGGGGCGCTGCCTCCTATTCTGTTTTGTGGGTTCTTTGATCACCAGAAGGAATTTCGAGCCACTGTGCTAAGTAACTCGAATTACTCATAGGCTGGGATCCCAGAAGCCGCTGGGTTCCTCCATATACCATCAGAAGCTGAGCTTCTCCAGAGGACACTGAAGAGGCTGCTCAAGAACCCTACAGCAGGTTGTCCCAGAATTACCCACCATGACCTAGGTAGCTGACTAAATGCCACAGCCCACCTGAAGTTTCCCCAGGCAAACACCTGGAGTGTCTCATGACTAAGCAAGATGTCCTATGGAGCTAAAAATAACCCTCCTATCCCTTCCTCCTCCTGCCATCCCCATCTCTCTGACCCTCTGTGGTCCTCAAAGGGCATTTAAGATTTGAGTTTCCTGGCCAGAACGTGGGCAAGTGCTTGTATTTATTTGCTATTTACTAACTGCTGCCATAGTAGATGGCGTTTCTAAAACGGTATAAAACATCTACCAACAACATCAGGTTTTTGGTATTCTATATGTGACTGTTAAAATAAAAATGGACCTTGGCTACCTATAATGAATGAGCCAAGTAAAAGCACTCCAATCCTGGCGTCCAATTCTATCAGCTGATATTTGACACAGGGTTTGACAGTTGACAAACTGTCTCTCCATGGTTCCCTCTTAACAGCTCCATGAGGTGGCAGGGCCAGTACAATCATCCTTGTTTTGTATCTGAGCAAAGGACATTGTGGAGAGATTAAGCAAGGCTACAAAATCGGTGAAGGATTCCGACTTTCCACTACAGCAAGAGGTCTCAGTGCATGGCTAGCCCTAGGCGATGCCAGAAACATGACGACATAAGTAATACTTTTTTTAATAGCAAAGAAAGCAAGCCAGTAAGATGTCCAGCTTGGGAAATATGAAGTTGGCAAGGACAAAAGATGCCTCCAAATTTTAAAGAAAAAAAAATTTCTCTCTCGGTTAACCCTCACTACTCCATCAAGAGTAACAGCAGAGTCCAGGTATCCCCTGGAAGTGGGTCAGGTTCGGGTCTGCACTGTCTTCCTTGCTTCCAGGTACCTTCCTCCTCCCAGGCCGCACGGAGTCCCGGGCCCGGCTCCGGGCGCTGTGTTTACAGGCAGGGCGGCAGGAAGGACATGACCTCCCCAGCTCTGCGGCAGGTTAAGCAGCCTGATTGAACGTGGCTGCTAATTAAGGGCCCCTCTTGTCTGGCAGGGCCACCAGGGTACCTTCTGCACTTGTTCATGACCACTGCACCTCGCTCAGAAATTAACTCTTGATGAGTGCAGACAGGGGCCCAGCTGGTCCTCCCGAGTCCTCCCAAGTAGATAAATGAAGTGTAATAAGAATGCCGCTGACTGCCAAGGGAAGAGGGGCTCTCCGTGACCTCTTGGTAAAATCCAGAGTATACTTTTACTATGACTTAATTCTCTGCACTGGGGACACCTAACGTAGCCAGGAATGGTGTGAACAGACCACTAGCCACAGGGACAGCATAGAGGCGTCCATCACTAGACGTCCACTTCATGAAGTAGGAGTTAAAAGAATAAAGAGGTAATTTATGAGAAACTAATTTTCAATTGACAAATATTTTCAGGAGGTGTGATGACCTACTTTTCTCCATAACTCTTCATGGGCCCAGGGACAATGGTGGCTCCTATTACAGTTTGCAAATGGTACAATCATTCCGCTCAGGTTTAAAATATTAAATGCTCATCTTCTATCACTTACAGAGGGATTCTTTCCCTGAAGCTCTATTTAAGGAGAGGGAAATTGCGGCCGTCATTGTCCAGGCCTCCCACATACAGAAACTTGGTAGACAGACATGTTCTGGGTCACATGGCTAAGCTGTACTGACATGCTGCTCGAGTCCAGAGGTATCGCCATTGAGTTCAGCACAGTCAGGACCAGAGCCTTTTCCACCATTCATCTCAGGAAGCCAACACACACAGCTGGTAAGGGGGAGGGCTTGGAGCTAGGAGACTGGGAACTGTGTGTGGTCAGAAGCCACCTCACTGCCCTGGCCCACAGTGTGGTTCCCTGTGTGACATCATCTTTGAGATATGACAGAGACAAAAAGCAGGCTGAGAGTCCCTGCTCTGGACTCTAGATCACAATGAAGCCACATCTTTCTACAACTTTTGAAAGAAGCAGGTGAGGTTTCCGAAAAAAAAACCAAGTGAAATGAAAGGTGACGGTCAGTGTGCTATCTTTTGACCGCACAGCAAAAAAGTGGTTGCCGGGCTAGAAGCAAGATGGAAAGATGAAGAAATGGGCAGAAAAGGCATTTGGTGCCTTGATGAAAAATTTCAAAAATAAAAGGGTCCCATGGTGAAACTAGAGCAATTCCCAGAAGACTAAATGTGGGAGGAATGGGACGAGGTAGGGGAAGTCAGCAGAGACTCTAAGTTGTTTAAGAGAGCGTATTACTTATCTATTGCTGTGTAACAAATGAACGCAAAACTAAGCAGCCCGAGACAACTTAAGAAACCCACGATTTCCGTGTGCCTGGAGTCTGGGTTGGCTCAGCAGGATGCCTTTAGCTCAGGGTCTCTCACAAGGCTGCACTCAAGGTGTCAGCGGGCACTGTGGTCATCTCAAGGCTTGCCTGGGGGGGTGGCTCCGCCTCCACTTTGTCCCTTCCCAACCTCATCTGTAGTCTGCCACAGGCCTCGGTGCCCCAGTAGCTGCTAATCTTTTGCCATGGGGCTACTCATAGCACGTCAGCTTGCTTCCCTCAGAGCTGGGGGTAGGGAGAAGAGGAAAAGCAAGCAAGACAGAAGTCACCCAGAAGTGCAAAAAAGGAGTTGCCATCCCATTACTTTTGCCATATTTGATTTGTTAGAAGTGATCCAGTAGGTCCGACCCACCTGCAAGGGGAGAGGCTTACGCAAGAGCATGAAAACCTGAGGACAGAGACCACCAGGACCAACAAAGGCTGTGGACCACAGAGACACTCTTTATTCATGGAATAAACCTGGAGCCCGATTCTCCCAAGGCGAGCCTCCTGAAATGATAGAAGCTACGGAGGGAGGCCACATGCTAGGCCACATGTCAGCATTATTACTGTTCATCATTCATTCAGGGCCCACAAAAGCGAGAGCATCTCCATACGGGTGTGGATTTTAAAATCAGGAAAGCAGGCCAGATAGAATTCATGCTTAGGCACAGCTGCTCAGAACTGACCACCCTAAGGGGCCCACTGTTAATAACTCATCCTTTCTGATGATCCGCCCACTGCCTGGTGTGGCTGCTGCCACTGTTCAGCTCTGTCCCCTGCCCTGAGAAACATGTGCTGCCAGAGGTTCGTCCTCACAATAATAACCGCTAACACTGAGTGACAGCATGTGATGGTCAAGTACAGAGTCTGGCACTTTATGTTCATCACCGCGTTTCATCCTCACCACGACCCTGTTCTGTGGATCCGGCTGGACGCATCCAGAGGTGGGAGTCCCTGTGGTCTGGGCACTGATCAGTGCCTGAATGTTCTCAGGGACACTCCCCTTCATTAAAGCAGACAGTTAGACATTAACAGGTCTCATGACTCAATATATAACTGAATTGTTATATTATGGGCACATTGCACAACTGTTCACTTAGAAAATCTAAAAGAATCAGCTAAAAACTATTAGAAAAACTTAGTGAAGTGTATAAAATGAAACACTACCGTGCCACTTTAGGACTCTGGCAATAGCTAAAAAGTAAGTTTTGTGATAACTCATGTTCATTGTAGAAAATCTAGAAAATAAAAAAAAAAAAAAGTAAGACTAAGGCATTAAGTCACTCATGACTTTACCAAAAGACATTTTGGTATATTTTCTTTGATGCATTTTTCTATGTTACATGGGTGACTATATCATTGTATTTTAAAAAATTGTTGTCATACTACACTAGCTGAGCATCTTGCTTTTTTCACTTAATGTAACATTGGGAGCATTTTCCCATGCTCATGTTCTTCAAAAACCCAAGGTTAAATGGTTACTGAATAGCTCATCATATTATTACAACCTAATTTTAAAAAACTATTTCCTTTTACTCATTTAGTCAAAAAAATCAAATTTTTTTCCTCTGTTCCCCATTTCCTGTCTTTAAAAAATTATTTGAATATCCATTTCAGTTCTTCTATTGGCTTAACACATATTTATTTACATTTTTAAGTTGGCTGCAAGTTAGAAATATAAGTTTTCACAGTCTGCCTACAGTCAGTACTGTACAACCTCTATAATAAAGAACTCTTCTCACCATCGAGGTCCGTATCTACCCCTGGTCTTTACCTTACAGCTGTTACATGTATCTCATCTATAGATGTTATAAGCCTCGCAAGACAGTGTTATAATTTTTGCTTAAAATTCTTATATGATTAACAATGAAATTAAGAAGAAAAAAGCAGAAAGAAAACTAGTATTTTGTGTTGATCCAAATATTTACCAGTCCAGTAGTCTTTACTCTTTTCCAAGGACCTGAGTTCCCAACTGGTATTATTTCCCTTTAACTGAAAGAAGTTCCTGCAGCATTTCTTACAGTGCAGGTCTGCTGGTGATAAATTCTTTTTTCTTTTATCGAAAAATGCCTTTATTTCCCTTCAATCTTAGAAGGATATTTCTACAAGATATAAAATTCTGGGTTAGGGCAGGCGTGGTGGCTCACACCTGTAATCCCAGCACTTTGGGAGGCTGAGGCAAGCGGATCACTTGAGGGCAGGAGCTCAAGACTAGCTTGGACCACATGGTGAGACCCTGTCTCTACTAAAAAGACAAAAAATAGCTGGGTGTGGTGGTTCGCACCTGTAGTCCCAGCTACTCAGGAGGCTGAGGCAGGAGAACTGCTCAAACCCAGGAGGCAGAGATTGCAGTGAGCCGACATCATGCCACTGCACTCCAACCTGGGCAACAGAGCGAGACCTCAACTTAAAAAAAAAAAAATTCTGGGTTAGAATTTTCTGATTCTCTTTCAGTACCTTGAAAATGTTATTCCATGCCGTTCTGGTCTGCAAGGTTTCCAGTGAGAAGTCAGCCATTAACTGGATTATTACTGTATGGCTTTTCTCTTGTTGCTTTCAAGATTTGCTCTTCAACTTTGGTTTTCAAAAGTTTGCAAGAACCAGCGTGGGATTTTTAAATATTTATTCTTATTGGTGTTTCTTGAGCATATGATCTTATATCTGTAAATTTCTACTTGTCACTGAATTCTGAAATTTTTTAGCTATTATTTCTTCTACTATTTTTTTCTGCTCCATTTTCTCTTTTTCCTCTGTCATTTTCCCCCTCTCTGCCTTCAGCTGTTAAGTCCACTCAGTAAATTTTTATTTGAGATAACTATTTTCAGTTCTAGAATTTCCATTTGGTTCTTCTTTTTATCATTCTATTTCTCTGCTGAGCTATCTTATCTTTTCATTCATAGTGAGCATATATCATGTTATTTCATTTAGGATAGTTTTGTTTTGCTTTGCTTTGAGACAAGGTCTTACTCTGTCACCCAGGCTGGAGTGCAGTGGTGTGATCATGGCTCACTGCAGCCATGACCTCCTGGGCCCAAGCAATCCTCCCACCTGAGCCTCCCCAGTAGCTGGGACTACAAGGGCACACTACCATGCCCAGCTAATTTTTGTATTTTTTGTAGACATGGGGTTTCCCTGTGTTGCCCAGGCTGGTCTCAGACTCTGAGGTGGGCTCAAGCAATATGCCCACCCCAGCTTCCCAAAGTGTCGGGATTACAGGCGTGAGCCGTGGCACCCAGCCATTTAGTATAGTTATAACAGCCACTGGAAAACCTTGTGTGACTCTCCATATCTGCTTCCCCTTGGGGTTGAACTTCATTTGATTTCTCTTTTTCTTGATTTGAGACAGTATTCTATTTCCTTGGTTCTTCAAATGTTGGTTATTTTAGCTTTGTATCCCAGATGTGAGGAAGGTTAAACTGTAGAGGTTTGGGATTTTGCGATTTTTCTTGGATGACTGTTAGTTCTTTTGGTTGGCAATTAGCTGAACCTGAACTGCAAACTCTGACCCTTTCGGCAGCAAGCACAGATTTTTTTGTCATTATTGTGATCTGAGTCTATTCTATGCATGTATGGTTCAGCGATCAAAGATGTATATAAACAGAATTTGGGGATCCCCTCTCCAGCCCTTTTCTTCTAGGAGTCCCTCTCACTGCACCACCTGCCCTTGGCCCTGAGCTTACTTGGTGCAGCTCAAGAGTGCAGCTCAAGACCCACCTTGTCCCAACGAGGTTCTCCCACCATAAACTTGCCTGCTTCTGCTCACTCTCAATGGCTTCAGGCAGCTGCTTTCTGAATTATACCCAGTTTTCATAGTTATTTTCTGTATGTGGGGGTGGGAGGGATGGAGGTGGGAGGATCTGTCTGGTAAGATCTTGATCTGCCATTCTCAGAAGAAGAAGTTCCCAGACCTTTGTATCTAAATACCATTCCCCACTAAAAGGAACCAGAGTTCCTTCTAAAAATGTAGAAAGTAAAATATAAAAACAGCTCATTCCAGAGCTGGGTACAAGGTTACGCCTGGAATACCTTATTATGCCAGAGAGTGAGGAAGTGATCAAAGATCCAAGAGGCCCTGTCAAAAGGAGATGGGAGCCTACTTTTCAAACCAAATCTGGGATAATTTGAGCAAAGAGAATAAGGATCATAATTAATAATAAAATTCTGAAGAAAAGAGAGACTTAATAGTCCACAGTGCTGATTGAGAGGAAAAGGAAGAGAAGCATATTACTCATTTAATTGGCAGATAAAACTGAATGTATTTGTCATGTACAACACGTTTTGAAGTACCTACACATTATGAAATTACTAAATCTAGCTAATTAACATATGTATTACCTCACACTGTTACCATTTGTTACATTTTTAACTGATGACGTATCTCTCATTTATTGGACTGATAACGTATCTATTCCTCATTCACTGGATTCTACCCAGAAACAGCACACTTTCACCCTTTCATGGTACAGCTGCCATGCTCTTCACAATGTTATTATTCTAGACTATTACAGTACAAGCTAGCAGTGACCTATTTATCTTTTAGGATCATGAACAATATATATCACTTCATTTCTAGAAACTGATCTTCAAAAACTATAACCTACTGCAGGACAGGTGAGGCCAGGGAGGCGGACACCTCTGCCTCCAGGAGGCTACTCTGTGCCTCAAGAACCAAAGAACGAGGGGAGTTCGACCACTGCCTGTACAGAGCCCGAATGCCCTCCCTGCTGCTGTTCTAATGCATGTCCCATCTGCAATGTTAGAAAACAAGCTTCAGCTTGATACAGTGGAACTTGGCAGATGGCACAGTTTGCTTGTTACAGAACTAAGTATGAAAATAAATTCATTTAGTAGTGCTCCTTGGAGAAATGTGGTTCAGAAGTCAAATAATTTTAAAAGACCTCTTTCCCATGTAAGACACCCATGAAACAATGCTCTGGTCATAATTAGTCTCTAACCTTTCAAAATGCCTGCTTCAGTGACCTCACCTGCTATTGAACACGATGCCTGCAGATGGTGTGAGGTGGCCAAAGGGTGGAGGACTGGCAGCGGGGGCTGCAGCGGCTGCTGTGACCAGCCACTCACTTGCTGAAGGATCAGGGAGAGACACTGTGTCTCTCTGGGTCTCGGCTTCTTAACCTGTGAAACCCAGGGGTTGGGGAAAAGCTCGCCAAGCCCCCCTCCTGCTTTGGCATCCTGTGAGTCTTTATTGTCCTGGGCTAGCTGGGACCCCTAGGACACTGGGTGGCTCCTTCCACCCCACATGATCATTCTGCTCAACAAGAACTTGCAGGAGCCACAGACCTGCCTCACAAACATGAGGAAGCGCATCCTTCTACAAAGCGAGAGGCTTGAGGTGTGTGTATAGCCAGGTCAAGGTGAAAGCTACTGAGGTTTTGCGGAATCAACTCTGTATCAAATCTTCTCTCTCTATCCTTCTCAGAGTCTGATCAAACTGGGAGGTAACAGATTCTCAACAAATCTCAAGGAGAGGGAGGAAAATATCTACCTACTATGGAATTATCTGTAATTTTTCTAACACACAGAGTATGTTAGCTAAAGCTTTAATGCCCCCTATCCTTTCTGTCACTTACGGTACGCTTTATCCTTTGATTTTTGATCAACTGTTAGTCGCAGAATGAATATGCCTAAATTATCACTGAAATCTAGCAAATTATGTCTTAGAATGTTAGTTTTAAAAATAAGTTTGAAAATCATTTTTATGAGTCTTTGTAAGCTCAAAAATATAGCTCTCATTATTTTGACTTAGTTTGTTTAAATTGCTAAGAAAATTATTTCCTCAAAAAACAGACACTGTACTCTTCACCAAATTTAGTATGTTGAAAACTGAAAATAAGAAATTACATATGAAAGAGCAAGCCAGAGACAACATACCAATATACAGAAAAAATAGAGGAAAAAAATACTAAATTTTTCACCTCTGACTTTTCCTCCTTTTAAAAAGAAAAAAATCAGGGCTGGCGCGGTGGCTCCCACCTGTAATCCCAGCACTTTGGGAGGCCGAGGTGCGAGGATGGCTTGAGTCCAGGATTTCAAGACCAACCTGGGCAACAAAGTGAGACCCTGCCTCTATTAAAAATAAAAAAATTAGCCGGGCATGGTGCTACATGCCTATGGTCCCAGCTACTTGGGAAGCTGAGGTGGAAGGATTGCCTGAGCCTAGGAGTTCAAGGTTGCAGTGAGCTGTGATCATGCCACTACACTTCATCCTGAGCAACAGAGCGAGATTCTGTCTCAAAAAGAGAAGAAAAGAAAAGATCTACCAGAAGCCTTGGGTCCCTGTTTTCTGGCAATATGCTATGCATATTTGCAAATATGTAAACTGCATGGATAATTTTGCTGTAACGAGGAATGTCACTTTACCAGACTACAACTTTAATCAGCATTCCTCTGAACAAACTTGCTCATGATACTAAGCAACGCAAACATGCAGCCAAACAACTGGTGTTTTAATATTCTAGCTTCTATTTCTTCCACGTCATAATTTCCTGTAATAATCTCACTCATGCCTGAACTCCACAGACATTCTTATTTATGTTTTTCAGGTCAGTATGCCAATAGCAAGAAGACTTGTTCTTGAAAGGTTGAGTTTTTCAAATGAGTCCTGAAAGAATTCTACCACACTGCCTATTTCCCAAGCAGGGATCATGGGAGAAAGGAAATTTTGAAGAAAATGGTTCTAATGCCATTTTGTTAAAAGTACTGAGAGATTTACAATGATCAAGTAATATGCCAGTTCTTTCAAAGGATGCCAACATCTGATGCCAACATAATTACAAGTTGGAAAAATGTGTAATGAATCAGGCGGCTCATAATTTCCCTTAGAATATGTATGCACAACTTATTAAATGACATAAAAAGCAAAGAGTCACGGCAAATGTTGAAACCTTAAATCTGAGTTTCATTGCTTTGGGGCATTTTCGTCAAACTCCATCATCTGGAAGTACCTAACAATAAGAAATATTAGGTCACAAGCTGTTTTAGAAACACCTGTAATACCTTCACCTAATGAGGCCAATAAACGAGAGCTTCGTGTTCCTCATCAAATAAGAAAACTTAATAGTCAAATCTGACATAATAAGCCCAAACTCAAACCCTGTAGAAATGGAAACACTCACATGGAGAGCATTTTCTCCTCCAAATTTTCGATTCTGCCAGGTCCCTCCCCTAAAGCCACCTGGTGGAAAAATGTGCCCCCAGTGCTAGGTCAGTGTGGGTTTCCCAGAGTAGGGCTTAATTCATGTGGTGGTCTTTGGAGGCTCAGAAAGAATAGAATAGAGTTTTCTCTTGATGGTCACTGTCCTCACCTCCTCCTGCTCTCCCCCAAACACACTACAACCTAGGTAAGGAGAAAGACCCTACTGACATCTTATTCAAAACCCCCAATCCCACCCCTTTCAAGGTACTTGCCAGGGAGGTAAATGGTGGACTCTGCAGGTTTCCTCCTCCAAAATCATTTGTATACTTTGTCTATGGTCACTGTCTCCCCAAAAGGGCTATACTATCATTTTCTTCCAACTAGGGCTGTCAGATTTCACAAAGAAAAATACAGAATGCCCATTTAAATGTGAATTTCAGATAAACAACAGATAATTTCTTAGTATGTCTCAAATCATGCATGGGATATACTTACACTAAAAAGCTATCTGTTGTTTATCTGAAACTCAAAATGAACAGGGCATCCCGGATTTTATCTGGCAAATTTATGCAAAACATTCATAATATGGGGAATGAGAAATTAACACAGTTACCTCTTTCTGGTAGTCCAGGAAGTAGAGAAAAGGCAGCTCTAAGAAGGGGTAGAGGTGAGAAAAGGGAAAATGTAAAGAGAAAATAAAGCCTTCCTTATTTTGGTAGAATTCCATGTGGTCCTTTACAAACTTTAACGTGCATACAAATCACCCAGGGACATTGTTAATTTAACATGTGGGTTCTGATTGGATAGGGTCGTGGAGTCTGGAATTCTCCATTTCTAATCCCTCTCCAGGCAATGCTGATACTGCTGGTTCAAAATTCGTTTCACTGGTAACAGAATTCCAGCCTCCTTTATTCCAGGAATTGCATGGGGTCAAAGGCAAGAAGACCCGGTGCAATGGGTGGAGAAGCAGGTGGAGGAGTGGGGGCCCTGTGAGGGCCAGGGAAGGCCATGTGAGTGTGTGGATGTGTGGCTGAGGGAAAGGAGGCCAGGGATCAATGAAGCTTTGCTTTTTTTTTTTTTTTTTTTGATGGAGTCTCACTCTGTCACCCAGGCTGGGATGCAGTGGTGCAATCTCGGCTCTCTGCAACCTCCGCCTCCTGGGTTCAAGCAATTCTCCTGCTTCAGGCTCCTGAGTAGCTGGGATTACAGGCATATGCCACCACATCCCACTAATTTTTTTGTATTTTTAGTAGAGACGGGGTTTCACCATGTTGGTCATGCTGGTCTCGAACTCCAGACCTCAAATGATCCACCTGCCTTGGCCCCCCAAAGTGCTGGGATTGCAGGCGTGAGCCACTGCACCTGGCCTCAATGAAGCTTTTCTAACAGTGAAGGTGAAATACAAAGATTTGGTCTCTTCTGAGGTTTCTTCTAATTCTGCACTGTGAGAAATAACCACTACTGTCATCCACACTAAGACATGAGTTTTGAGCAACAATAGCAACAACAAAAAATGCACACACAGCAAAAGCAGCAAACAGTTTTAGACATTCATGCTTCTCATATTATTACTGAGAAACAGAGCAGTACGCTTAAGAATCCAACACAAATGCCTTGTCACATTTGGACAAATGAGTAAAGACGGGGGATAGGTTGTGTAGAATTCATCAAATTGGTGCCCCTAAAAAGTGAATTGAGATTTCGGGACCTGGCCATGGTTTGACCCTTAGTGATGTGTGTACCTATATACACACCAAAACAGGCACTCGCTTCACTTTCCAAAAGTTATCTGGAGAAAAGTTGTTCTAGTTCAGAGTGTTTACATAGACCAAGGATGGTCAACTGAGACTCCAGGGCAAATACATGAGATTTTTACCGGTTCCTGGATACCTTTGACTCAAGACAGAAAAAAAGTCATTAGGAAAATGGTAATTATTCTTGTCATTCATAGAAGCCTACAATTCTCCCACCCAGGAAATTCCACTACTCAATTAATTGATTACATGGAATAGGATGCCTCCACTAGTCATCTAGTCAAATGTGGACACTGGTCTGGGTTTTAACTTGTGGGAAACTGTTTTTCTTTAACTCAGGGGACTCTAAAGTACAATGGCTAAGAGTACCAGAGTCAGACTACTTGTGCTGAATTCTGGCTCCAACACTGTCTCCCTGGGTTCCATACTACTCTTAGCCTCAGTTTTTACATCCATAAAAAGGGATCAATAAAAGAATGTCTGACTGGGGCAACATAGTGAGACCCCATCTCTATAAAAAATTTTAAAAATTAGCCAGGCCAGACATGGTGCATGCCTGTAGTCCCAGCTCCTCAGGAGGCTGGGGTGGGAGGATCACTTGAGCCTGGGAGGTCAAGGCTGCAGTGAGCTGTGATCACACCACTGCACTCCAGCCTGGGTGACAAAGGAAGACCCTATCTCAAAAAAAAAAAAAATGTGACTGTCACTAGGCTGCTGTAGGGGATAAACTTAATAACGTATGTCTAGGAAATACACAGGAGGAGTTCAGTAACGTTGCCTGTTAATACCTTGTCACTGTAGTTACTGTTTCTTTGCTACTTTGCATGAAGCTCTGAATTGCTCAGTGTTACCCTGAAGCTGGGGACTAACCATCCTTCTCTGGATTGCCTTCTGCCACTCAGCCATTCTAGTAATCAAGCTAAGCCTCTACTGAGGTCCCAGGACACACAGTTGTATGGGTAAGCCAATGCAGCCAATGAAATGTGTTGTAGATATAGAAAATGAGCTATCGGAAACGCTGACTTCAGGAAGTGGAGATACATGGCACAGCTCCAAAGGCAAGAAGCTCATAGCCACCACGAATCTAGTAAGTCCTCCCTGCTTCTTGCCTTACATCCACAGGTGTGAGGGAAATTGGTGGTAAAAATTTCCTTTCCCATGACTCGTAAGCTTCTGAGAAAAGCCTTGTGATGATATACTAAGTACTTCAGCAAAGGATCAGAGGAGTCAGCTGTGAGCACTGCTCAGATCCCAGTAAGACTTTCAGTGGCCAAGATTAAAGCTGGCTTCCCTCTGCCACGCCAAGCAACCCAGCCTGGCTACAGTACAGCAGGCTGCTGCAGGAACTTTTCAGAGCGAAGAGTAAGCGTTCGATGAAGATGTAGACTCGATTAGAGTGGAAGATGGAAGCAGCAGATAACGGATGCATTACATACCATACTCTTTTCAAAATGAAAAAGCAACTAACATGCAATCCTTCAATATAAAGGTAGATTATAAACATCGGTATTTTTTCTTTTTACTCGCACTTGGAATTACTTTGGTTGTAACCATTTACGTCTTTGCTCAGTCTGGATTTAATCGGTTTCTCTGTTCTTCCCTGTAAAACTGAGTCTTTCCACCAAATGACCCTGCATTCACCTTAATTTGATTTTCTGGGTTTTCGTCTTTTAAAAGTCATCACAGATCTTATGCCATAGTTGTGATCAGTTCTCCAACATTTGTCTGACTATGGCTCAAGATTAAAAAACATTTTCTTCTAAGATGTGAGATCTCCTAATTCTCCAACACTCACCTATCCTCCACCCACCGGCATTTCTCTCCCTCACCCTGCTCCTCCGCCTGCTTCTTCACCCACTGCACTGGGGCTTCTTGCCTTTGACATCATGCAATTCCTGGAATAAAGGAGACTGGAGTTCTGTTACCAGTGAAACGAACTTTACGTTAGAGACATCCAAACTGTGTGGATTTGGTATAAGCTTCTTTCAAAAAGTACTACTCCATTATTGGGAATGTTTATGCCTAAAAAAGAAGATTCTGTGTTCTATTGTGTCAGACGCTTTCAAAGTGCAATTGTTCAATTTGCAAACTGCAATTGGTTAACCAAGCTAAACTTAATTAGTCCAACGATCCTACACATCAAACCCTACTGTTTGATGTATTCTGCGAGATGTCCAAGCCGCCTACAGCTGGCTAAGGGTCACAATGAAAAGGCAGCCAGGCTTAGGTCTGGGAACTGAAATGAGCTGTTCTAAGTGGAGCTTTTCTTCCATTTTCTGAGGCTGCACTGCTCTGACCTTCTCCAAATCAATCCTTTGCGGATTAACATGTAAAGCAGTGTCGAATTAATTTCAGAAAGGGAATATGAGATCAGCCTAGGATCATACAAAACATCTAACTCCTAAATACACTAATGCTTCTAGCCATTCAATGAGAAGCTGTCAATAAAGGGAAAAAAGTCGGTGAGGGGGGCGGCCAGAAGGATTTGAAGGTTGGAGCAATCTATCAGACTAGTTAGCACATTGCCTACTTCTGTGGCATGGCTAATGCATTCCTCTAGAAGTTAATCCTATTTCTAAAGACCCTCCCGCGAGGAGCACATAGGCCGTGATGAATGAGAACTAAAATGCATTAAAATTCTCAACAACTTCACCAAAAGGCACACTATTAGATTCTGAGTGTCTAAAATAAGACGGTTCATTAAAAGTGCAGGTCTTAAAGAACCCGCTTTTGTCCCTACACACTGGGGAGAGAGGGGCCAGTGTGTCACTTGTGACACCTGCAGCCAAAATATTTTTACATTAGGTTGTCCAAGTAATCACATGAGAAACACTACATGAAACGGCAAGGGAAGGCCTTTTTCACAAGCGAGCTTAAATAGCGTTATTATGTGCCTACGCTGGGGGAGGATGTGTTTCCCCAGCATTAGCCACACAACGGTGTCATTAAACCCACTTTTAAAAAACAGACATGAAAGAGCACTTAATTTCCCTTGGAGGAGCGGCGGTATTTGAACACTTCTCTTTTTCTCTCATTGTATTTTGCTTGTACTCAATTAAGAGATAATTTAGCCATTTATCAAGATGGAGTCGGGGCTGAGCATTTATACAGGCATTTACTGCAGCTATCCTTACAGGCGAAAATCTGAAACCATCTCCAGAAGACAGTTCATAGCGGTGGGCCTAATATTGACTGGAAATTACACCTTGACGAGTTAGTTTTGAGTCTCTGTTAACAGCACAGGGTATGGCTGGATGGCCCTCAAGACTGACTGCGACAAATTATAAAGCAACGTCGATGCTAACGCCAGAAACACCAAGGACGAAATGCTTGAGCCCCTACAGAACTGGCAGGAAGCAGCAGCTTAGGAGGCTCCGAAAGATGAAAACACAAAGACAGAAGCACACCTAGAAACTGGAGGGAATCCACATGGTGTGTTTGTTAAATGAATGAATTAAAGAGAGAATAAGTAGACTCAGATTGCCACCTGGACTCAGGACATTTATAGCAACTTAATGGGCTGAAGTTTTGCAAAAGTTGATCCTCAGTGCTAAACATCAGGTCCAGCAGAAGGGTTCCCCAGAGGGGTGTGGGCATGGGAGGATGAGAGAGGAGCACGAGGGATGTATGATCCTGCCCACTTTGTTTCCACGCTTCATAATGAACACCTGTGCTGCATTTACTCTTCTGTATGAATCGAATATTACACTGAAAAAATCTGAAAGTAATACTTCCTCTGACCTTTCGTTTTCACATCAGCATCTACCACTTCTTTGTAGGGTCATCAATCCTACTATAAACAGTGTTATCAGTCTAAACTCTGCTATATCTGAACATTGTAATAATCAAGCTATGATACGGACAGTATCATTTACGGAAAGCTTCTAATACAGCATCTGTTTTACACACACACTATCTCTAATCCTCACAATCCTTTGGGCAGGTGGCATCTTTGTTTTACAGACAGAACAACTGAGGCTCAGAGAGGGCGAGTCAGGTGTTAAAGGCCACACAGCTAGCAGCCACCACTGAGAGGATTAAATTGAGGTCTGCTGGGCTCCCAAATCCATACTCTTTCCACTTTCCCATAAAGAAACAGTGCAGGGGAAAACATAATACCATGTATCTAAAAGAAAGAAAAATAACTAAGAAGTTGCACATCTGAAAGATTGCAAGTTCCCTCAAGCTTAAAGTAAAAATGCTTGTTAAATGATAGGGTCAAGGATTTTATGAATAAATAAAAAAGAGCCATCCTACCTAAGCCAGATAAAGTGCACTCACAGGGCAGCAAAAATAAACCAGACTCACGCCATGTCAGGGTCCCACCAAAAGCCAGGCTGTGCGACCCATGGAGATGACCACCAACCAGCACCCCTCCCTCAGTGAGAAGGTGGGTCCTTGGCCATCGGGAATGAGGCAAAGGAAGGGGCAGGGCCCAGGGAGCAGTGGCCTGGCAGCCCCTTCCCATGAGTTGGGGACTAGGGGGCAGGTAGTGATAGTGAGGCCCCGTGCCAGCTGCAGCGGAGGAGGCATGGTTGAGGCTGCACCTCTACAGAGCTGGCAGGAACTGGGAACAGGTGAGAGCCACGCCCCCTTCCGAGTTGAAGGGGCTGGAGCCCCACTCTCCCAGGCGCAGCTGCTGCTGCCCAGCCACGGCCGGGCCGCCGACTGGGATTCCTCGCGCTGTCAGAGGCCCCAGGAAGCCCCCCTCCCCCACAGGCTCAGAAGTGCCTGCTCCTGCTGCAGGGCCTGTCCCTGCTCCCGGCACCCACTCTGATTTCAGAGCAAAGTTGTGGCCAAGCCCAGGCACTGTCATGACCCAGCCAGGTGTGCACATGCTCAGGGCGGCGCTGACATGCCAGCCCCCTGCTGCCTCAGTCCCCACTGGACTTTGGGCACCAACAAGCACAGGCTTCTGGGATGCCAAGGGGGCGCTGAGGGCAGTTTGGCACAGGCCTGTACGCGCCCTTCAGCATGAACAGCCTGGGTGCTGTGGGCACCGTGGATGTCAGGTTGATGGCTGCAGAAGGCAGACAGGCTCCTGGGCAGAAAGTGGGACGTCCCTGGTGAAGCTCCATCTTCAAGTCAAGGACAACCTGAAGCATTTCTTGGGGCTGGATAGCTTTTGTCTTTTCGATGACCCCAAAAGCACGGAAAAACCAGAAGTCAGCTCCGTGGGTGGTGACCCCGTGGAGGGGAAATATAAACCAGAAAGTAGGATGCTGAGTGCAGACTGGGAGGCGACTTCATGGTCTGGACTAGTGCCAGCCCTAGCGCCTGGGACGTGAGGGTGCCCGGCAAGAGGGTGTAAAAAGACAAACCAATGAGTGCGTGGGAGGCCTGATTCTCATGTCAAAAAGGGTGGAAGGAACCACGTGTTCATCTGACAGCATCGTCCTCCTGTTTATTTCCTCAGCCAAGGACTGGGGACTGGGAGACAGTCCACTTGGGTGACGGCGAATTTCTTTCACCCCGAGCTGACACCACCTTGGGCAGGGGGCCACAGTGAGGGCTGAGCTGGCCACTGTGTCCAGGGGATCGTGCCTTGGGCAGATCTGCCTTCATCTCCCTGCTCTTCCCCTCTGTTTTTTGTGTATAGTAGGAGCACACGAGAATTAGGAAGAACAGAAAAAACAAGCATCTTTCAAGGTTTTATTGAACCACTGCCAAGAAGATGTGGAAGAGTGGGTTGACTACAATTGCTAGACATCCGTTCATTCACTTATTCATTCAGTTCACTGGCATCCCCAGCTAACACGGCCACCGTGTCACACTTACCAAAAAATGGTTGGGAGATTTATCCTTGGCCAACTCTGCAGAACCCTCCTCCCCAAACCTCCTGCTCTGCGCTTTGCTCCGGCAGTGATCTCAATGACAGGATTTTAAAACGAGGTTTCAGTACTTCTGCAACCCAAATGTTCACATCGTTACCGCTTAGGAATCTCAGTTATGTCTATATGATATTTAAGCATGTGTTTAAAGACACAAAACACTTTCCGCATTTTGTCTGAATAGACTGAAGACTTGTTGCTGAGTTTTCAGTACAAAAAAACACCAGCGATTATCCTGAAACTGACAAGTTTGAAGATGCAAAGTCTAGGCTGTAAGAGGAATTTTAAACGCACGCCTTTAAAATGAGACTTGTGGCTAAAATGGAGAAAGGGAAGGGAGGGAAGGAAAGAGAAGAAGACGGGAGGGGAGAGGAAAGAGGGAAGAAGAGGAGAAACTGACAGCTGACAGGAGGGTCCCATCACAGGTACAGGAGACATCAGGTGGCCTCTGATGGGAATAGGAGAGCTGCAGCCAGTCATCCTCACCCTCCCACAGCTGCTAATGAGCCATTGTCAGGCCTTGTAAAAGTAAGTTAAATTATTGCTGATATATCTTCCTTGTAAGTAAGATAAGGTGACAAAAGGTCACTCCTCGGCGAGGTGCAGTGGCTCACACCTGTAATCCCAGTACTTTGGGAGGCTGAGGCAGGCGAATCACGAGGTCAGGAGTTCGAAACCAGCCTGGCCAACATGGCAAAACCCCGTCTCTACTAAAAATACAAAAATTAGCCAGGCATGGTGGCGTGCACCTGTAATCCCAGCTACTTGGGAGGCTGAGGCAGAAGAATTGCTTGAACCCGGGAGGCAGAGGTTGCAGTGAGCCAAGATTGCAGCACTGTGTGACGCAGTGACGGAGCCTGGGTGACGGAGCAAGACTCTGTCTTGGAAAAGAAAAAAAAAGCATCAATCCTCTAATCTAATGGATGACACACAGACTTCATAAAGCATATTTATCTGACCTGATGGGTTTTTTAAATAAACTTTTATTTTGGAATAATTTTTCATTTACATTATTTTTAATGATAGTAATCACGGCTCTTTCATGATGGGCTTAGCACATGTGATGGGCACCAGCACATATACATATGCCCTTTCAAATCAATCAACAGCTTGTTCAGGGATGTATGGAGACAGACAGAAATGTAGTATCTGGATCATTACTATTAATGCTAACTATTAATTTTACCTCTCCTAGTATTTCAAAATATGGTTATGCAGGCCAATTATCCATGCATGGAAAAATTCCCAGAAAAGGGAAGAACAAGAACAAGACAAGATCTAGCTAGAGCAGGACAGTGATTTTTAAAGCAAGATAACTAATTTTTAAAACCTACCAATAAATACAGCATTTAATTCAGAGTAGGGTTAAAAGAAATAAAAACAACAAAGTAAAACTTAAATGTATCACTCACTAAAATTACCTGTTATATTGATTAGGGCATAACCACTCGGGTTTTCTTGACCTGTGAGCCTGGACTTCTCGTGTGTGTTAAAGCACCGCCAAATACAACAATGACTAATAGCCTTTTTAAATGAATCTAAGACCCCGCTGATGGTAGTATACATCCCAATTTCAGAAGTGTTAAAATGTGTATTTTAGAACTGATCAAACAGTAATACATTAAGCTGAACCCAATCAAAAGTACATTTCCTGCTTATTTGGATAATGATGCACAATGCCTGGAAGAGAATGAGAACCAGGCAAATATTTACTGAATCAATGGATAGTCTAAGAGGTGACAGTCATCTGTGAAATATGGAATTACTCGCAGTTTGCCGACACACCATCTTCTTTCCTCTCTACACTTGCCTGGGACACCCCTCTCTTAGCCTTTCATTATAAGGAACAGTCAGTTCAATAATACAAATAATACGAATCTCTCTTCACTATGCATGAAGTGATCATTCCTTGCAAACTAGAAACACGAACTTGTTAACCTCCTTCAAGGATGCAAGACGACTCAGGAATCCTTCCATGTACTCTGCATTCACAAATACGTGTATGTGTGAACTTAGTCTACGAGGAGACTAACAACAGCCCATTTACCAGCTTCAAACGTGCAGGGTGTGTGTGTGTGTGTGTGTGTGTGTGTGTGTGTGTGTACACATGTGCTTCAGGGCAAGGCATGTGCTATATAATTTATTTTATAAGTTTACTACCACCAGATGTACAGTGTCAGTATCACCTGTGTAAATTAGACACAACTGGGTTTTGTATTTTGCATTACCTAGATAAGTATTTCTCTGCATTAGAGCTACATGGACCAGGCCTATTTAGCTACTTCCCCCTCCCATTCTTGGAGGATAAAAACAATTTGTTGTCCTCATAGGTTCTCTGAGCATCTAACCCTATATATAGCACCAAGAGAAACCAAACAGAGCACTGATGCCATGTTTGCTGGAATACCAACAAGGAGAGTAGAGGACAATGAGTAGAATTAGTACAAAAATAAGCCAGGCATGGTGGCTCACGCCTGTAATCCCAGCACTTTGGGAGGCCGAGGCAGGCGGATCACCTGAGGTCAGGAGTTTGAGACCAGCCTGGCCAACATGGTGAAACCCTGTCTCTACTAAAAATACAAAAAAAGTGCACACATATGTTTATTGCACCACTATTCACAATGGCAAAGACATGGAATCAATCCAAATGCCCATTAATGATAGACTGGATAAAGAAAATGTGGCATATATACACCATGTAATACTATGCGGCCATAAAAAGGAATGAGTTCATGTCCTTTGCAGGCACATGGATGAAGCTGGACACCATCATCCTCAGCAAACTAACACAGAAAGAGAAAACCAAACACCACAAGTTCTCACTCACAAGTAGGAGCTCAACAATGAGAACACATGGACACAGGGAGGGGAATAACACACACTGGGGCCTGTCAGAGAAGGGAAAAGGGGAGGGAGAGCATCAGAACAAACAGCTAATGCATGTAGGGCTTAATACCCAAGTGACGGATTAATAGGTGCAGCAAACCACCATGACACACATTTACCTAACCTGCACATTCTGCACATGTATCCCAGAACTTAAAGCAAAAAACAAACAAACAAACAAAACTCTGATGCCATCTCTGGCATCTCAGGCAATTTCTGCTTTTTCTAGGTTTTGTTTTGTCCATACACGGTACAGACTTCCTCCACAGAGGGATTTTACGAGAACTAGAACCAACAGGAAAAACTTGGGTGAGAGGTACTAACATAATTAACAAAATGAAGAACACGCCAACTTTCCTAACCAGGGAAGAAACACAAAACAATAAAGGAAGTCACATTTCCCTCCTTTTCCCATCACTGAAGAGACGGCAGCCAAATGGTCATGCTCACATTTGGTGCATGAAAGTGCTCTGGCAGTAATGATCTACAGGCAGTCATTGGCATGCTTATGGTCACTCACTTGCGACCTTGTTTCTTGAGTTTGTCCTAAAACTTCTTTTTGAAAGAAAGAAAGACTTTGACATAAAAATGTTCAATGTAGCTTCAGAATCACAAGAATTAGAAATTACCTCAATATCTAATAGCAGGGAGACCACTAAGGAAATTATAGTATGAGGCCAGGTGCAGTGGATCACACCCTAGAACTTTGGGAAACTGAGGCAAGAGGACTGCTTGAGGCCAGGAATTTGGAACCAGCCTGGACAACATAGTGAGAGGTCCTGTCTCTATAAAAAATAAATACGAAACTGATCCAGGTGTGGTAGGATGTGTCTCTGGTCCTGGCTACTTGAGCGGCTGAGGCGGGAGGATCACTTGAGCCTAGAAGGTCACAGCTGCAGTAAGTCAAGATCACACCACTGCACTCCAGCCTGGACAACAGAGTGAGACTCTATCTCAATTAAAATAATAATAATTGTTATTATTATTGTCTTTGTGTTAACCTATTCTTGAGACTGGTTTGGTTCTGGTGTGTGTGTGTATGTGTGTGTGTGTACACGTAAATATACATATATATTGTTCTACGTGATTAAAAAAATACACTTCATTCATCTTCCAAGTAAGTTAGCCTTCTTGTTTCCATTAAAATGCAGGAGGTGGGTCTGGTTCTACCAACCTTGCTCGAGATTTATCCCCAGGTCACCCCCGCCCCAGGACTCTGGCAGAGCTAGCGTAAGGCAGAGCACTGGTGGCTGATCCTGATGTCACCTGCAGGCCACATATGCATCTCCACCATCTCCAGACGTCGGCAATGCCACAGCATGACTCTGGGGATACAGCTTCTAGACAATAAGCAGCAAGTTAGAGACTAGAACAATTTCACGGATAAAAGACACCTGCTGGTGATATATGACTTCAAACAATGAAGAGGGGACTAGAAGGCTGGCATTCTGCCAACCAACACCTAAGAGGGCAGGGGAGCCATAGAGTGGGGACAGTAAAGGGCGGGACACTCTCTCCCAACAACCAAGGAATAGACCCACCTGGAAGGCAGAGGGAGTTTCTTCACTGGGTACAAGGAATTAGAGTAAGAAGTTATTTTTTTTTTTTAATTAGAAACAAATGAAAGAATCCCACCAACTTCACTCTGTGAACTATGATTTTAACGTTAAGAGTAACAAAGATGGGAAATCTATCAAAATCCTCAATTTTGTATTACACTGCACACTCGTGAAACAGTTCCTAACAAGCCTAGATGAATTTCAGTTCTTTTAAGCCAACATTTGAAATACAGGTCCCCAGTCCCACCCCTTCCTCAGCAGTGGCCCACTTCGGTGGCTGTTTTCTAGGAGTTGTTCCTGGAGTTGGTCTGGAGTCAGCACCTCCAGCCCTCATACTGATCTCCCAGTGAGATACGTGGATCTCCAGAGTTCAGTACTCGCTACACTGATGGCACTCAGAAGTTTGTGGAATGAATGGACAAATGAATGGATCGTTATGCTTCACTGGAGCAGGCAGGATCAACCCCCTGGAAGGGTTAAAGAAGGTGCTGAACGAAACTCTGCTTTTCTTGCCTTCATGCTTCCTTTTTTCCAAAAGGGTAAAAAGTAGCTGCATTAAATCCCTTTCTGTTCAGATGTCCTAGAACTGCTACAAGGCCCACCACATATCCCCCTCATCTCCAACTAGCACAGGGTAAATAGTAACATTCTACTGTACCACATTTTCTAGAATGGCTGTATATATGAAGTTACAATTCACGCTATGCACTGCTAATGAACTTTCCACAATGCCATAAATGAAATATGTAATATCATGACTCCCATTTTACAAATGAGGAAGCTTGTCCAAGTTTACACAGTTAACAGCGGAACTGGGACTCCATTCTGCTATACTGCCTCCCAGTAAAAGTTTACATGGTGAATACAGAACAAATATTCAAAAGAGAGAAAGAGGGGAAACAGAGGTGACAGAGGATCCAGTGTTGGCTTAATAGGTATAAACATGGTCTGAGCCTGATTATAGGCAAAAGAAACAAAGAAGAGCAGAAAAAAAGGAGTCACATGCATGGATAGCAGGGTGCTACAAGGATGTCTAATAACACAGACCTGTGGCGGGGAGGGTCACAGGATAATGGCATGCTTAAGGCGGCCCAATAGACACAGGAGAACACTGATGCTTGCTGGCAGGCTGGGAAATAGAGGTGCCTTGAAGAATCCATGGGGAGCTTATACTGGAAGTCTGTTTTGGGAGTAAAAAAGGATGAGGAGTGTAAAGTTAAAGAAAAGGACTGAAGGCCATTAGATGTTCTTCAGCGAGCATACTCAGCTGTTAAGTCAAAAATACTGCTGAGCTGAGGCCGGGCACGGTGGCTCACACTTGTAATCCCAGCACTTTGGGATGCCAAGGCGAGCGGATCACCTGAGGTCAGGAGTTCAAGACCAGCCTGGCCAACATGGTGAAACCCCGTCTCTACTAAAAATACAAAAAAAAAATTAGCCAGGCATGGTGGCAGATGCCTGTAATCCCAGCTACTCGGGAGGCTGAGGCAGGAGAATCACTTGAACCTGGGAGGTGGAGGTTGCAGTGAACCAAGATCGCGCCACTGCACTCCAGCCTGGGCAAGAAGGTGAGACTCCATCTCAAAAAAAAAAAAAAACCAACAAAAAACAAAAACAATAAAATAACCACCGAGCTGAAAGAGATGGGCATACAATTCCTACAGCAGAAGGAAACTCAGTTCTCCGGGGGCAATACTTCTCACTTACAACTTGAGTGTGCTCATTGAAGAAACCTTGGTGACCTTTAGGGATTTTCTTTAAATTATACCCCCTATCCTTTTCGTACCCCCAAACTCAGTGGTAAGTATTTTTCTTTTTCTTTCTTTCTTTTTTTTTTTTTTGAGACAGAGTCTCACTGGGTCATCCAGGCTGGAGTGCAGTGGCGTGATCTTGGCTCACTGCAAGCTCCACCTCCCGGGTTCACACCATTCTCCTGCCTCAGCCTCCCAAGTAGCTGGGACTACAGGCTCCCGCCACCACACCCAGCTAATTTTTTGTATCTTTAGTAGAGATGGGGTTTCACCGTGTTAGCCAGGATGGTCTTGATCTCCTGACCTCGTGATCTGCCTGCCTTGGCCCCCCAAAGTGCTGGGATTACAGGTGTGAGCCACCATACCTGGCCTCAGTGGCGAGTATTTTTCTACAGTTGTTTCATGTTCTGAGAACCAGGAGAAGGATATTTAATGTTGTTGGGTGTGCAAGTTCAGGTCTGATTCAGCGGGTTCAGAAGTAACTGAATAACAGCAGGGAACCAGTATAGGGAATATCAACAAGGGAGCTGAGCTTTGCTAATAGGCCATAATTTATTTAAAAAAATTTAGTCTCATAACTCTAGAGTTCAGTACTTGGTTCACTGATGGCATTCAGAAGTGTGTGGAATGAATGAATGAATGAATGAATGAATGAATGAATGAGTGAATAAATGGTTATACTTCACTGGAGTCGGCAGGATCAACACCCTGGAAACGTTAATAAGGTGCTGAACAAAACTCTTTTTTTCCTTTATTCTTCCTTTTTTCCAAAAGAAGAATAGCCTATGAAGTAATTCTTCTTTTCCCTCTAACTGCAATAGATACATAATACCATATTTTCACTAACAGCAAAAACAATTCACATTAGAAGGGGTTCTTCCATTCACCAGAGTTAATTTTTTAAGTGGATAAGCAATTAAAGATGCCAAGTAGATTAAAATTGATCCCTAGCATAAAAGTTGTGATCAATAAAAAAACAATCTGTAAATTTGATTGCATAAATCCTTTTTACTTAAGTCCACCATAAGCATAATTTTCAGGATCACTACTTTGATCTCACTTACTGGAAAATAAAATGCAATAAAAATATTGCTGCAAAACCTAGTTTCTAGAAAATAATAAATAAAACATCCATTTTAAAATTTTTGAACCACCCATGGGAGACAAATGCACAATGATTAGACTATGCTACTACTAATCAAGGAAAATGCAGGATTAAAAAGTCCCTTGGGATCTAGCCAAGTTCCTAAACTAACAGGAGAAATGCTTTCTGAAATGCAGCTTGTTTTATTTAACTGGTTCCAACGGCCCCTTACTGGTTTTCATGGTTTGGCAACTTTACACATTGTCTTTGGATTCTTGCTGTTAGGATCTAGCTCACACATCATCCATCTCTCCTCCTGCTCACTTACGCATCTGTTGTCAGTTCTACTGGATTCCTGTGAAACTCCAAATAGCGTACTTCACTGTTTTACCTATGAGATGTATGTCTTGCTGCTCAGTTTGTATGAGAAGCACAACCACACTCAGCTTTTCAGTCCCTTTCCCCTCCTCTGCTTCCCCGCCCACCTCTGTCACCCTTTACCTTGTCAAATGTAGTAACATTCACACTCTGTTCAGTAGCAACTGTTATCTTTCATGATTTGTCTCCAGATTCATTAAGTTGACACATTCCAATTTTGTGTGTCATGACATATAAACATAATTTACAGTATTAACTATACAGATGATACTTATTACAAGAGAATGCATAATATACAGGTATTACTATAAATATTGTCATATTACTAGATATTACTGAATATTAATATACTATACAGATATTTGTAACTATGCAGACATTTATAATCCTAGTTTGTTAGGATTACATTTCCTTCTCAATGGGTTCACGGTGCCATCCAATGGAAGATGTTTCTAGTATCAAAATAAAAAAGACCCTGTCTCCTCCCTCATGTAATTTGCTTTTATTTCAAGATACTAAAAAACCTGAGAGATCTCCCCACTCTATTCCCTTCCCAGAGAGGACTTACTTAAGTTCCAGAGTGAAGCCAGCCCCTCTCCCCGGCCCTCTCCCGCAGAGGGAAGGAGGGGCAGGCACGCAGCTACACTATATGAGCTCACGTCTGATGGTTTAGGGACCCTCTCCTGTAGTACAACCCGGCTGCACATGCACAGGGTTAGAGGCTGAACTGTGTCCCCCTAAAAATTCAGATATTGAAGTCCTCAACCTCAGCACCTCAAAATGGAACTGTATTTAGAGACAGGGTCTTTCCAGAGGCGATTAAGTTAACATGAGGTAATTCAGGTGGGTCCTAATCCAGTATGACTCGTGTCCTTGTAAGAAGAGGACATTTGAACACAGACACACACACAGGAGAGGTGACAGGAACACACAGGGAGACGACAGCCTCTACAAGCCAGAGAGAGGGGCCCGGAACAGAGCCTCTCTCACGGCCTCAGAAGGAGCCAGCCCTGCTGACACCTTATCCTGGACTTCTGGCCTTCAGAGCTGGGAGAAATGAATGTCTGTTGTTGAAGCTACCCCAGGCTGTGGTACTTTGTCCCAGCAGCCCTCGCAAGATAACACACAGAGTAACATCAGCCTTTTCCCATCCAGTCCTGTGGTAACGGGAGCATTAAAAAGCTCTGCGAGGAATGCGTGCTTTGTTCTTAGACTCAGAGATCCCGTGTTTCTTGTCAGAATATATCTTTCTCTGTATCTGTAGCTACAGACTTAGCAGCAGGGAGCTCTGTGTAGCACATAGGGCTTGTCAATAGACAGGTTTCACTTTAGTAAAAGTGGAGACAGGGGCCAGGTGCGGTGGTTCATGCCTGTAATCCCAGCATTTTGGGAGACTGAGGTGGGCTGATCGCTTGAGCCTAGGGGTTCGAGACCAGCCTGGGCAACATGATGAAACCCGAAACCTTGTCTCTAAAAAAAGTTTAAAAAATTAGCAGGGCATGGTGGCACACATCTGTAGTCTCAACAACTCTGGACAAGCCCCTGGAAGTTGAGGCTGCAGTGAGCCATGATGATGCCACTGTACTCCAGCCTGGGCAACAGAGTGAGACCCTCTCTCAAAAAAAAAAAAAAAAAAAAAAAAGGGTAGACACAGGTGATCCCTACATCCAGGATGAGGAGGCTTTTACTCTGAGGTATCTACCCTAGTTATCCCCAGAAAGCCATTCCATTTCTTTAAAGGGAGGAATCACCCTAAGGCAGCTTCATCATTGTCATCCTCCACCTGCTTTTCATCTCCCCAAATTCGGTTTAAATCTTATCTGCTGATAACCACCTTTATTTCCTTTGATGTTGTAGATGTTTAACTATTAGTTTTGTATAATCTTTTCGGAGGGTTTTAAGAAGGGGAGAAGATAAACTCAACACGTGATCCCATGGCCTTATTCAAGTAGAAGCTCCAATCTATTTTTTTTAACATTGTTTCCTGATATTAAATCAAATAAGAGATGTAGGGTTCTCCTGATTACAATTAACTCTCTCATATGGCTAAATAAGGACATGACAAGTTATGCAAAACGTTTCTTTAAAGCTCTCTTGAAAGTGTTCAAGGAAGTGGGAAGACATAGAAATCTTTGAGGGTAGCCAAAGGGAAGGAAATAAATTACATGTCTCAGAATATAGAAATAAAGTTACTGGGCCGGCATGGTGGCTCACACCTGTAATCTCAGCACTTTGGGAGGGCGAGGTGGGCAGATCACTACAGGTCAGGAGTTCGAGACCAGCCTGGCCAACATGGTGAAACCCTGTCTCTACTAAAAATACAAAAAACATTAGCCAGGTGTGGTGGCATGCACCTGTAGTCCCAGCTACTCAGGAGGCTGAGGTAGGAGAATCACTTGAACCTGGGAGGTGGAGGTTGCAGTGAGCCAAGATCATGCCACTGCACTTCAGCCTGGGCAACAGAGCAAGACTCCAACTCTAAAACAATAAATCAATCAAAATAAAGTTATTGTATCACAGCAGCTATGTCATCTGGAAACAAAATATTCTATTTAGGTATGGAGTGGTTTAGGGTTAGGTCTCCTTTATGAGTAGAAGGGAATATATTTAAAATTTTTTTTAAATACAATTTCCTATATTTCAGTTTCAGAACTGGTTCTAAATCACTGGCTCTGAGCAATTTCGCTAGAAATGCTCCCTAATGACCTGCCCTGAGCTAATAGCATCGAGATCATTGATTAGACACAAGACAAGGAGCCCAGGACACAGGGCACAGCTAAGCTTTCACAGCTCAGATTTTCAGCCTTTCCATCACCACGGTGGAAGGGGAAAAAAAATCCTTTCAGTTCCCTGAAGGATGTGTTCTTGCACATAAATTGGCATTTAGGTTCAATTAGATACTGAAGGCCTGGTCCTTTAAGGCCAGCCGGGTGGGTTGCGGCTAGATATGCCTCGGCGCCTCTCCTCTGTCCTATTACTGGGCAAGTGTCCTCTGGCTGTATGTGCTCCAAGTTATAACCTAACGAAAGGGCAAAAAGGTAGAAGAGATGGCTGATGAGGAGGAAGAGGATGGAAAGAAAAGGAAGACAAAGATTTCCCTGACTATGCACATAGCCAGAATCTCAGCAGGTGAAATTACACAGCACAGAGAATCTCGATGAAGATTCTAATATAGATCACACAACTCTGAAGCTTTTCTCTTTAACATGAGACTCAGTTAAGGGTTGGAAGGGAGCTGGTGAGCAATGAAACAGTAAAGTACAAGAGGGCTCCAGCTTCCCGACCTCACTCACAGTCTAGGCTAGATTAGCACATGCCAGACACAGTTCTGTTCACTTTACAGCCATTGCTCATTTAATACTCACAACAATGACACTCACAGTATCTTCACTTTACAGATAGGGAAAATAAGGCATAGAAAGGTTAAGTGACTTGCCCAAAGTCACACAGCTAGTCCAAGGCAAAGCCTCAGCTCTGACATGGGAGGCCATTCCCTAACTCTTTGTTCACTGTTTTCTTTAAAACATGATCTTGGAATTACTTTCTCTCATTTAGCAATATCATGCTAATTCAAGAGTCAGTAAAATGTGTCCTTGAAGGTAGGTACAAAAAAGGATGTTCCCTCCAAAGGCAGCCCTCATCACAGCCTGAACCTTCAAAGGGTTGTAAGGAGCCTCAGATGCACAGCTGCCTTCTCTAGCACCACACTTTTGGTTCCACTGCTTAGACAACTAAGGAGAATGAAGAGCTTGTTCCTTATTTTCCAGCTTCTAGAAGGGCAAAGGAAGGGAATACCATGAGACAGAGGCCACACAGCACCCAAAAATAGAAGACCATTTTTTTTTTTTAGGCAAGGTCACCCAGGCTGGTGTACAGTGGCACAATCAGTCCATAGCAGCCTTGACTTCCCAGGCTCAAGTGATCCTCCCAGCTCAGCTTCCCAACCTGCTGGGACTACAGGCACATGCCACCATGCCTAGCTAAATTTTTTTTTTTTTAATTTTAGTAGAGATGAGGTCTCACTTTGTTGCCCAGGCTGGTTCTTGAACTCCTGGGCTCAAGTGATCCTCCTACCTAGGCCTCCCAAAGTGCTAGGATTGGCCGGGTGCAATGGCTCACACCTGTAATCTCAGCACTTTGGGAGGCCAAGGTGGGTGGATCACTTGAGGTCAGGAGTTCAAGACCAGCCTGGCCAACATGGTGAAGCCCTGCCACTAATAAAAATACAAAAATAAGCCAGATGTAGTGGCATGCACCTGTAATCCCAGCTACTCGGGAAGCTGAAGCAGGAGAATTGCTTGAACCTGGGAGGTGGAGGTTGCAGTGAGCCAAGATCATGCCACTGCACTCCAGCCTGAGGGAGAGAGTTGGAGACTGTCTAAAAAAAAATTATATATATATATATATATATTTGATTTGGACACTGACTCTGTATGGAGATTTTAATATTCAGTAAAGGCAGAATAAGTTGTGGAAATACCTCAAATAAACAGAAGAGGATAAGGCATCAGTCAAACCAGGGAGGGATAAATCAGATAAAATGAAGAAGTTCAAACATAAGCAAGTGGTAAAGGAGCCAAAGATTCCCAACTAAAATGACTACTGGAACAACTGCAGCTTGAAAATATTTCCTGCGATCAAAATTTGCTCACGAGCTATGGACGTGAGTTTTGGGAAGAGATGATTCTCCTTTACACAACTGCCCGGATTGAAGAGGATTTGCTAGAATTTAGTACAGTGGACCTGTGAATGACACAGGTTGGAACTGCATGGGTCCACTTATACGTGGATTCTTTTCCAACCAAACGCAGACTGAAAATATAGTATTGGTGGGACGCAAAACCTGTAATGTACAGAGGGCTGACTTTTCCTAGGCGAGGGTTCCACAGGGCTCACTGCCAGACTTGAGTACGCACGGACTTTGGCGTACGCCGGGGTCCTGGAACCAATCCCTCACAGATACTGAAGGATAGCTGTATTTATCCCCTGACACACTGCAGCTCTTCATGAATACTGGGAGTCACTATACTCACCTAAGTTCTACACACTGAGGTAATGAGGTTCCAGATTCCAAATGTGGAAGTGAACTTCCTTCTTTTCTCCTTGTGAGTGTGTGGGAGTCTGTGGGAGTGTGCATGAGGGGAGAAAAGGGAATGTCACTGAGCACCAGCATGAGCATGTCCAAGTGTGACCAAGATGGGCCAAGCATTGAAAGTAGCCAGGTGGGCGAGTGGCCAAGCGCCAGAGAGGCCAATCCCAAGAGTGACTGAGCCCAGGGGTGGCCGAGCCTGACACTGTCTGGCTGCTTTCAGTGGTCCCACAGATTGAGGCTGTGTATGAAGAGACTCTTCCAGCAAACACTTTTTTTTTTGAGACGGAGTCTCACTCTGTCGCCAGGCTGGAGTGCAGTGGCACGATCTTGGCTCACTGCAACCTCTGCCTCCTGGGTTCAAGCGAGTCTCCTGCCTCAGCCTCCTGTGTAGCTGGGACTACAGGCACATGCCAGCATGCCCAGCTAATTTTTGTATTTTTAGTAGAGATGGGGTTTCACCATGTTGGCCAGGATGGTCTCAATCTCTTGACCTCGTGATCCGCCTGCCTCGGCCTCCCATAGTGCTGGGATTACAGGCATGAGCCACCACACCTGGCCCCAGCAGACACTTCTAAGGCATCCTATTCTGAGGTCAAAAATACATTTTTAGGCTGAAAGATGAGAATAACTTCTTTGGAGAAAGCAATGAGCAGCAGGAAGTGTGGGGGGTCAGGAGTTAGGCTAAGCACTCTGACACCTGTTAGAAGCCTTCTCGAGAACAGAAGATTCTCGAGATTCCCAGGTGAGGGTCTTCAGCCTCATCTCACCCATTCCCCAATGTCCTGGCCGGACAAAAGCCACAGGCTGGGGGAAGAGCCATTTCTAGCAGAGCAGGCAACTGCTTCTAAGATTTAAAGTAAATGGGGGATTCCAAGACGTCTGATTCAGATGATCAGTAAAGTCACTGATGGTTTAGTCTTTCCTAAATACAGTCATAAAGATTTTAATTTCACATTATGTCAAGAGTTTTATGGAGCCAAGGATCTTTTCAGTACGAATATGCCTATACAAACCCCACAGAAATCAGGCGGCAAAAGCAATAATCATAACTATCACCTTTTGGGTCAAAAACTTGATTAAAGCCAAATGACAACTAAAATGTATTTTATTAGCAGTAAGATGAAATCCAGAGCATATGTCAAAGCTGGACTATGAAGTCATAATTTCTCTAGATCACAGTTGGAAGCAGTAATTTTATCACTCTGTCCCTCCCTAGCCTGTAAATCCAAATATAGTTCAGACAGCAGCTCTGGGCTGCAGGGTAGTATCCTACTCACTGTGAGACTCTGGGGAGGAGCTCCACTCTCACTGGCCCAGGCAGGCCACACCCAGCCTCCCTGCTCTCCCGAGTTTATGGCCCTGGGCACCTCTCCCAATCCAGGGCAGAATCAGCTGTCACAGGAGTAAGATGCTGCCACACACCCTGGATCAGCTGTCCCCAGTAGGCATGCCATGGAGTAGTCTAATTAGCCTCTGTGAAGATGTCATGTTTTGTGAGCAATGAGGAGGACCTAGACAATTTTAGACATGAGAACATTCCTTCGGGCATGTCAGAGGTGATGCTCTTTCCATGGGCCCTTTTGTGTGTTCTTAATACCCACAAAGACCTGATTCCCATTTTTAAAATCAAACCAGGAGTCCCCTGGCTTAGAGTGGCCTTCTACACCCCACCACCACCCTGCCCACAACTAACACATCACCTTACCCAAGAATGTCATGCAAATCTGCTCATGGTCTCTCCCCACTCCTATCCCCAGTGCCACGTCCGAACCTTCATTCTTATTACGGTTTGCTTGTATTCGTAGCAGAGTCCCACAAAAGTCCCCCGAGAAAATCTCCTAGTCACTGTGACAAAACTATTCTGGAACACGGCCCCACTTACACAGCTCCATACTGGTAAGGGCCGATGTCCTTCCACAGTCACCTCTCCCACTGCAAGACAGGAGCAAGAGCTACACTTACCCTGGGGCTGCAACAGGATGATTATTTGCTTACCAGGACAGTGAAAATCCTGAGGGAATTTTTTTTTATTATACTTTAAGTTTTAGGGTACATGTGCACAATGTGCAGGTTAGTTACATATGTATACATGTGACATGCTGGTGCGCTGCACCCACTAACTCGTCATCTAGCATTAGGTATATCTCCCAATGCTATCCCTCCCCCCTCCCCCCACCCCACAACAGTCCCCAGAGTATGATGTTTCCCTTCCTGTGTCCATGTGTTCTCATTGTTCAATTCCCTGCACAGCAAAAGAAACTACCATCAGAGTGAACAGGCAACCCACAAAATGGGAGAAAATTTTCGCAACCTACTCATCTGACAAAGGGCTAATATCCAGAATCTACAATGAACTCAAACAAATTTACAAGAAAAAAACAAACAACCCCATCAAAAAGTGGGCAAAGGACATGAACAGACACTTCTCAAAAGAAGACATTTATGCAGCCAAAAAACACATGAAAAAATGCTCACCATCACTGCTCATCAGGGAATTTTTTTTAAGGCGGTAAGTGTCAAGGCATGATCTAAGCTTCTTTCTCATGTAGTCAGAACTGGACCAAAATTGCCTGTTGAATGTCAATAAACATATAAAAACTGCACGGCGGCTGGGCACGGTGGTTCACGCCTGTAATCCAGCACTTTGGGAGACTGAGGCAGGTGGATCACCTGAGGTCATGAGTTCAAGACCAGCCTGGCCAACATGGTGAAACCCCATGTCTACAAAAATACAAAAATTAGCCAGGCGTGGTGGCATGTGCCTGTAATCCCAGCTACTCTGGAGGCTGAGGCAGAAGAATCGCTTGAACCTGGGAGGCGGAGGTTGCAGTGAGCCAAGATTGTGCCACTGCACTCCAGCCTGGGCAACAGAGCAAGAGTCCGTCTCAAAAAACAAAACAAACAAATAAAAAACTGCATGGCATTTGACATTCTTGGTATTGGGACCTGACCTGCTTATTGTTCAGAAAGCTATTTATAAAAGTTTTGTGAAAACCTGAAGCATTATACAAACTATATGCTATACTGTAAAGTTTTAATAAGTGGGGATCCTTTTAAATAGAAACTTCTGCTAATAGGCAACTCGAAATCCCCAACTACACATCATCTTTCTACTTTAGACATTTAAAAATACAGCACACAAAAAACTTCATCTTGGCCATGTCCACGTCAAGTAGGAAAAAGTCCAAACAGAATGAAAGTGTCTGAATTATAAATCCTTGTGAAAATACTATTAATCAAGAGGGAATTAATGTTAACTTATCTAGTGGGTACTATTATCTATAACTCTTTAATATCAAACTCACAAAATTAGCAGCAGGAATATAATTATACTTAAAAAAATTATTTTCTTAGTAAGGTTGGCCCATAGAAGAATAAGGATTAGTAAGATGCACAGTGGTCAAACATGAAGAAATGAGTGAATTTTAGGGAAATTTGCAAGTCGGCTGCAATCATGAACATTGTATCAAGCCAAGTAATGAAAGCCACTCCTGCCTGGGTGGGCTCGGTCCAGCCCAGCCCCTGTTGATACTCTGATGCATTCTGCAGCTAACCAAGTTCTTACAGCGGAGAGGGGAAGAAATGGCAACAAAATACACATTGAAAACAAAATAAATATGTTTCCTGAAGCCAATATCTGAATAATCCTTAGGTAATGACCATTTATACACTTGATAAGTTTCCCAAGTTTTTCTTTCCTCTTTCTTAAGTAAAAGGGAAATCCAGGCCAATTTTTAAGCCGGATAATATTTAGAAACTATTTTTTTTAGGTCATTTCATCCCATTTTTGGTTGACTAGTGTAACCAAGGCAGCAACTGGATTTCAAAGCAGCAGAGGAAGACATTCTGAGCTCACCTGGAGCCCAACGCTGGGACGCAGCCTCCACCCTCCCAGGAAACTAGACACTTACATTCCCTTGCCCTCTTGCCCTTCTGCCCTTCCTGCCACCAGGTAGCTGGTCACAATGGGAGTTTTCTTTCTTTCTGCAGTGGGGTGAATGATCACACACACACACACACACACACACACACACCCCCACAACCAACTCCTAGTACCCACATTCTGTAAATGTTTACTTACTTGGAAAAAGGGTCTTTGCAGATAGAATAGAATTAAATTACAATCTTAGCCAGGTGCAGTGGTTCATGCCTGTAATCTCAGCACTTTGGGAGGCCGAGGCGGGCAGATCACAAGGTCAGGAGATCGAGACCATCCTGGCCAACACGGTGAAACTCTGTCTCTACTAAAAATACAAAAATTAGCCGGGAGAGGTGATGGGTGCCTGCAGTCGCAGCTACTCGGGAGGCTGAGGCAGGAGAATGACGTGAACCCGGGAGGCAGAGCTTGCAGTGAGCCAAGATCACGCCACTGCACTCCAGCCTGGGCGACAGAGCGAGACTCCGTCTCAAAAGAAAAAAAAAAAAAAAGAGAGAGACAGAAAAGGAGAAGACACACACACACACAGAGGAGTTCACATGAAGACGGGGGTAGAGATTGCAGTGAAATAGCCACAAGCCAAGGAATGCCTAAAGCCACAAGAAGCTGGAAGGGGCAAGGAACGGGGCCTCCCCTGGAGCCTCCAGAGGGAGTGTGGCCCTGCTGACACCTTGATTTCAGACTTGTGGCCTCCAGAACCGACAGAGAATTATTTTCAGCTGTTTTAAGCTGCCAGTTTGCAGGAATTTGTTACAGCAGCACCAAGAAACGTACATTCCAGATACACAGATATATTACTCTAATTTTTGGAGCAGCAAAGGAGCATCACTTAAACAGTTAACAGGGACCAACCTCCCGTCTTTAGAGCAATCTAAGCATTTGTTCTCTACAATTAGATTAAATGGGATTAAACACAGGCACTGCTTCACATATGAAATTGCTGTGCAAATACACACGGCTGAAAAATACGAGAGGTCAATGGACAGCATTAGCATGTCCACTTCATGAAAAAATGACACACTTCTCCGTGTTGGTTTAGTGGATACTGGATCCAGTCCAACGTGAATGGCTCACTTTCAGAAATGAATCTGAAACTGCTGACCATCTTCTTTGGAGTCACATGCTAGGAGGTAGCCTGGGAAGAGGCCTGACTCTGAAATGTCTCACACACACTGTAACCACTCACTATTTTTGCAAGAACTTGCTTTTCTTTCTAGATATAAACATAAGTACGCTTTGCTCACTGATGGAGTGTAATTCTTGAAAGAAGGGAGACGGGAGAGGTGGTAGCCCAGGGAAGAAAGGACTGAGGGAGAGCAGATAGCAGCAGATGACCTGAGAGGGGACCAGATATATGCCAGAAGGAAGAACTTCAAAGCCAACACACAAAATACAGGCAAAAGAAATTAACAGGCACATCACAGAAGACATCCCAACAGTCAAAAAGTTCTTAAGAAGATGGTCCAGCTCACTGGCAATATCCTACACACATGTTTCTGAAAATTCCAAAATGTCTTCAGACAGAAGAACCTTCAAACCCAAATATGGATCCCTAAGATCATTTTCCAACCCAACTACATTAACACAAGTAAAACTCCAGAGAGCCACATGATGCTGCCTGTGAACTTAAATGACAAATTCTAACGTTAACATTTATTTCGCTGGAGGCCAAGATGACGTAATAACAAAAGTGTTATGTAGCTTATAAATGGCCTACTTGTAATTTGTTAGCACAATTTTGGAAGTGCTTTCCAAGGAGCAAGAAAAACTTCAAAACATAAACAAACTAATCTTCACTATGGCTCCATCACTCATAATAAAGGTTAAGGATGTACCTTAAATAGCTCACAAACAGGAAAAGCATGTGTGGATTTCTTTGAGAAGCTTGTAACATCTTGTAACTTTACTTATCCTAGTAGAAGCTTTATTGCTAATTTTTACATAATCATAGAACTACATGAAATAGCCATATTGCCTAACATTTATACTTGGCTTTAAAAAAATTACTATTCCTAAATACAAAAATAACCTATCATTAGAAAAGGTAGGTGAATATTTAAAAAAATTTTTTTAAAATAATAATTCAGTCTACCTTTAGTGTTGAAGTACTGCCTTCATAACTATTGATGGGGACTCCAAAAATATCCTCTATGGAAAAATATTCAGGTATCTAAAAAAGGATTCATCTGAAGAAATTTTATAGTAATGGTTTCCTTTGAAATATTTTTGGACCTCTTATAGTGAAATCATGAGCCACAAAAATAATAAATGTCTCCCATATTTTAAAACTAAGTAGTGACATATCGTCATTATAAAGATTATAAAGTAATCTTCCTATATGATGAGACTAAATTACAATTTTGCTTTTATTTTATTTCAATTAATTAATTTTTTTGAGATGGAGTTTTTTGCTCTTGTTGCCCAGGCTGGAGTGCAATGGCGTGATCTTGGCTCACTTCAACCTCCGCCTCCCAGGTTCAAGAGATTCTGCCGCCTCAGCCTCCCGAATAGCTGGGATTACAGGCGCCCACCACCACGCCTGGCTAATTTTTATATTTTTAGTAGAGATGGGGTTTCACCATGTTGGCCAGGCTGGTCTTGAACTCTTGACCTCAGGTGATCTGCCTGCCTTGGCCTCCCAAAGTGCTGGGATTACAGGTGTGAGCCACAGCACCAGGCCACAATATTGCTTTTAGATTAAATTTGTAATCTTCAGTGGAAGAAAAATCCATGAGGATTTTTGTTTTTTCAAAGAGGGGTGGGACAACAATATAAAGATGAAACTGTTTGGGGTGGGTATTTTATAGTATATAAATTATACCTCAATTAAAAAATTAAAATGACCTTAAATTTTAAAACGACAGGGACTTAGGCGTGAAAAAACCTTTTGGAAGCATTTAGTTCTTTTCCATCTTACAGCCATAAATTAAAGGTATTTCTTAATTTGCTAAAAATATTTCAACCGAATTGGCTTATATTTAAGTTTTAATGGGTCAAATATGTTAACCAAGGATATTCTTTTGGCTTTTCGGGGAATTTGTCTGTCTTCAAACAAAACAAACAAAACTAAACCACTGTCCGAATAGTAGAGACAATTTACAATGTGTGTCAAGATCCAGAGTTCATGAAATGCGATAATAAATAGCCCAAACCACGAGTACATTATTTATTATTACTGCTCTAAGAGTAAAATGCTATGGTCATGTGAGGTCTGTGTAAAGGATAGGACGATGGCCTCTGCCACGTGATCTAGAAGCCACATAACGCAACTTTTGTGGAAAGCAAGAGGATTCAATCTGTGTGTGAAGATGGCAAGGGCTAGGGCTGCACAACGTGGTGGCTAAGAGCACGGGAGTCAAAATCCTAGGCTGGGAAACAGTATCATCTTGGGCAAAACACTATCATCTTCAGGCAGGCTTCTCATCTGTAAAATGGGGATAATGCAACGTACGATTCTTGTGAACTAATCTTGTGAAAGCAGTAGGCAAACGCCTGGCTTCACAGGCAACTAAGACGTGAGCTATGTTCCTCAACTGGCTGGGCTCTGTTCTGCAGCCACAGGGTAGGCCTGGCATCCCAGAAATGCTTGTCATTGATAACACGGGGACATCAAGTCAGAGAATTCGAATGTCACTCCTGAAAGTCTAATGACCCTCAGCTGTCATCCACAGCTCATTGGAAAACTGCTAGGTAGGACCCACTAAGGCTGACATATGCATACCTCACAACCCAGCAATTCTACTCCTGGGTATACACTCAACAAAAATGCTTACATATGTTCACCAAAAGAATCAGATGGTTCATAACAGCATGATTCATAATAGCCCCAAACCAGAAACAACCCAAATGCCCGTTAATAGTAGAAGATAAACAAATTGTGGGATACTCACCCAAAGAAGTATTTTATGGCAATGAGAATGAACAAACTATAGCAACAACACAGATGACAAGTCAGAATGCAAGAGGCCATGGTGTATGTTTCCATCGGTATAAAATATAAAACCAGGCAAAACTAAGATAGCGTCAGAAATCAGGACAGTGTTCCCCAAAGGGAGGATGCAGATGGGAAGGGACCTGAAGGTGCCTCTGACTGCTGGAACCCATTTCTTGATCTGGCTACATGTGAGAGAGTTTAGGCCGTAAAAATTCAAATGCTGCACCCTCAGGATGTGTGCACTTTTCTGGAGGCATATTATACTTCAATAAAACTTCTAAGAAACTCTCTGGCCAGGCACAGTGGCTCATCCCTATAATCCCAGCACTTCGGGAGGCCAAGGTGGGCAGATCACATGAGGCCAGGAGTTCGAGACCAGCCTGGCCAACAATGCAAAACCTCATTTCTACTAAAAATACAAAAGAAGTTGGCTGGGTGTGGTGACGCACGCCTGTAATGCCAGCTACTTGGGAGGCTGAGGCACGAGAATTGCTTGAACCCGGGAGGTGGAGGTTGCAGTAAGCCAAGATTGTGCCACTGCACTCCACCCTGGGCAACAGAGCAAGACTCAGTCTCAAAAAAACAAACAACAACCAAAAAAACTATCTTTATTATTGATAAAACAATTCAAGGCCACGAATCCAGGGTAGCCCACACCACCCTACTCTGAGGCCCTGAAAAATTCTGCAGACCTACGTCAGCCTAACCAGCAGGATGAGGGGCCCCGGGCCAGGGAGCAACATCCTCTCTCACCAATGATCTCTTTACATTTCTAAGCCTGGCATCTCTCTGTTGCTTTGCACATGTCTGAAACTGAGCAGTTCTTCCTGCCATGTCTTATCTTCTAGACTTTGGTGGCCATCTGTATGGAAGGAATCTTCAGGTAAAAGACACGCCACAGGATACTAAGCTGAAATGGGACCCAACTTCTTTTAATTAAACACATCTTGCCTCAGGCAAGTTATTTAAAAGAAATATCTGTTAAGATACTAGAAAGAATGGTGGCTCACATCTGCAATCCTAACACTTTGGAAGGCCAATGTAGGAGGATAGCTTGAGTCCAGGAGTTCAAGACCAGCCTGGGAAACATGGCAAGACCCTGTCTCCACAAAAAATAAAAAATTAGCCAGGTGTGGTGGCATGTCCCTGTAGTCCCAGCTACTTGGGAGGCTGAGGTAGGGCGATCACATGAGCCCAGGAAGTCGAGACTCCAGTGAGCCATGATCGTGCCACAGCACTCTAGCCTGGGCGACAGAGAGAGACCCTGTCCTCCCCGCCCACCCCACCCCCGAAAAAAGAAACAAAGAAAGAAAAAGAAGTATCTGTTGAGATATTAAAGATACATCTTTTAAGAAACTACAAAAGAATAATTTGTACAAAATTTAAATGAACACTAGTAATGTACAGAATTTTCTAATTAGGCATACATCATATCCTACTAATCTTAGTGAATTCAAAGTTACTAGTGTGCGCAAAGTTATTTTAAAATATAAAGCATGCTGGAAAACAAAAGTTTCTGAAATTCTGTACATTCACTTCTAAAATGTCAAACTAGGCTGAGTGCAGTGGCTCATGCCTGTAATCCCAACACTTAAGGAGGTCGAGAGGTAGGAGGCCTGCTTCAAGCCCAGGAGTTCAAGACCAGCCTGGGCAACAAAGAGAGACCCCGTCACTATGAAATATTCTAAAAAATTACCTGGGTTTGGTGGCATGCACTTGTAGTACCAGCTGTTGGGAAGGCTGAGGCAGGAGGATCACTAGAGCCCAGGAGATTGAGGCTGCAGTGAGCCATGATCATACCACTGCACTCTAGCCTGTGTGACAGAGCAAGACACTGTCTCTGAAAGATAAAATGTCAAAATGACTACTTATTTGGATCACTATGCATGAGAAATAGTTTCTTCTCAAAGTAAACACATGCTCATATGAGAATATTTCAGTCAATAATGCTCCCTCTCTCCGGTGCAGCACAGGGAATGTTTAGGGCACAGAAACTATAAAATAGTGTAAAGGTGGATACGTATCACTATACATTTGGCAACACCCATAGAACTCCGCAGCACGAGGAATGAGCCATCGTGGAACTGATGGACTTCAACAACAATTTATGAATAGAAGCTCGTCAATTGTAATAAATGTACCACACTAATGAAAGATGTTAATAATAGGGGGAAACGGAGGGGGATTCGGCGGGCGAGACAGAAGGACAGGGAGGGAGTATATGGGAACTCTATACTCTGTTCAATTTTTCTGTTAACCTTAAACTGCTCTAAGAAGTGAAGTCTATTGATTAAAATATAAATAAATAAATAAATAATGCTTCCTCCCGCCTTCTAAGATGCCCACATTTTACCTTTGATCATTTCTGCAGGAAACACCTAGTTTAGAATACACAGGCCACAGGAAAGAACAAAAGCTTTCACTATTTTCAGGGTTTTGTGCTTGTATGTGTGAACATCTTTGTCACTCACGGTCAGTGATTTATACAGACATGATCTTAACAATTCAGTATGGAGAACGACTATCTTTTTTTTTTTTTTGTACTTGGCTGGATACTGTCCTGTGTAAGAAAATATATTGGAAAATGTATTCAAATAAAAGCAAGAATAAGGGTCGACTTTAATACCGTGGGGAGAAATCCGATCGATTGGGTCCATAAGGAAAGATGTATGCATTCGGTGCTCCCTAATTACAACTGCTTTGGTGGGCAGCAGCAGTGGTGAAACAGATGTTGGAGACCTATTAAAGACGGGGTTTCAAACATCTGCTTACAATTTTAAGGCAATTGTAAATACAGCAGAGAAGGTCAATTGGGCCAATTAAGGCCGATGTGCAAATCCACCACTGCAGGTTTCTTTTCAAGCTTACATGGACTTGATTTTTTATGCTTTCATTTTCTACAACCACAATTTTTTTTTAAACCCAGGAAATGGGTTTAATAACTTTTGTCCATTTTTGATTGTTATTCTTCTTAAATGGAAGAAAACTTTCTGTTCAAAGAAGTCACTGCACACCTTTTGCCTCACGATGACTCATTTTCCTTCCCTCCCCTCCCATGCTCACAGCCGGCCACTCGGCCCCGATCAAAGCGGGTTCCATATTACCAGGGAGGTGAGGAATCCCGAATACTGGGCTTCCTTTCTAAGCCATAATGAACATGGGCAAGTGTCACCTTCAGAAACTTCCGTGCCGCGGCACACAACAGTGCTCCCAGCTGTACGGATGGGACTGCTGGGAGCATTTGCTGCTTCTACCCTAGGCACCTTCACCAGCCTTTATTAGAAAATCATGAGTTTCATGAACCGTAAATACAACGGCAAACTGCACTATCCCTCTTCTAAGTAGGTAAAACTGAAATTCTCATGGTATGCAAGGCTCATTCATGTCAGAGGCAGTAGCAGGGACACGCTCCCAGTTAATTCCAGGCCAGTGCTACAAAGTCTAAGGCCCACTTGCTGCTCAAAAATTGGCCCCCAGTGGTGGAGCGGGACTTAGAGACTGAGGGTCGGCAAAGAGGCAGAGCAGTCCAGCTCAACATTACTAGGTCATTTCTCTTAAAGCTGCACGTGTAATCGTTACTTGTGCTAAGTAGGTAAAAAAAAGTCCAAGTATCACAGGCATCAAAATGGCCTCCTCTGGGAGAGTAAGAAATAAGCCTGGCCTATCTTCCTTCCTATGAGCTCTGTGATGGCCACCGGAGTATATTATGCCACCTCTTCTTGGTGGCCCAGACCACTCAACTGCTCTCTTTATATAGAGAAAAAAACCAAGGTTGGGCAAACCTAGATTCAAATTCTGCACTTCTTAGCTGAGTGACCTCGAAGCCTCTGTTTCCTCATCTATAAAATGGGAATATTGCCATTTCTAGAGCTCTAAAAGTTGATACAAAGTAGGTACTCAATAAATGTTGAGTTCCTAAAGGTGATACACAGTAGGTACTCCATAAATGTTGGTTTCCTAAAAGTGATACATAGTAGACACTCCATAAATTTAGTTTCCTAAAGTTGATGTGTGGTGGGCACTCAGTAAATGTTGGCTTTGTAAAGTTGGTACATAGTAGGCACATAATAAATGTTGCTTCCTAAAGTTGATACCTAGCGGCAGTCAATAAATGTTGGTTTCCTAAAGAAAATACACAGTAGGCACTCAATAAATGTTGGTTTCCTAAAGTTCCTATACATTAGGCACTCAATAAATGTCGAGGTCCTCTGTCCTCCTGAGACCTTTGGGACCTCCACCAAGACATTTCCAAGGGGCCTAGACTGGTGTTTCCAACCAGGCAGGGCAGTTCCCCTGAATGTTTCTATTTGTTTATTTTCGGGGGGAGGTATATCCAGTTTTTGTGCTGTTGTTGATATTGTTGTTGTTATTATTTGCTTTGTTTTTGGCGAAACAAAGAGTGGATAATGAAACTACAAAAAAATTCTAAAAGAAGAATCCTTGAGGCAGCAGAATGGGAAGAAATAGTTTTCAGAACAAAGAAAATTCTGAAGGAAAGTCAATATACCGCACAGAAATCTAGGTTGAGAAAGAACTGTTTTTCCCTTACATCTCCTTTTTACTTTTCAACCTTGAGGCTCAGCTCACTCAGGTCTGAGCAAGAATAAAGAGTCCTGCTTGTCTAAACAACTGCTAAATCTGAAGGCAAACAGCTCAACTCCATGTGGTTCTTCAGCAACATTCCTGTCAACAAACCCCGTCTTGGCTCGATTGGTCCAACAATACCAGATTTAGAGCCATCCGCTCATCCTTCTTCCAGGATGCAAGGGGATTTTCAAAAGGCCATTCCAGGAACAGCTCTCACAATTTTTGTAGCCTTTTCAAAAACACAAAAAATCTAATTCATTTGCTGCACTGCTTCAGCCATCCAGCTTAAACTAATTTTAAAATCTCTCCTTTTGTAAATAGAGATGTTAGAAACGCCACCACAGCCACAATATAAAATGATGGTATCTTTCTCTTTTGTAATCAAATTACCATCATTTATTATAAAGCTTCAGACAGAAACCTGAGAGATGGGCAAGACGACCTGGCGTTCAGAAGAGAGAGATGGCATTTTTGACATTGAAATAAAGGCTTGGAGGGCATAAATCCTTTTTTAAAAATCAAGTATTTAGCACAGGATTTGGTATAAACACTGATCAATAAATAAGAGCCAGCAGTCATAGCAGCACGCTAGAATCAACATCATCTGAGTTCTAGCACAGACTCGTTTCTATGAATCATTGAAAAGGAATTTCATGGTGCCAGCAGCATCAGTACAGAAAGTCAGAATAAGCACTTAGACAGTAATACCAGCAACTTATTTACTATCCTACGTTAGAGTCAGTTTGCTGGATTTTATATAAGGTAAGTAATGGATATCTAAGGTACTGTCAATTAAAAAAAGTTCTCCAAAGTAATTTTTATTTAAAGTTGCATATGATAAACTGTAAAACCAAAATAACATTTGGGTCAAAACTCCAAAGAGTTGGGCTATCACTAAGCTAGAAAGAGAAAAACAGCAGAAAGAGGATTTTCTTGCTGATATGCCAAAAACGTGACTCTATTTCTTTCAACAGGGTTTATTGTTTTCTTCCTGTTTTACAACAGCAATACATATAAGAATTTTTTTTAATTCAGAAAATTGCAGAGATAAGGGGAAATTTCTCCCCTAATTCTATTCCCCAAAGAGAACTGCCTTTCATGTATTCTGGCAAAATTCTCTCATCTTCTTTCAATGCATGCAGAAACCTTTTGTTTATTTACTTTTCGAAAACAAAATTGGGTCATACAATAGGTATTGTTTTCTGATCTGCTTTTCTAATTTTTAAATGCTGTGCAACAGTTAATCAAACGGATATACAATTAACCTCCCATTATTAAACACCAAGAACAGCTTCTATTTTTCTGTATTATAAATGGCAAAGCGACGAACATCCACATATATAAAACTTTGCATCACTTCATCTACTTGGGTTAAATTCCTACAAACTGAATTGTTGGGTCAAAATACACGCACATTTTAAGGTATGTGATATACAAGACATGCCAGAAAAATTGTGTTAATTCTGCACAATGTATGAGAGTACTCTTTTCTCCATAACTTTGCCCACATAATTGTTGTTTTTTTTTTTTTTTTGAAACAGAGTCTAGCTCTGTCACCCAGGCTGAAGTGCAGTGGCATAATCTCGGCTCACTGCAACCTCTGCCTCCCGAGTTCAAGCAATTCTCCTGCCTCAGCCTCCGGAGTAGCTGGGATTACAGGCACGCCCCACCACGCCCAGCTAATTTTTGTATTTTAGTAGAGAGGGGATTTTACCATGTTGGCCAGGCTGATCTTGAACTCTTGACCTCAAACGATCTGCCTGCCTCAGCCTCCAAAGTGCTGGGATTACAGGCTTGAGCCACCGCGCCCAGCCTCAACTGTAAAGCTTTTTGTATACTGAAAATATTAAACTTTTATGATTATATTCCAACTATTTTTCCTCCATTAGTAACCTGTTTCATAGTGCTGCTTAATGCAGAGAATTTTATTATTGTAGACCAATCAATCTGCCTTTTTCTTTTATCATTTTCCCTTGGATTTATAAGCTTAGAAAGGCCTTTCCTATCCTAAGAGCAAATACAAAATCTGCTTTACATATTGAACTAATATTGGGATGGTACTGATTTTTATTGCAATATTTGAGAAGGCAAAACAGAGTTTAAGGAAAGAAAAAAGAAATCCCAAAGGATGGGGAAAGAGGTGAGAAGGCTTCTAAAAATAACATTTGGCAGACACCGGCTCAATGCAAGTCTAATTTGCTTCTTAGTTAATGAAGGAGAAAATGGAGATGGCGAAGAAATAAAAGGTCCATTCTAGAATGGCAATAATAAAATCCCCTGTGAAGACAATAACAACATTCTTGTTATACATGGAAATCTAATCCTAAAATAATAACGCATATATTGATATAACAGCACTGTGAATAAATTCCATTTAAGCTATGTTATTTTAACAATGACCCAGAAAATGTTAAACTAAAGAAGTTTGTTACATGCCTAGTTTGGCCCACTTAGAGAGCCACAGGTTCTCAGAAACATATCTGGAAAAGGCCTTTTTGTCTGCAATCAATGCATCCATCATGGTGCACCAACTGGCTGACTACAAAGAGCTTACACATAAATATATGTGCATATACATATAGATTTTACTTGCATCAAAAGGTAAAAATAGAATTTGGTTTATTTTGTAAAGCCATTCAACGTAATCATAATCTCATTAGGATCCAGCAGAAAAGAATGACTCTGGCAGCTTTTTGCTGGGACCCTGGTACCTCCTTCTGCGGGTAGAAAAGGAGCCCCTGGGGGCATCTGGGTGGAAGGAAGGCTCGGAGGCTGGAGACTTGCTTGCCTGGATGCCAGCCAGTGTGGCAAAGATGTCCAGGGCAGCCTAGAGTTTCTGCTGGGGGCAGGGGTAGGGGTGGTCAGGGCACAGCCAAGTACCGGGCAGTATCCACCCCAGCCCCCACTGAACTGCCAGCATCCGGCTCTGCCTGTCTTTGGCTTCTGGCTTGCTTTCCTAGCCTGATTCTCTGACCTTCCCCTCGGCATTGAGAGCTCTCCAACATTCATCCTTCCAGTGCATTTCTTTTCTGCTTAAGTGGCCCAGGTCAATTTCTGTTGTTTGCAATCATGAACCTTGACTGGACAAACTCTTATTAGCTTCCGGCAGATATTAAAAGATGCATGAGCTCACTTTGATGCAAAAGGGCCTCAGCATGGATGCACGCCTTATCTATGAGAAAGCTCCTCTGCTTCCTCTCCTGGCCTCCTTGTACTTATCTCATGGTTTATACTTGATTTTGTTCCTTTCAACTTTCTTCTTTTCATGCCCAACTCCCCTCCCTAAAATGGGTCTGGTGGCAGAGGTGAAGGCAGAGAGCAGAGGTGAGAAGAAAATAGGAAAGTGAGTAACTTTTGGATATTACTTTTCAGAAAACATTCTGTGTGGCAGTGGCCACTTTCCTGTCAAAGGCTTAACATTTTTTTCCTATAAATACATTAAAAGTGAGTCAGACTTGGATTTGCACCTTAACATTATTGCCAACACTTTAAATAACTATATGTTCTCTACAAATGTTCTCTACTAAAGAAGGGACTCGGAGAATGGAGGGAGCAAAAAGGAGAATGGGGAGGCAACTCCGGGGCAGCTCACCTGTCTGGCCCTGTGTGGGGTTTCCTCTTTAGAATTCAGCAGGCTGTAGGGAAGGTGAACACTGGGTACTAGGTAACCCCTGACCTGGTCAGGGAGTCTGAGAAAATCGGAGAGACTGCTCTCTATCCTGCACCCCCAAGCCCCAAGCTCCACAGGCTTGCAGGGTTGTCTTGGGAAGCCCCTCCCAGAGGCCAGCCCCAATTCAGCAGGGTGACGGGGCATGGACCACACACGCATGCCTGTCCTTAGCGCCTTGAGTCCGGAGACCCCTGTTCCTCCCAGTTCCCTTCCTTGTGGAATGGCGAAGGGAGAGGTGTCCCCAGGGAGGGTTTTGGACCGTAGCCACCTCTTAAGATTCTGGGGTCGGGGGACAAGTCCTGAGTCCAAGGGAATAGCAGGGTGACACTGGTCAACAGGTATGTGAGTCCTGGTTGAATTCTTGCCCTCAAATGTTCATGCTACATTTTCTGTGTCCCTTCCACCCTCAATCTACAGCGAGGAGCTCCCCTATCCTGGGCCAGTCGGGGTCTACAAGCCAGCCAGGGAAGCAAAGGGAGAGAGGGAGAGGCCTTCGAGGACACTACCCCTGCTGGAGGGGTGAGGCGAGGATATGCCATTGTTGAGGGGCTGTAGCCTACGGCCACAGGTGATGGGCAGGGTGGGTTAGGAACTGTGTACTCCAAAACTGGTTGTGGTTTCTCTCAGCAAAAGCTTTTTGTACCTCCCCTCCCTCCATGGAAAAACAAAAAGGTTATGAGAGAGAAAGATATTAGGTTAAGAGCCTTCTACATTTCAATAGAGCTACCATACAATCCAGCAATCCCAATCCTAGGCATATACCCAAAAGAATGGAAACCAGGATACTGAAGAGCTATCTGCACTCCCATGTTTATTGCAGCCTATTCACAGTAGCCAAGACCTGGGAGCAACCTAAGCGTCCATCAACAGATGACTGGACAAAGAAAACGTGCTGCAGATACACAATGGAGCACTATCCAGCCACAAAAAAGAATGCGATATTGTCATTTGCAACAACATGGACGGAACTGGAGGTCATTATGCTCAGTGAAATAAGCCAGACATCGAAAGACAAACATTGTATGTCCTTATTTATGTGTGGGAGCTAAAAATTAAAACACTGAACTCATGTTGATGGATGGTCATCAGAGGCTGGGAAGGGTAGTGGGGGGCAGGGAGGTAGGTGGGGATGGTTAATGGGGACAAAATAGTAGTTAGAAAGAATGGAAAAAACCTAATATTTGCTAGCACAACAGGGTGACTACAGTAAAAAATATTTTAATTGTACATTTTTAAATAACTAAAAGAATATAATTGGATTGTTTGTAACACAAAGGATAAATGCTTGAGGTGATGGACACCCCATTTACCCTGAGGTGATTATTACACATTGCATGTCTGTATCAAAATATCCCATATACCCCATAAAATATACACATACTGTGTACCCACAAAAATAAAAAATAAAAATTTTAAAAAGCTTAAGAGTCCTCCACATTTCAGAAACATATATTTTTAAACATTAGGAAAAAGGTAGAAAAACAGTAGTCTATGGCCGTAAGAGCCCGCAGGCACCCTGCTTGTCCGATCACGGACGCTAAGCGGGGTTGGGCCTGGCTAGTACTTGCATGGGAGACCATGTAGGAATGCCGGGTGCTCTAGGCTTAAATTTAAGTAAGTCTAAGTAATTTAAAGAGATTTTTTTAAGACGACAGATTATAAGTCAAAGTGCCACCCTGTGGCACCCATGACTGTTCCTGCTGCAGAGATGCTCTGAGGATGCCATTCGTTCTCACATGGAATTCTTTCATGAAGATCCCAAAGAAATTCCTGTCTGGTCTCACCTTCCAGAATACATCTACTTTTTTCTAAGCGTCTCTCTAAGTTTAATCTGTGACTTGTTGACTTCTTTACATCAGCTGTTAGTAAATCTAAAGACAAATTCCTAACTGATGAGATAAGCTGGATTACCTGAACATTACCATGGAGCCCCTCTGGGTTATCTAACACGGGAAGACCAGAGGCTTTCTCTCCTGGCAGAGAGGACCATACCCAGCTTCCCAGGGGCCCTCAAGTCCATGCACAGGGCAGCTGGATTTCCCAGACAATTCTGGTCAGCAGCCAACAAACACCCCAGGTCCTGCTGCTTGGTGCCAGGCCAGCTGCTGCCCCACTGACAAGGGGCTCTCACAATTCCTATGCCAAATGAAAGCAGTAAGGAAACAGAGTTCTTTCTCCAAAACACATTCACACTTCATGGCCAGCACAGAGCCCAGCACACCTCTCAGAGGGGTACCAGAAGGATCAGAGGACCAGATCCTTGGTACATCTGCCTCTAAAGCCTGATCGTTAAGCCATATTCTAAGACCTTGAGGACCCCACCCCAAGTCCTAGTGCACAATAGGTACCTCCTGCAAAGATGCAACCTGCCTGAAACCATCCCTCAGACACAGGACCCCGCTGAGGACATCACTTCCTCATCCCTGCCAGTGCACATCTCTGGTGCAGCTTCTCCTTTTGCCCCTCCCAATTTTAATTCAGGACCTGACAGATTTATAAATTGCCTCCAGTAATTTCTGGAACACAGCAGCACAGAAGAAGGAGAAGGAGGGAAACCAAAAGAAAAAACACAAATTCTCTATCTTTCAATGCAAGTATAACTTTTTGCCATGGGTTTTGGCTTCCTATGACTCAGTGCACACTATCACCTCGAGATTCTCATGATGAATAGGATTGAAAATGTCCTAAAATAGAGCCACCTTCAAACTGCAGTAAAACACCTTCCCAAGAGGGCACACAGGTACAAATGGTCTTAAGGGCAAAAAAATCCACAGAGCCTCACTCTCCCATATGTGCTTTCCTAAAACACGTTATTTCGGAGCGAGCTTGGAGTTCAGGCACACAAAGCTCTATCTTTAAACCTCTCCTTAAACAACTGCCTTTCTCCCATGTGACAAAGAAAGGGAGAGCACTCACCCTCCCTGGGTGTAACTATGGAAGGAAGTATCCTGGAAGCGTAAAAACCTCCATGGGGCAACAGACAGGTCATACAAAATTCTGATGACAGCAAAAAATGTGCAGATCAAGGTTTTTATAACAGTATGTTTAAAACATGGGATAAAATACAAGTTTTTTTAAGTATGTTATTGTATTGATGAGGTAGTATTAAAATTAACCATTTCAATTTTCTCAAATAGTTTTAAGTACAGCAGATTAAACTAAATGTCTTTAACTAAAGCACTAACAGGTATAATGATAACAATTTGGTAAGTCACAGTAAAGTCTCTTAACTATCCTTCAGATATTAATAAAGTGAATAACTCTAATAACCAGTAACAGATTCTTTCACAAATCAGGTGGGTTCCAGTTCTTTGCTTTCAACAAAACTGAAGGAGGACCTAACTGAGTTATTAAGTCAATAAAAATAATTACTGATGAGAGTGCAATATAATTTTTGGCATATAACTTGTAAACATTTCAAAAAAACTGAGTGGCAATGCTGTTTTTAAAAATTAATTCCATCCAAATGGAATTAACATTTGTTTTTGTTGTAGAAAAGCATCCTGGAGTGATTAATAAAAGACTTTTCAAGCATAAAAATGGGTTATATTAGTATATTGTTCTATGGGGAAGAATGGAAATATGAGTTCAAAAATATAAAATAACGATGTGAAATTTTGACTATTAAAAAAGAGTCTCATATAACTTTTAATGGATAATGGCAGGCATCAAATAGGTATGGCATTTAAATTCATTGGATAAATTTTAGAAAGACATGAGACTCTTTGAACGTCAATATTTGTCATATGTTAAAAATCACATCCTACAATTAAGCTTTTGATGAGAACTGTTAGATGTCAGCTTAAACACGTGTAAGGGGATTTACAGATTTTCAAAATTATTTTAGGGGTACACAACTAAGAACACTGAACAATCACTGCTATAATGGCACCCTATTACTCTACCACAGGAACAAAAGCTCCCGGGGTTCCCACCAGAGACAGGCACATCTGGGGCACGGGGAAGGACGCTTAGAGTGATGCTCATTTAAAAAGCTCATTTTAACAGGGAACAGTAAGACAAGCATCAAAAGGAAGTGCAGACTGTACAGATCCTTGGAGCTCTGCAGGGGGAGTGACTTCTTAGGCGCTGGTTTTCCTCCTGTTTATGAGAGTAGGACTAATAATTTGAGCAGTTCAAGGTGGGGAAAAGCTTAAGTACTGAGTGCACTGAGGAAGCAGAGGTCACAGGAAGGACCCCATAGCGAGGTCCTCTGTGGGTGCAGGACTGCCCCCTAGGGGACATTTCAGAACTCTATTTTTCTGGTTGTCATAATGACCAGAACGTAGTGCTCAGAGGGGCCAAGGATTCACGATGTCTTGCAACACACAAGGTCAGCCCTGGACAACAAGATTCTCCCACTATTAAAACAAATTTTTAATATTCCACTGGACACACATTTAGATGAAATACTTGTTCACAATGATCTGACTTGAGAATCTGATTCTATTTTTGCGGGTACACAGCAAGTACTTTCTGTACAGCGGTATTAAACTCTAAATATTCCAAAGATAGGACCACCATGTAAATCAAGGGGGAGTTGGGTAAAGTCCATACAAGCACAATCTGTTTCGCACTCTGAGACCAGATCATCTCAGGCTACACTATTCATAGTGTCCAGGCTGCCCAAGACCTTGCAGCCATCATATTCATGTTTTTTTTTTGTATAGGTGCATGTGTCTATTTCATCACATCTTCTTAACAGTCAGATATGAGCACATATTCCGATGCATATTATTTTCTTTAACTTTTTATTTCTATATTGGTTTTTAGAATTATCTGTATAGATCGTTTATATAATGTATAAATCCAACTTCAAGAAGTTGGCCACGCATGGTGGCTCACGCCTGTAATCCCAGCACTTTGGGAGGCCAAAGCGGGTGGATTGCCTGAGGTCAGGAGTTCGAGACCAGTCTTGTCAACATGGTGAAACCCTGTGTCTACTAAAAATAAAAAAAAAAAAAATTAGCTGGGCCTGATGATGTGTGCCTGTAATCCCAGCTACTCGGGAAGCTGAGGCAGGGGAACTGCTTGAACCAGGGAGATGGAGGTTGCAGTGAGCCGAGATCACACCACTGCACTCCAGCCTGGGCAACAGAGCAAGACTCCATCTAAAAAAAAAAAAAAAAAAAAAAAAAAGGTTAAAGGTGGCAGTACAAAATGTTTGTTTGTTTGTAGACAGGATCTCGCTCTATTGTCCAGGCTGGAAATGGCACAATCATGGCTAACTGCAACCTCTGCCTCCCAGGCTCAGGCGATACTCCCATCTCAGTCTCCCAAGTAGCTGGGACCACAGGTGCACGCCACCACACCTGGCTAATTTTTGTATTTTTTTGTAGAGATGGGGTTTTTCTGTGTTTCCCAGGCTGGTCTCAAACTCTTGAGCTCAAGTGATCTGCCCTCCTTGGCTTCCCAAAGTGCTGGGATTACAGGTGTAAGCTCACACACCTGGCCCAAAATATTTGTTATAAAAAGAGATATGGACATGCTACAACATGGGTGAATCTTGAAAATATTATGCTAGATCAAAGAAGCCAGAGGTGAAAGGCCGCATGTTATATGATTCCATAGCTATGAAATGTCCAGAACAGGCAAATCCATAGAAACAGAAAGTAGATGGTGACACCCAGGGCTGGTGGGTGGGGGGCAGGGGGAAGGGGAGTGACTGCTAATGGGTACAGGGTTTCTTTTTGGGGTGATTTTAAAAAGTTCTAAATTTGAGTGTGGTGATGACCATACAAGTGAGAATATAATTTTAAAAACCACCGAATTAATTGTATGCTTTAAGTGGTTGAATTGTATGGGATGTGGTTTATATTTCAAAAAGCTTTTTTAAAGTATTGGTCAAATTTGGTTGAAAAGCGCTACTCCAGACTTGCTCACATGGAAGAGAACTGGAGGGGAAAAAGGTAGGCCAGAACATCTAGGTGGGACCCCTACAGGGTTAAAACAGCTATGAAGTATCAGAACACTTCTGCTATTTAGACTGCGGAAGGCTTTCATTTTAAAGGACATACAAATGGCAATGAACATAGGTGAGACTTTCCAAAATAGAATCTATCTCAGATTGCAAATAAATACCACGGCTTCTATGGGTCGAAAAGACATAAATAACACACACCACCGCCAATAGTAGTCCTTTGAAACCCTCCAGACCCAATTAACACACTAAGAAAGCATAAAAACATAAACTGTTCTAGGAAGTATATCATCAGGTAAGGTAACACAGTCCCCCCAGCAACAAAAAGAAAAATAGAAGGAAGGAAAAAAAAATGAATGTCCAAATAGCACCCACCACCAATAATCACCTAGTTAAGAGAAAACCACATCTAGGGATCAAGTTCCCTCACCTCAAGTTATGAGGCGGGTATGAGCCAGTGCATGAAACAGCTAATGTATTCTGAAATCAGAAAACCAGAGCAAAGGAACTAAGATTTACTAGCACGTAAAACCACACACACACACAGACATACATACAAGGTAATTTCTCCAGGCAGCATCTTACTTTGATTACCTTAAATTAGTAATTTGCTAATGCAGGCAGTTCTCACTTTGCATGGTCCCACATTAACTGAAAGTCACGCATGTCCATTGCAAACAGTGTAAAGTGAGGACACTGTTCTGATATGCACAAATTTCAGTTTACATGGCGCCATGCAAAGCAATAAATGCCTCTACCAAAATAGGTCAAACAACATGTTTAAAAGTCTTCTCTAATATGGAGGTCTGTTTGAAAACCCGTATCAGGATTGCTTATCTCTTGTTCAACATTGCCGTTTCAAAACCCAAGCCACACCAGGTATTCATTCCAGTTCCAGGTCAGTTGCTTCAGCGATATTCCCAAAGGAGAACATGAACAAACCCTCAAGATCCTTTCTTCTTCCCTTTCTTTAACCTTTCTGTTTGTTCGATCCGATTCCAAAGCTGTAGGTGGAATGGCAGAAGGCAGGAGTGGGGTAGGAGAGATACAGAGAACCTCCGTCTCCTTGCTAGACTCTCCTCACTAGTCCTATTCCGAAGAGGTTCACAAGAATTCATGCTGTTTGGTCTTTCATTTGTGTACTACTGGAGGAAGTCCAGCTAGGTTACCAATGATACCAGCAGTCTTAGCAAGGCTTGGTAAGAAGATGAGCTGTCATGCCAATGTCCTCACATCGATCCTCCTTTGTTCACCCACCCCAAACCTCCAGGGCCCTCGCTGGGGCTCCTGCTCAGAGCTCCCACTCCTAGGATGGCATTTCAGTGGCCCAAGTTCTGGTGGCTTCATCCAAGCTCCCCTCAACAAAGCAGAGTGATCCTGTTTTCCCCATAAAAGCCCAGTTTTTAGCTGGCCATCATTTAATTTAGGATCTTGGTTTTTTGTTTTTTGTTGTTGTTGTTTTTTGAGATGGAGTCTCACTCTGTTACCCAGGCTGAAGTGCAGTGGTGCAATCTCGGCTCAATGCAACCTCTCCCTCCCAGGTTCAAGTGATTCTCCTGCCTCAGCCTCCCGAGTAGCTGGGACTACAGACGTGAGGCACCACACCCGGCTAATTTTTGTATTTTTAATAGAGACAAGGTTTCACCATATTGGCCAGGCTGGTCTTGAACTCCTGACCTAATGATCCACCCGCCTCAACCTCCCAAAGTGCTGGGATTACAGGTGTGAGCCACTGCGCCTGGCCAGGATCTTGTTTATTTTTTATTATATTTTAAACATTTTCATTAGATATTTAAAGTCATCAAGATTTTATAAAAAATTTCTTTCACTGCCCTTAAACTTAAGAAATCTTATCTCATCAAGAGCATGACTAAATATCCACTTTATCCTCTCCTCCTCATTCATATTTTAATATTTAATTCACTCATTTATCTGGAGTCCTTTTTGATACATCTCTAAAAGACAGATAATTCCACAATGAGTTGCTAGCTAAACATTACTTGAAATTTCAGGATGGGACTCTGTCCTCACCACCAAGCTTTGTTTCCAAGAGATGCCATGACTGATAAAACTGAGGTTGGAAAGATCAATGTCTTACAGAAAACAGAAGATTGGGGGGAAACGATTGAAACAGCACTGAATATGTTTATGAAATGCATCCACTCACTCAACAAATATTTACCGTGCCTCTGTGTCATCCAAGTTCCAGGGATACAGCAGTGAGCAAAGTTCCTGACTTTGTAAGGTTTAAGTGATAGAGACAGAGACAGATGTTAAATAACGCAGTACATCAAGGGCTGAGGAGGCCTTGAAGAATAGTGGATGGAGGGTGCCTGCAGTGAGGTGGTGGCTGCTGTTGTCAGGCTGGGAGGGAGCCCGCCCTGCCATGAGGACCTCTGGGCATCTGCAGGAGACAGGGAGCAGGCCATGCAGCTGTGCGGGGCAAGTGCCTTCCAGGTGAAGAGGAAGCCCATGCACAACGCACCAGAGGCTAAATGACCCAAATTTGCAGAGTGAGCCAGTTCCCAAATGCTCCTCGTGCATCATCCCCTCCCCAGGCTTGGGACATCTACAACAGGCTGGGAACCACTGGGGCAGGACTTCCTACCAGGTTTGTCATCTACAGGCTACACCTCTTCTGAGGCCCCTAAGTCACCCAATGTTTGGCTTGGAGTTTTTTGTTTTTTGTTTTGTTTTGAGATGGAGTCTCACTCTGTCGCCCAGGCTGGATTGCAGTGGTGAGATCCTGGCTCACTGTAACCTCCACCTCCCGAGTTCAAGCGATTCTCCTGCCTCAGCCTCCTGAGTAGCTGGGATTACAGGCGTGTGCCACCAAGCCCAGCTAATTGTTGTATTTTTAGTAGAGACGGGGTTTCACCATGTTGGTCAGGCTGGTCTCAAACTCCTGACCTCGTGATCTGCCCCGCTTGGCCTCCCAAAGTGCTGGGATTACAGGCGTGAGCCACCATGCCTGGCCAGCTTGGAGTTTTTTGTCTTTTGTCCTGGCATTCTTCCTTTCCTGACTTGGTTCTCCTAGAACCTCCCTGGCTTCTCACAAATGGTTTCTAAGCTGAAGAATCCATTGTTCTGAGTCTGACCTTGCACCCTCAGCTCTCCCCACTCTGCAAACTCCACTGGGACCCCCACAGGGTCCACAAGAGGAGAGGGGAGCAGGACAACTGTAGTCTTGTTCTTTTGCGTAAGTGGACTGAGTTTTGCAGAGGTAGGAAGATGGAAGATTTTCATCTTTTAGTTTCAAAAGTCTGTCTCAAACCCACAGCTGGAGTGGCCTTGCTGCACAGAGCAGTGACTTTCATACAAGTTGTCTTGTGGTTAAAGGGCATCCAACTCCAAACCCAGGAGTATCCCTCAACCTTTTGAATTTCGTTTAAAATAAAACTGTAGGATTTCAACAAGGAATAGAAGTGGTCCCAAGGTGGGCTTCACAAACCACCATTCCCAGACATGTTTGTGGGGAAGCCTTCAGCAGCAATGCTGCTCAGGTGGGCATTCAGGCACAGTGACAAGGAGATGGGGAAGAAGACGGTTTCGCAATAATCAATTACACCACTGGAGGCTCCTGGCTGCCTAAGGGCACACTGGCCCTGACCCCATCCTGAAATTGTTCCTTGCAGGTCGCATATTTACTCAATCAATATTCATGCAGAGTCCACTCTACAGCAGGCTCTAGGTCAGAATTAGCTGGATGAGAATGCTCGGGTTCCCTGCATGTGTGCACACACGAACCCTATATATAGTACATTTTGCAGTGGGAGGGGTTACTTTTAATTGAGCACCTGCTTTGGTGTGTCTAATATAGTGTTTGATTTCAACCTTATTCTGAGTAGGCATTACTATTCCTTTTTTTCAAATGAGGAAACTAAGCAGAGACAGATCACATAACCTCCCCCAAGGTCAGCCAGCTAGTTAGTGGCGGGGCGGGACTCAAGCCAGGGTGATCAGACTCCAAAGCCATGCCCCCTCCAGGAAGTCACACCCCTCCAGGAAGCCACACCCCTCCAGGAAGCCACACCCGCCAGGAAGTCAGGCTAATTCCCCAAACTAGCCACTAAAAGTGGCCAGGACTGGTCAGATCAACATGCAGAGAAAGCTGCTGATGTTTTATTGTTAATAAGGTCCCAAGTTCAAGTTTTATTTGGAGATGTTCAAATTTTAATTATTACTTTTAATTGAAATGCACTGTAATTTAATATTAATTTTTGTGTAAGTCAAATGAATTAGGCTAAATTGCAACTTTCATTTTATTTTGGAAGGAGGAGAGGCTGAAGAAAAAAAGCAATAAATAAAAAGGAAAAATTATTTCTCTTAGAAATTCACCTGATAGAGAGGGATTACTGCATTTTCTAAACCATGTCTAGTTTAGACACGGCACATCTGGTATGATAGATGCTGTGTATGAATGGAAACAAGTTTAGGGTAATAAATGTTTCCCAGTGTTAAAATAAACGCCTCAGCGGTTCAGATTTTGGCCAGGCAGTTTCTCCACAGTAGGAGGCACTTATCTACTTTAACACTTTGCTACTTAGAAATTATCACTCAATCAATTACCGTCCACCTGGGTTTATTTTTACAGAGAGCTTCAATAAAATGAGTGTGAAAATAAGTTAAACACATTCTATTCATTTTCTCAATTTTTCACCTCTCCCAATGGTGGTTATGTTGACAGAAAAATTACTTCATTTTATTTCAACAGACATTTATGGAATGCTGACCAGGTTCTGTGCTAAGGGCTGGGAGACAGGATATGACCAAGTGGAATGAAATGTGGTCCCTCTCATTACAGAGCATATATAACCTACCTTTTAGCACAGGCGGTGTCTCTACAGCCCAAATGAAGGCAACCACGAGAAAAATTCTGGACCCTACAATCTCCACAGCCCTCCCCTTCCTCCCCTACCACAAGAGACTGCCCTTTGCCCAGGTAACGTCCCTGTGGTGTTTACCTATGTGGTCCGTCAAGCTCTCAGGTGCTTCCAGATATGGAAATACTCTTTCACCAAAAGATGTTTGTTATACTTTCTTTTTTCTTTTTAAACTTTTCTTTTAGGTTCAGGGGTACATGTGCAGGTTTGTTTAATATAGGCAAACTCGTGTCAGAGGTTTGGTGTACAGACCATCTTGTCACCCAGGTACTAAGCCTAGTACCCAATAGATTTTTTCCTGATCCTCTCCCTCCTTTCACCCTCTACCCTCCAGTAGGCCACAGGGCCCATTGTTCCCCTCTTTGTGCTCATTGGTTCTCATTATTTAGCTCCCACTTGTAAGTGAGAACACACAGTATTTGGTTTTCTGTTACTGTGTTCGTTTGCTTATACTTTCTTTTAAAAGAGTACCTCCCTCTTACATCACTTCTGACGTAAGCTTTAGAATTTCTGTACCATCTGTCTTTTTAAAAATAATAGCTTTACTGAGACATAATTCAAATACCATAAATCCACCCTTTCAAAGTATAAGACTCAACGGTCTTGATACTTTCACAAAGTTGTATAACCATTTCCACTATCTAATTCCAGATTCATCACCCCCAAAAGAAATCCCTCACACATTAGCAGCCACTCCCCATTCCTCTCTCCTCCACCCCCCTCAACCAATCTCCTGGCAACCACTGATCTATTATACTTACTATCCCCATGGATTTGCCTATCCTAGGCATTTCCTATAAATGAAATCACACAACATGTGGTCTTCTTCTGTGTCTGACTTCTTTCATTTTAGCATAATGTTTTCAAGGTTCATCCATGGTACAGCATGCATCAGTACTGCATTCCTTTTTATGGCTCAATAATATTCCATCATATGACTAGACATTTTATTTATCCATTCATCCACTGATGGACATTTGGGTTGTTCCCACCTTTTGGCTATCATGAAGCGTGATGCCATGAATATCCACATGCAAGTTTTTGTGTGGACCTCTGTTTTCATCTCTCTTGGGTAGGTGTCTAGGAGCAGAGTTGCTGTATCACATGGTTAACTCTGTATTTAACCTTGCAAGGCGCTGCCTGTTTTCCAAAGCAGCTGCCCCATTTTACATTCCCATCAACAGTGTGGAAGAGTTCCAGTGTCTCCACATCCTTGCGAATACTTGTTACTGCCTTTTTTCTGACAGCCCCAGGTGTGAGGTGGTATCTCATTGTGGTTTTGATTGGCATCTCCCTGATGGCTACTGATGTTGGGCATCTTTTCATGTGCTTAATAATAAATCTATTTTCCTTTACAAAATTTTCTTAGGTTTTTTGGGTATTCTTTCGAATTTCACATTTTGACCTACAAGTTCAGAACCTCTCCGCATCCGTTCCTCTCACCCTCCTGTAATGTGGTGTGGTCGCCTGTCTTTCAGCTCCTACAGTCGGGGCCTGGGCCACCATCGCTGCTCTCGCATGGCTGATGAGCCTTATAGAGCCTACATCACATCTCTTGGACCTGGAAGGGGAAGGAAGAGGAAAGGCCTGGAGACTCACCAAAAGGAAGGAATTCAGCAATGGCAGAAGTGAGCCCCGAAGTCCCAAAGTCTCTGGATTATTCTTTCCACCAAGCCATGTTACGCCCCTAATTCAACACTTGTCATTTCTCTTTCTCTCTTTTTTTTTTTTTTTTTAAAGCGACGGGGTCTCATTATGTTGCTCAGGCCTCAAGCGATCCTCCCACTTCAGCTTCCCGAATAGCTGGGACTACATCGCGCCACTGAGCCTGGCTTCACCATTTCTTAATTGCTACAAATTCCCCAAATCCCATGAGACAGAAATGTATGTTCAGTCATAAATATGAGTGCACATTATTCTCCCAGGCATGACATGGAACAAGTAAAACAGTAATCCTGCTTTCTGGGTGCAGAGTCAGTGAAGAAACATAAAAACAGTCGCATAGAATGATGCACAGAGATTTAGAAATAGCACCATAAAAGCTCTAAACAGGGAGATTCCACCTGGAGACATCAGCAAGGCTTGCAGAGGAGAGAGAACTGACCATCGCCGATCCACTGAGAAGGAATCAGATGGAAAATGTGGGGGTGGGGAATAATCAGGGATGGGAACAGCACATTCAAAGATCCAGTTTCAGGAAATAGCAGGTGTTTAGTGAAACTAAAACAGAAAGCATGAGGGTCACAGGCGGGGTCACAGAAAGGGTCAAGGCTGGAAAGAGAGGCTGGGGCCAGTGCTTGTCAGTCTTCCCTGCCATGCTCAGGGTTGGGATTTTGTAGGTTCTGAAATGCAAAGCCTGTGAGTTTTTGAGAAAGGAAGGAACGTGATTAGATTTGCACTTAAAGACCTCACTGCAGCAACCACATCTCTGGATATCATACAGATAGATCTTTTCAGCATAGTAATGAAAACTGAAAATTACTGCAAAATGCCTAAACTTGTTCAAGATTCTCTTTGTATCATTTCTTCTTGGCAAAGTTCCGCTGCTCAAGACCCAACAATTCATCTCAACCACTCACCACAAGGTTAAGAAATGCTCTGATGCTGTGGTGTTGGAACTCAGCTATGTTGCCACAAAGTAGTGGGCTTCAAACCTTTGGCTTAAATGTCCCCTAGTAGAATTACAAAAAAAACTATGAAAGCCCTGCATATTTTTAAGTTCACATAAAAGTTTTCCGTCTAAGCTAGGACAGTTGCAAAGGATGCAATTTCTGGTTTGGGATCAATATTGACATTTAAATGAAACTATTATATCACTCTTGTAAGTGTGTTCAAAGGAATCAAATTATCATAAAAATGTGTTATCCACCATCATCTAAAGTGCATGAACAGGCTGGGTTTCGTGGCTCATGCCTGTAATTCCAGCACTTTGGGAGGCTGAGGCGGGCGGATCACTTGAGGTCAGGAGTTTGAGACCAGCCTGGCCAACATGGTGAAACCTTGTCTCTACTAAAAATACAAAAATTAGCTGGGCATGGTGGCGTGTGCCTGTAATTCCAGCTACTTGGGAGGCTGAGGCAGGAGAATCACTTGAACCTGGGAGATGGAGGCTGCAGTGAGCCGAGGTTGTGCCACTGCACTCCAGCCTGGGCAACAAAGACTACGTCTCAAAAAAAAAAAAAAGTACATGAACAAACATTTCCTTTAGTCAAAAATTTGCATTCCCTTTCCTCCTTCAAGAAAATTCTACTTCACCCCAATTCCATCCTAATCCTGCTTAAAAGTCTTACTTCTCTGTTTTATCTACAATAAAAATACACATCAAAAAATTGTAGTTTTTATTTCCTGTAACCATTAAGCTCTAAGTGTTAAGTTTTCATATTATGAATTGATTCAGTTACAATTACCAATAGTACAGAATGGATCAAAATATAAATGTTTTAAATTTTAATAAAAGTATTATGTATAACTTGAAATCCATTGGAAATCCATCTTTTAAAAAGATGAATGGGCCTTTTTATCCTTTCTATAGATGAATATTACTTATGGCTAGAATAAGACAAGGTTAACATCAATTCTATTTCTACTTTCCATTTTTTATAGATGTTAACACTGAGAAACCTTGTCCATATACCTAAGTACAGGGAAATAAAGGAGTTTTATTATAGCAATGCTGCTCAATTCTTTAAACTGCTTCCAACATATTTGTCAAAAATCATGCCTTATCTATCATTAAAAAGTGTTTTTTAAAATCTTGTCTTTTGCTTTCTGACACCAATATTTCATGTTGCCCTGTCTGCCACCCTAGAGGCTGCTCCGTCTCAGACAGGCTCCATCCATAGCAAGATTATGGATGGGTGAGAAAAGTCAGTTGTGGGGCGGGGCAGGGTGGGGTGCGTGGCAGTGGGTGGGAGAAGAAAACAGGCTGATACCCCCACCACTGACATCTGCTCGGGCGGATCAATCTCAGGCAAGAGTCCACGTGGAGGCTAAGGGTCTGAAAACTCCACCACTCCCCACTTATGTGCCCCAGAATGCGCGCCAGTTTAAAGGAATGGCTCTGAGGCAGGTTTGTAGACTCCTGGGTCTCCTACTCCGGTTAAACCTTGAAACAGAAGCTCTGTTCCTGGGGACCCCGAGAAAGGAGATGCAAGCAGGAAAGAAGCAAAGATGGAAAAAGATGAAAAATGTTAGAAAATGGCATAAAAACAAACAATAAAGTGTTTTTCAGAAAAACAGAGAAAAGCTCTATAAATTAGAACTCTGTGGCTTGCCCCACACAAAGCCATCAGATTAGGGAGCAGACCCTCTTCGGCTTTCTCCTCCCCAGCTCCTGCCTCTCCTAAACATACCCAGAGAACCTCTTCAGTCTTTGTACCGTTTTGTTATTGTTATTTTTAAGCAGAGGGTCATCATTTCAACCCTGGTTGTTCCAAACGAATAGTAAACTGTGATAGAAAATTCTGAACATTCCACCACCAGTGACCCTTACTATTCTGATATGGTCTAATAACTCAGAATTATTCCCTATCATACATACTTTATATAACATCAGCTACCACACAAGTTTTTAATACACAGTAAGCAGGTGGCCCCAGCAATTTCTCTTATATCTCACATCTGGTATTGTACTCCATATAAGGTGCTGAGTCCGATTTTTTAATAAAAACATGGCCTGAGCTTGTAAAAGCTCAAGTAAAATATGCCTTTAAAACTGCTGTATTTAATTTCCAGTCATGAAAGTCTAAAATTATTGTAAAATAATACTCAACTTTTTTCACAGATCCATTCAATGAAGCTTAAAAGTACTTTCCTTTCAGAAAGGTAAAGAGCTTCATAACTAACAGTTTCTTGAATTCACATGTGCTGTCTTACTTTTGTGAGCGTGAATTGTATACATTTTATACCTTTCAATCTGGACCAAATTAGTTGGTTAGTAGCACCAAAGTAATATACATGTATGTTTCGGGGCAGAGGTGGGGGAAGGGAATGGTAAGGGAAGGGCAGAAATGCTGGAAATTAAACCAATAACTTGAGACTTGGAGGAATTCATTATTTTTTCAAAAAGGAAATTGAAGACATAAACTGAAGATACACACTAGGTAGGAAACATCAACAAATGTGACATGATTATGAATATTATCTTATAATTAGGGAAATAGCCATTTTGACGGTCATTACACTTTATGTGAGGTTAGTGTACAATGTGGCGTAAAAGACTGGTGTAAAAATGAGATGGATTTCTGCAAGTTCAAACTTAAAATCGTGCATCTGACTAGATATAAGCTGTTGCGAGTGCATTACATCTCCCACTCCAGTCTAGGAAAGGTGGAGTCCCTTTCATTTACACGACTATTTTCATGACTGGGCAAATTCACAGAGGAAACACAGGGATCACATTCCTTCGATCATAAAGTCCTCAAAAGCAATCTTGCTCCATGTCAGCTGGTGCTAAATCAAAAGGTAACTTTCATTTCCTTTAAATAATTCAGTTTCATCTCTAACTATCATCTTCAACCACAGATTTTAAATTGATGCTAAATTGGGTAACTAAGTAGAAATAAATTAGTAGTAGATGATGCTGGCTATAAAACCAAGCCAAGAATTTGAGTAGTTTTTTTTTTTTTTTTTAAAGGTTCTGCTCTACTGAATCTATCCGATAATATTTCTCCAAAGAACTTTTATGCTAGTGCTCATTTTTTCCCTTTTGGGGGATGATGGAAAGGGGGCAGTTACCCTCCCTTGTTATCACAAGTAAAATGCAAAAATCAGCCCACAGATGGTTGCAGAGAAAAAGGTCCTCTCAAACCCCAAAGGCCCAAGTGTAAACTGATATTAATAGATCTGCTCAGTTTGTAGGCAGTTTAACAATAGCTATCCAGACTAAAGACACATGCTTGATGACCCAGTTCCCATAAAAGAGAAACATCACACATGTACATATATCTGGGGGGCAGAGTTCCTCGATGGGCGTTGCAACATTGGTTCTCAGAGAAAAACAACAGAAATCAGCTAACTATCCATTAGGAAGGAAACAGCTAGCAGCTAAACAAAGCGTAGCATGCTCTTATTGTGGTATAATGTACAGTAGTAAAAAGGAATGAGATAGATCAATTGGCTACAACATAGCTAAACCTCCAGAGTACATGGCTGAATTATAGAGTAACACAGCAGCAAACACAGATCAAAATCCAACCAAATCTACTTTCCCCTTCTTGGCAACAGAATTTTGGCTGCAAAGTGCATCTCCCTGACTCCCCTCCTTTCAGCTAGGCAGGCTAGGACCAGGTTCTTGCCAATGAAGCATACCACTCCAGCCTCACACGTTTAAGAGAAAATCTCTACCCCTCTATTTCCACTCCTTTGTCTTATCTGCTGTGTGGAAAAGCAATGACCAGATGACTGACCTAGAAAGTCACATGTTAAAGACGGCAGAGCCCCTGTCAGCCTGGGTCTCTGAATGACTGCATGGAACACTGCAGCCCAATGACCTACATACACTACTTATTATGTTCTGTCACATGAGGGAGAACTACATGCCCTTCTTTTAAAGCCAAATTACTGTCAAGTCTCTTACTATAGCAACTTAATCTTTTATCCCAACATAGAAACATACAGTAAGATGACCAGGTGCGGTGGCTCACGCCTGTAATCCCAATACTTTTGGAGGCCAAGGTGGGAGGATCTCTTACGGTTGGGAGGATCTCTTGAGGTCAGGAGTTCGAGATCAGCCTGGCCAACATGGTGAAACCCCATCTCTACTAAAAATACAAAAATTAGCCAGGTGTGGTGGCACACGCCTGTAATCCCAGCTACTTGGAGGCTGAGGCAGGAGAATCGTTTGAATGGGGAGGCAGAGGTTGTAATGAGCCAAGATCACACCACTGCATTCCAGCCTGGGCCACAGAGCAAGACCCCATCACGAAAGAAAGGAAAAAAGGGAAGGGAAAAGGGAGGGGAAAAAGGAAGGGAAAAGGGAAGGGAAGGGAAAAAAGAGAGAGAAAGAGAAAGAGAAAGAAAGAAAGAAAGAGAGAAGGAAGGAAGGAAGGAAAGAAAGAAAGAAAGAAAAAGAAAAACAGTAAGACCCCTTCTATATTAACACCATATCAAAAAGACTTGAAAAAGCAGATCAATCTCCTGACAGTGATTATAGAGGTGGGAATGAGAGAAAGGAAGGGCACAGGCAAAACAAGACAGATGGGATTAGGGAAAACTTTAGATTTCACTTTTAAATATATGAACAGAAAATATATCCATGTATTACTCATACAATTGAAAGCTGATAATCTATAGAACGTAACAATTTTAATGACCAATTCTATTTTTTCCTCTAAGTTTTTCATTGAGGTGGCATTTGGATTCTAAGTGATTCCAGTCAATATATCTTTCCATAAAATATAAAGAAAATGATGACCAAAATAAAAATAGTCATAAAAAAAAAAGGCGTCATGAGAACATTGTCTGGCACTCACACTCTGGAAAGGGGAAAAAACAATTGGCTGGCACGACGACTTTGTCCCCACGGAGCGTTGTACCGTACAAGCATTCTTCCACCAGGCTACCATGTGAGTGTGGGCAGTTGTCCCCATCTCAGGGTCTCCGGAACCTGGGAGAAGTCCATCCACCCTAGTCTGGGAGACAGCACAGGCTCCAGGAGACGAAGTGAAGGCTCTGTCCCCTGCCAGCCATCAGGTATAGTACAACCTCCCTCTCTCCAAGGGACAGTTTCTTCCAATGAAAAACTGAGGCACCGCACAGGTTGTGTCTGAGATACGACTCCTCGCATTCAAGTCTCAGCTGGAAGGCCCTAAGGAAACAACTGCAACTTTTTTTCAATGACCTGAGTCCATGCATTAAGCAAAAGATGTTTAATTTATTTATTTATTTATTTATTTATTTATTTATTTATTTATTTTGAGACAGAGTCTCGCTCTGTCACCCAGGCTGGAGTGCAGTGGTGCGATCTCGGCTCACTGCAAGCTCCGCCTTCCAGGTTCACGCCATTCTCCCGCCTCAGCCTCCGGAGTAGCTGGGACTACAGGCGCCCGCCACCACGCCCGGCTAATCTTCTAATCTTTTGTATTTTTCGTAGAGACAGGGTTTCACCGTGTTAGCCAGGATGATCTCGATCTCCTGACCTCGTGATCCGCCCACCTCGGCCTCCCAAAGTGCTGGGGTTACAGGCGTGAGCCACCGTGCCCAGCCCAAACGATGTTTAATTTTAGATGAGTTTCTTTCCCCATCTCAGCATCTACCAGAAAAGAGATTTTCATTTTCAAACCTCATTTCTTTCCTAAGGATTACCCATGCAAACTGCATTTCATACTTTCAAAATGCCCTTTGCTTATTAAAAAGCACTGTGAGAACACAGACATGCTTAAGAAATTTCATGATACACGGAGAACAAAAAAATTCTACTTTTGATCATTCTCATCTTTACCAGACTTGCTTAGTACAATTAAATTATCCACCCTAAAATAAATTTTCTTCTAGATACCATATCCTTATTTTGTTAATCCTCCATCTTAAGTGTATTGATGTCCTTAATCTTGTGTTTATAACATCTGGGTTAAAATCACAGACTCACAGAACAAATCCAACCCCCCTACTTAAAGAGAAAGAACAGAGGTCTTCCACCTAGAATCATTTTATGAACAATAGGGGAACTTTAACTTCTGGGAAAACCCTAGATTCCTGCTTTGGAATCCTTTAGGAGTGGGAACAGGAATATGAACAGGAGAAAACCACCTTTAAAATAAAACCCGTGAACCCTAGTTATAGCACCTTTGAATTGCAAAGAATCTGAGAAGTTGTTTGCCACGATTTTAAAATTAATTCCACACCAAAGCATGCATGTTTTTCATTTAAGAGACTTCAGAAATTGACTCTGAAGGACTGTCAGCAGCGAAACCTGGTTGCTTTTGTGTCTCGCCCCAGTACTGCTATTAGGAGTGCAGCCTCTGGCCACCAGTGACCTGGACACACACCCAGCTACCCCTCTGAGAAGCTGCGTCTGGACCACTGCATCTCCCCGGGAACCTCATTGACACCACAGGCTTATTACCATGAAGGGGTGGGGGGAGGAAGAAAAGAGAATACACCTAAGTTCTCCTTAGCAGGCCTGATACGGTCTTAACAGTCACTCTCATGATTATTAGCTATTAATTCCTTATTTTTCTTAGTTATTACTTGCATGATTTTCACTTATATGAGCATATTTCCCCCACCATTTCTTAAAGTATCTTCCCATATAATTATTAATTTTAAAACTAGGTTATCAATAAATAGACCTATATTTCTACCTATGTCATCCTCCAACGGTTATTGATAAATTTGCTACCTTTGCAGATATGAGGATTTTCATCTCAGCTTTCCAGTGAGAAGTGATTGTTTCGGAATCATAGTTACAAGTTTCCCTTAAAGTAACTGGAAGTCTTAAAAGGGGGCTTCATGACAAAACATCACATGAGGAAAAATATCTTAAGGACTAGTTAGCAGTGAGAATTTTCAATAAAATCATGAGCTAGAGATATCAAGGCTAAAATTCAAATACTAAGAGAAGAAAATGTTCCTAACTCCCACAGGTCTGGTCCAACTGTTTTAAAAGACCTGGGCAGAAGGGTTTGGAAAATGGCATCTAAGAAGGAGGAAAATTTAGCACCTACACCCCAGCCCTGGCCCCCCACTCCACCTTCAACTGGAGCCTTAGAGAGGCTCTTTTGAGCAATTATAGAGTAAAATTACATCAGAATATACATTAATGAGAGTATTTTCAATAATGCAAACGCTGCTAATTATATCTTTTCTTTTTAACACGAGGTAGAACATTTTACAGCAACCCTGAGACCGGCCGTGTGCCCAGCAGGGAGCCTCGTATTCCGCACACACTTGGAAAGGCCATGACAGCAGGCTGCATGATATGAGGTGTGAGAAATGAAAACTTTATGTGCATACAAATTTAGATTTTTAAAATATTTTCACTAGGGGCATAAATAAAGAGAAATTAGACCACTGGGATTTCAGAAAACGAGAATACAGACTGTGATTTTTGTTTTAAATTTTGGTACTTAGAGTACCCCAATACCTAAAGAAGTAAATAATTCAGCAAGTTACCAAAAGTAACACTTCACTTTTAACTTTATACTTTTTATATAATTTGAGCTATTTTGTTCAAGGAAGGAGAGAAAATTGCACACATTTAAATAAAAGAAAGGAGACAAGGAAGGAAAACAAAGGGACACAGGCACCACCACAGACGGCCCTTTATCAGGCTACCATGACACATCCATGCAACAAGGGCTACCAAAAACGCTACGAAAATACAATTTCCATCAATTTACACTGATTTTTATTATACCATAGCACTTGAAAAAACTGTCCACAGTTATTTGCCCCCATTATAAAAATATTGACACTTTACCACAAGGTTGGAATTTAGCATGAACATCCACATACCCACCACCTAGACAAGTCACATACTGGGAGTTAATATTCGCAAAACATATATCTGAAAAAGGACTGGTATCTGAGATATACAAAGAACTTCTACAACTCAATAATAAAATGACAAGTACCCCAACTTCAAAATGGGCAAAAGATTTGAACAACATTTCACAAATTAAGAATGCCAGCAGTGTAATAGGTACAATAAGTATAATCATCCTCAACAATATCTGTTTTCAGGAAAATGCAGATTGAAAGCACAGTGAGATACAACTGCACACCCACCAGACCAGTTGAAAGTAAAAGACTGACCACACCAAATATTGGTGAAGATGTAGAGGACCACCTACCATTAACATTTTCTTATACTTGCTTTAGTACATATCAACCTATGCATCCAGCCATTAATTCATCTTCTTGCTTTATGCCTTTCAATGTAAATTGCAGATATACCCTTTAATACTTCAGCTGGGCTGGGCGCGGTGGCTCACACCTGTAATCCTAGCACTTTGGGAGGCTGAGGCGGGCGGATCACAAGGTCAGGAGATAGAGACCATCCTGGCTAACATGGTGAAACCCCGTCTCTACTAAAAATACAAAAAAATTAGCCAGGCGTGGTGGCGGGCGCCTGTAGTCCCAGCTACTCGGGAGGCGGAGTTTGCAGTGAGCCGAGATCGCACCAGTGCACTCCAGCCTGGGTGACAGAGCGAGCCTCTGTCTCAAAAAAAAAAAAAAAACTTCAGCTGCATACCATTAACTAGAGTTCAATATTTTAGTTTTTATGTAAAATTGGCCTACCTTGATATGCTAAGATCTGCTGGGTTTTGACAAATGTGTACACCACCGCCAATCCCAGAAACAACCATTCTTCTAATTTTCTCCCACCATAGATTAGATGTGTCTGTTCTTCAATTTCATAAAATGGAATAGCACACTATGTACTTGTTCATGGGATGTTTCTTTCACTCTGCATAATGTTTTTGAGATTCGTGCAAGCTCATTCCTTTTTATTGCTAAGTAGTGTACCTTTGTATAAATATGCTACAGTTTATCCATTCATCTGTCAGTGGACATCTAGGTTGCTTCCAGGTTTTGGCAATTACAAATAAGCTTCTATGAATACGACCTACAAGTCTGCATAGACATGTATTTTTGTTTATCTTGGGTAAATATCTAGGGATGGGGTTACAGGGTAGGCATATGTGTGCTTTTATTTAAAAATTGCTCCACTATTTTTTTTCAAAATGGTCGTATCATTTTATATTCCCACCAACGATGTTCAGAAATTGCAGTTCCTCTACAACTTCACCAATATTTGGTGTGTCAGTCTTTTCATTTTCAGCTGATCTGGGGGATATGCAGTGGTATCTCACTGTGCTTTTAATCTGCATTTTCCTGAAAACAGATATTGTTAAGGATTATTACACTTATTATACTGCTGGCATTCTTCTTTTTTTTTGTTTGTTTGAGACAGAGTCTCGCTCTGTCGCCAGGCTGGAGTACAGTGGCACAATCTCGACTCACTGCAACCTCCACCTCCCGGGTTGAAGCGATTCTCCTGCCTCAGCCTCCCCAGTAGCTGGGACTACAGGCGTGTACCACCACACCAAGCTAATTTTTGTATTTTTAGTAGAGACAGGGTTTCACCATGTTGGCCAGGATGGTCTCGATCTCTTGACCTTGTGATCCGCCTGCCTCAGCCTCCCAAAGTGCTGGGATCACAAGCGTGAGCCACCACACCCAGCCATTGCTGGCATTCTTAATTTGTGAAGTGTTGTTCAAATCTTTTGCCCATTTTTAAATTGGAGTATTTGTCATTTTATTACTGAGTTGTAGAAGTTCTTTGTATATGTCAGATACGAGTCCTTTGTCAGACATATGTTTTGCAAATATTAACTCCCAGTGTGTGACTTATCTATTCATTTCCTCATCAGTACCTCTTGATGAGCAGAATTTTTCTTTTTAGAGACAGGGTGTCACTCTGTCATCCAGCCTGAAGTGCAGTGGTGCAATCATATCTCACTGCAGCCCTGACCTTTTAGGTTCAGGCCTCCTGGGCAACTGGGACCACAGGCATGTGCCACCACATCCAGCTAATTTTAAAAATATTTTGTAGAGATGGAGTTTCACTATGTTGCCCAGGCTGGTCTCAAACTCCTAGGATCAAGCTATCCTCCTGCCTTGACCTCTCAAAATGCTGAGATTACAGGAATGAACCACTGCACCTGGCTAGAATTTTTAAATGAAGTCTAACATCATTTTTCTTTTATAGTTATTGCTTTCTGTCATCAGTTTAAGAAATTTCTTCTTAGTCGCAAGTCATGAAGATATTGTTTTCCTTTAAAACTTTACGATTTTTCACTTCTGTATTAAGGTCTATGATTCATCTCAAATCAATTTTCCTGTATGAGGTGAAGTACAGCACAAGATTCCCTTCTTTTCCTATATGGAGCACATATCTACTTACTGTATCACCACTTCTTGAAAACACATTTCTTTCCCCATCGGATTGCTTTAACACCTGTCTCAAAAATCAAAGGCCCTAACACAGTGAAACCCCGTCTCTACTAAAAATACAAAAAATTAGCCAGGTGTTGTGGTGGGCGCCTGTAGTCTCAGCTACTCGGGAGGCTGAGGCAGGAGAATGGCATGAACCCAGGAGGTGGAGCTTGCAGTGAGCCGAGATCGCGCCACTGCACTCCAGCCTGAGCGACAGAGCGAGACTCCGTCTCAAAAAAATAAAATAAAATAAAATAAAATAAAATAAATAAATTAAAAAGCCAATAAGGTGCAGATCTATTTCCAGGGTATTCTGCTCTATTGTTCTATTTTCTTGTTAATGCCAGTACCATATAGCTTTGATTATTGTCATTTTATAGTAAGTCTTAAAGTTAAGTAGTATGACTTCTCCACCAACTTTGTTCTAAATTACTTTCTCCATTATAGAACTTTTGCATTTCTATGTACATGTTAGAATTAGTGAGGACGTGGTGGCCCATCTGGAGCAGCCACTGTGGGGACACCAGCTGCAATGGGGGAGGTGTGGCCAGGGCTGCTGCACTCCATGGAGCTAACACAGGCCAGGAATGGGCGGGAGCCCTGCCCCCTACCAAGTCGGCTGGGCAGGAGCCCCATGCTCCCAGGTGCAGCTGCGGCCACCCAGCCACGGCTCTGGACCCAGGCATCCCTGCACTCTCGGGGGTCCAGGAAGCACCCCCGGTCCCTGCAGGCTTGGAAGTGCCTACTCGCACTCCCTGGCCTCTCCCCGCTCCCGGCACCCACTTCAGTGCAAAGTTGTAGCCAAGCGCGGGTGCTGTCATGACCCAGCCAGGTGTGCACATATGCAGAGTAGCCAGCACTCCCCTCCCCGACTGGTGCTTCAGCCCCCTCTAGACTTTGGTCACCAATGAACGCAGGAGGGAGACCAGAGGACTAAGCGTGACTTTGTACAGGCCTGTGGGTGCCCCTCAGCATAGACAGCTGGGCACCACGGACAGCATGTTGATGGCAGCGGGAGGCAGACAGGCTCCTAAGCAGGAAGAAGCCAGTTCCTGGTGAAACCACACCTTCAAGCCTGAAGCCTGGGCTCCAGGCTGCCAGTTCCAGGTGAGGTCCACGGCCTGGAGTGAGAATTTCATTGACAACTGTTTGGCCATTCGGATGGTGCTTTTTCCAGGACCAGCCAGGGACACCCAAGGACCAGTCAGCACACACTTCCTCCATTGTGACAACATAAAAACCCCAGATTCAGCCACTCACACTCTCCTCTGGAAGACCCCGCTGAGAGCTGGACACATGTCGGGACAACCTGTCTGCAGAAAGGAGCTACCCACCATGGGTCTCCTCTTCGCTGAGAGCCAGACAGATGTTGGGATAACATGTCTGCGGAAAGGAGCTACACACTACAGGTCTCCTGTCCACTAAGAGCTGGACACTCATCGGGACGATCTGCCTGCAGGAAGGAGCTACCCACTTCAAGTCTCCTGAGAGCTGTTCTGCCACTCAATGAAGCTTCTCTCTGCCTTGCTCGCCCTCCAATTGTCCACATACCTCCTTCTTCCTGGATGCAGGACAAGAACTTGGGACCTGCCCAATGGTGGAACTAAGAGAGCTGTAACACAAACAGGGGCAACGTCCCCCTGCTCGCCATGTTGCAGGTGATGAGGAGAGAAGAGAGGCAGCTCTTCGGGGAGCCAGACCTAGGGGCTCCCCAAGCCAGGGCTGTGACACCCTCTTTGGGGCTCTGCAGTTCCTGGTGTCTCCAAGTTTCTGGATGCCACCACATTCCCCTTGTCTAGGTGCTGGTGCCTGCAGCAGAAGCCACTTGTGGTACATCTGATCTAGCCTCAGCCTTGCACGGAGGCAGCACCCGTGCCAGGGCATGGAGCTGCCTGCCCCACCGCAGCAGCCACTGTGCACTGGCCTGCCTGTGCACAGTGGCCAGACCCCAAGCTTGCTCGTTCACAACCCCTCGCCAGTGTGCGCCTGGCTCACCCGTGGCAGGCATGGGATCCAGGCTGAGAGTGCGAGCCAAGTGCAGCCTGCCAGGGCTGAATGAGCCCAGCAGGCCCGAACAAAACTCAGGCAAAGGTACCACCAGCCACAGAGGTTTCTGGCTGGAAAAGCAATACTCTAAGGATCCTGTGACATTTTCGTATACATTTCCACAAAAATACCTGCCGTGATTTTGATTGAGCTTGTACCAAATTCGTACATCAACTTACAGCAAACTGGCATTTTACCAGTACTAACTCTTCCAAACCATGATCATGGTTTCTCTACGTAGGTCTTATGCAGTTTCAAAACAGTTCGTACTTTCCCTTGTGATTTCTTGCTTGACCAATGGACTATTTAGATGTGTGCTGTTTACTTTCTAAATACTTGTGGGTTTCCTAGATCCATTTTTGTTATTGATTTCTAATTTAATTCCATGGTGGACAGGGAATATACTCTGTGATTTCAATCACTTTAGGCTTTTGGAGACTTGTTTTATGACCCAGCACATAGTCTACCTTGGTGAACATACCAAGCACACTTGAAACAAGGTGAGTTTGGCAAGGTATAGTGTTCTGGAAGTATTAGGTATCAGGAAGGTGAAAGTGGTTGAGAGTGTTATCCAGATTATCTATGTTTTTCATGATTTTTGGTTAGCTGTTCCATCATGGGCTAAGAGAGCATTGCTGAAATCTCCAACTATGACGGTGGACTTCTCTATTTCTTTTATTCTGTCCATTTTTGCATCATATACTTTAAAGCTCTGTTATTAGGTAAATACACATCCATGAGTTGTTATCTGTTCTCTATGAATTACCCCTATTGTCACTGTGAAATATCCCTCCCCATCTTTTGTACTTCTTTGTCTTAAAGTGAATTTTGTCTGCTGCTTAAAAAGTCACTCCAACCTCCTTAGGCTGTTAATGTGGTATATAATTTCCTATCCTTTTACTTCTAACCTGTGTCTTTATAATTGAAGTGTGTCTTGAAGAGAACATATACTCAGGTCTTGCTTTTTAAAAAATCCATTCTAACATTTTCTGCCTTTTAATAACAGGGCTTAGTCTATTATCATTTAATGTAAATATTGATAAGGTTGAATTGAGTTAAACCATTTGGTTAATTTTTATTTTTTTCTCTCTTTTTTTTGTGTGTGTTTCTAGTCCTCTTTTCCTGACTTCTTTTAGATTTTTTTTTTAGAATGGCATTTTATCTATTGGCTTTTGAACTGTATCTTTTGCCTTATGTGTTTAGTGGTTATCCTAGGGATTACAATGTACATCCTTACCTTTTATATCAACTTAGCATTAATATTGTACCATGTCAGATCAAATGCAGAAATGTTACAATCTTATAGGTCCATTTACCACCCCTTTGTTGTTCCTTTTTGCTAGAGTTGTCATATGTATTCTACCAATGAATGTAAGACTATGTAAGATGATGCTACAATTTTGCTTTAGGTAGATATATGTGTGTTGGGGGAGTATTTTAAATTTACCCAGATATTTGTCCAGAGAGCATTCCTTCCTAAAGACTCAAGTTTCCCTCTAGTGTTTTTCCTTTCACCTTTTGAAACTTCCTTTGGCATTTCCTTCCAGCAGACCTGCACTATGACACATTATCTTAGTGTTCTTTTACCTGGACATGTATTTTGCCATCATTATTGAAACATTTTGTTGGATATGGAATTCTGGGTTGACAAGTTTATCTTCCTTGAGCCCTCTAAAAATATTGTTCCACTCTCTTCTGGCTTTAATAATTTCTGAGAAAAAGTCCACAGACATTCAAATCATTGTTCCTCACTGCATGAAATGCTGTTTTCCTCAGATTACTTTCAGTACTTGTTTTTTTTTTTAATCTTTGGTCTGCAGCAGTTGGACTATAATATGCCTAGATGTATTTTCATCATATTCATCTGGCTTGGAGTTTGCTGAACTTCTTGAGCCTGGAAATTTATGTCTTCTGCCAAACTGAGGGAACATCTGGCCATCATTTTTTCAAATTTTTTTTCCATCTCTCCTACACATATATTAAACATTCTGATATTATCCATAGGTCCCTGAGGCTCTGTTTATTTTTTAAATCTTTTTCTCTCTTCTTCAGATTAGATAATTATTACTGTCTTATTTTCAAGTTCATAGAACCTGAGAACATGAAGATGATAAAATTACATTCTCTGTGGGTAATCATTGAAGGGTCATTGTGAACTAGACAGAAGCTAGAAGAAACATACAATTCTAATTTTAAAAGGAAATTGTACTAACCAGAGATATTCTATCCCAAGTGAAATTCAAGTAAATAAACGAAACTACTACTACTGAGCACCTATTAAAGGTCAGAAATTGTACTGGCACTTTCATACTTACCATTGTATTTAATTTAGATCACAGCTCATTAATAAAGGTATTACTGCCCACAATATACACATAGTAGTACAGAGGAACAAAAAAGTAACTTGTCCCACTAATTAGCTCAAGAGCTGAGACTTTAACTTAGGACTCCCGTTATAGCTTTACCACTCATCTCATTGAAAAAATAAAAAATTAAGAGAATTGTCAAGAGTTAGACATATTAGCTAGCCTGATTTTCTTTTGTAATAAGATTAGTATACAAGTAGATATTGGAAGTATGGGGAACATAGTACATTACGATTTCAGCAAAGCATCTGTCAGAAGTAATATAGTATTACAAACTAACAATTAGGGCTCTTAACACAGATAAAACTCTTAAATGCTGCTTCTATCACTTACTCTTTATGTCACTCTGTCCAAGCATTTAAACTCTCTAAGCTATAGCTTCCCCCTTATCTCTTTAAAGGGGAACCATGATGATACTATCTCACCAGGTTTTAGTTAAGACCGAATGGTAAAAATCTACAGAATGCATTTAGCATAGTACTGTCACATAGTAAATGGTAAATTAGTGTTAACTATTATTATTAAGGCATGATATCTCTTGAACAAAAATAATTGGAATATAACATAATTATGAATATTCATGAAGTATTGTAAACAACAGTTATTAACCCCATTCCTATTCAACTTCTGTCAATGTCTGCTTTGTTTTATAATTCACCAAGTATCTTCCAGAAAAGAAAGATTGTAATGGGGTCACTACAGAATTATACAGAACTGCTGGCTCAAAAAGAAATATGATTATTTATAATAGGAAATCACCAGCAATGACAAGAATGCATTCACAGAAGATTGCTTAAATAAATTATGATAGACTAATCTTGCACATGTAGTGTAGGAGGAAATAAAAGACTAGAAGGAGATACACCAGAAGATTAACATGATTCATATCTCTTCAACTAATTAACAAACATATTAAATACCATTTGGGAAAAGATTACATTTTTTTCAACAGTATTTGGATTCAGATTTCCATTTTGGAATGGGGTGGGTTTATAAGGAGCCATTCTGGGAGACAGAACTATCTCCAAGGTGACTGGAAGGGGATGCCTCAAGTTATAAGAGCTCAACAGACCAAGCACAGTGGCTCACACCTATAGTCCCAGAACTTTGGGAGGCCAGGAATTCAAAACCAGCCTTGGGCAAAAAAGTGAGACCTTGTCTCTACAAAAGCTACGAAAAGTTAGCCAAGCATGGTGGCACGCGCCTGTAGTCCCAGCTACTCAAGAGGCTGAGGTGGGAGGACTGCTTGAGCCCAGGAGTTCGAGGCTGCAGTGAGCCGAGATTGCACCACTACACTCCAGCCTGGATGACAGAGCAAGATCCCATCTCTTAAAGAAAAAAAAAAAAAAAAGAGCTCAGTAAATATTTGACTGAACAAATGGTAGGAAATTGCCCAGTATCTGGTGCTCAGACACATCCACAACACTGCAGAGGGCATTCAAGCCCTCTGGCCCCTGAGGTGCCTGCCAGAGTTTGGACAGACATTTGTTTGTCTGATTTAAGGTTCAGTAGAAGTCAAATCCCTCATTCGTTTCCAATGATGACAACATGGTGCTGGAAACATTTGGTGCACTTCATGACAATTTTCCAGGTATCAACAGTAAAAACAGAAACTGCCTGTAATCTTACAACGGTGCTCTATCTCCACTGCCTGGAACAAAGGTTCCAAGAAGGCCTCTTAGCAGTTAGGAAACATGCTCATATTTTGCAACAGAAAGAAGGGAAGAGGAGGCAGGAGAAGGAAGAAAAGAGAACAAGATCTGAAACGAAGCTAGAGAAGGCATTTTAATTGAGCTAAAAAACAAAACAAAACAAAACAAAAACAAATTCTAAAAGTAGCTCCACATCAGAGATTCACAGCCCAGGTTTGCAACATCTAAGTTTCTTGTATTACCTCAATGGGCATCACAGAATGCAAAAAAAAAAATCATATTACATTTCATCTTGTTTCCATTTATAAAAGAGAAGATGCCATAGGTTGTTTCCGGAAGTGGAAAGGGTATTGAAAATGAGTAGAAAGGATGAAAATAAAAACCAGGAAAGCAGGGAGATTGCCACGACTTGCAGAATCCACCTCGAACACTCCACCAGGATTCCAAGCATATCAGACCCCACACTCCGATTCCACGGCAGGTTCTATACTATGTTAGTAAGTCAAATAAGCTTTAACAAAACATCGAAATCCAAAATGTCAGCCACGACCTCATCCAAGACCACTCCACATCTGCCCAAACTCCCCTTACCCCTCCCAGAGCACTCCTTAGGGCGTGGGAGCCGAGGGGCATTTTCCACCACAGCTGAGTTCTTCACGCCACTGTATCATCCCCTCCTGCGTTCTGGGTGTTTGGGTTGGAAGCGATGCCAGCAGAGAGTTTTTGTTTGTTTGTTTGTTTGTTTGTTTGTTTGTTTTGAGATAGAGTCTCACTGTCACCCAGGCTGGAGTGCAGTGGCGTGATCTCGGCTCACTGCAACCTCCACCTCCCAGATTCAAGCAATCTCCTGCCTCAGCCCCTCAACTAGCTGGGACTACAGGTGTGCACCACCATGCCCGACTAATTTTTGTATTTTTAGTAGAGATGGGGTTTCACCATGTTGGCCAGGATGGTCTCAAACTCCTGACCTCAAGTGATCCACCTACCTCGGCCTCCCAAAGTGCTGGGATTACAGACGTGAGCCACCACGCCTGGCCCGGCAGAGATTTTTCTTCTCGGATATCACTCAGCTGTAATTGGAGACATCTGAACACCCACCCGGATCATCACCCCCACTCCCACCCCAGGAGCCACTTTGTCTAACAGGGGCATGGAACTCATTCGACTTTCCCTGGGTTCCAGAAGGAAACTCCAATTACTCAGCCACCACTACTGTTAGCGTGGGAAGCTGGGAAGCACGGAATGAAGCCGAGTTATGAATCATGCACACACAGACAGCTGTCGGGGGATGCATGCCAACCAGAGGGGCCACACATATTCCGTGTTGATGGGACAGCACCTGCAGGAGGCAGAGAGAACTTGTAACAGATCATATGAAATCCCCATTGCCGTAATTCCTTTTTGGAACAGGGCAGGGCATAAAAAGAAGTAATCCAGATGATCAGCCAGACATGAAAAGAAAAGAACTGTCCTCAGGCCAGCTGGGCCTCAGTGTCCGTGTTGGAAGGACACTTCCAGCTTTGGTGGTCTTGATGTCCATACCCTGAGGAACCTGGCCTCTGAGAAGGCTCCCAGGACCCATGTGGACAGGGGGGCTCTGCACCATTTTACTTGAAAGGGGGCTTTACAGGCATGGTGGCACGTGCCTTAATCCCAGCTACTAGGGAGGCTGAGGCAGGAGGATCACTTGAATCTGGGAAGCAGAGGTTGCAGTGAACCAAGATTGTGCCACTGCACTCCAGCTTGAGCAAGAGTGAGACTCCACGTCGGCCGGGCATGGTGGCTCACGCCTGTAATCCCAGCATTTTGGGAGGCCGAAGCGGGCGGATCCCAAGGTCAGATCATCGAGATCATCCTGGCTAACACGGTGAAACCCCGTCTCTACTAAAAATACAAAAAATTAGCCGGGCGTGGTGGCAGGTGCCTGTAGTCCTAGCTACTCGGGAGGCTGAGGCAGGAGAATGGCATGAACCCGGAAGGCGGAGCTTGCAGTGAGCCAGGATTGTGCCACTGCACTCCAGCCTGGGTGACAGAGCGAGACTTCGTCTTGGAAAAAAAAAATTAAGCCACAGATCTAGTATAACCCTCTAATCTCACAGATGAGAAACAGACCCGGAGAGGCTGAGTGATTCACCAACATCGCACAAGCTGCTGTGTCAAAATGGCAGGCAAGAAAGTTACAGTCTGAGATTTTGGGGTTTTTTTGTTTTGTTTTGTTTTGTTTTTGAAATAGAGTCTCACTCTGTCGCCCAGGCTGGAGTGCAGTGCCGCAATCTCAGCTCACTGCAACCTCCACCTCCTGGGTTCAAGCAATTCTCCTGCCTTAGCCTCCTGAGTAGCTGGGACTATAGGTGCGTGTCACCACGCCTGGCTAATTTTCTTTCTTTCTTTTTTTTTTTTTTTTTTTTTTAGTAGAGATGGGGTTTCTCCATGTTAACCAGGATGGCCTCGATCTCCTGACCTCGTGATCCACCCACCTCGGCCTCCCAAAGTGTTGGGATTACAGGTGTGAGCCACCGTGCCCGGCCCAGTCTGAGGTTTTTGTATTTCATTTTTAGGTAAATTCTGTATGCACATATTACCCAATTTTAAACTGAAAACTCTATTAGCATCAAGGTGACCTCTGGAACCAAAGGGCAAAGAAAGAGGCAGGTACAGACTTCCCCATCATTCCTCCTTCTCATCTCCTTGCCCTTCCACAACCAGGGAAAATCCTTCTCCGCCAGGCAATGACTTCATCGTTTCCTTCTCACTAATTTGAATACTCTTATGGGAGAGCCAAACAAAAAATGAAAATGATGAATGACTCCTTGTGCAATGCAGAAAAAATGTGGCGTTTGGGATCTCACAGTGACGGAATACCCCTCATGCAGAAACAGAACATGCTTCTCTCCAAAACAAAAAGCAGAAACAACAAAGGTATTTCAGAGCTCAGAAGGTGTTTTGCCAAATGGTAGGTGTGTAAAAGATTTTAAAGGGGCAGGTGAAAGCAAATCAACTCTCACCTCCAAAGCAGGTAACTGTTTTATTTGAAAGAAAAACAAAAGTTCCCTCTAAATAAGCCACAAAGCTAAGTCAGGGGAGAAAAAGAAATGGAAGAGAGGGATGCCTAACAAGTAGGAGGAAAAATACCTGCTGGGATAACTGGCACATTTATTTTAAACATTGACAGATTTTGACTAAAACATATTTTTAAGCCGGAACTCAACCTCTATCTGCACACCCCATGTGTCCAGGTGACTGGTCAGACCTCAATCATGAACACTAACGTCTAAGAATATCTAAAAAAGTTTCTACTTAGAAACTACTGTTAAATCATAATCCAAGTTTGGGCAATGCTGCTTTCTTATCATAGATTTCTTACTGCATCAGAATCTTGAAACATATGCTCAGGTTTTATTTGCAGTTTCCACTGTCGGTGGCTATCAGCAGCGCTGTGTGGGGAAAGCACCTGTCTTCCTTGGTAGCTGAAGAGGAGATTAAACCAACTCTTGGTGGCCACCCCACTCCGTGTCAGAGACTATGCAATGGGCTTTCCACAGCACCACCTGCTCTGACCTTCCCCACATGAATGGCTGCCAGGTCCGACCCGCAGACCATGGCTGAACAACGGATGAACAAATGCACTCAGACACAAGAATCCAGTGAAAGAGCAGGCTAGGGGACCCGGCCACCCACAGACACCAAGGAGGGTGCTGTAATGAGTCAGCAGCCACAGCCCCGAAAAGCCGGCACTGTGGGCATTTATTCAGTATAGATTTAATGACAAAGGCCTTGAGTCAACACATTTGTGGGCAATTCACATGGTCACCCAGACCCGGAGAGAGTAGTTCTGTGCGTGGATGCTTAAGGGCGAGGTTCCAAGGCCTAAGTAAACTAACTTACCTAGATCAGTTTATTTATATCCCCTTGTTATCTAACGTAAGCTTTCAGGCACCAGATAAAAGAATCTGGCTGCCTTCAGCCAAATCCTTTTCCGAAGCTTTTGTAAAACCTTCCAGCCTTCCAAGAAGGTTTGCATCTTCTGCAATTTTTCCCACCACCCTTACCAATCTCCTACAAATGGCATTACCATGAGTGGGCATTATTGCAGCTTGTCCATTTTAAGATGAGATGTCATGGAATTTGCCCCAGGCCAGTAGCCAATGAAGCTCCAGAGCCTGCCCTGCTTTCAGCATCCCATGCAGCCTTGCCCAGTGGGAAACCAGACTTCTAATAAACTCAGGCTGGTTATTCCAAGGTCATGTCTTTGGCCCTTCTGCTAAAGAATAACTCCTTTACAATCTAAAGACTAGAGTGGAAGCAGTTCCAACCCTCAGCAGATTCAGCTCACTACTAAACTAAAATCAACACATTTGGATTTTTCTCTAAGGTAAACCTGAACTGGGGGGAAAAGAGCATAGAGAAGTCCCTGTCACCCTCTTTATTGATTATCTTTTCTAACCCTAAACCTTGCCTTATTACCTTTTGTGGTCTTTTATTGCTTGTTTAAATAAAACAGAGGCATTTGACAAAATGAATATTAAATGTAGTTACAATCAAGCAATTCTGCAGAGTAATAAACATCTGGGGTTTTTTTTAGAGCTTAAAGAGAATGTAGTAATGTCAGGTGCACGTGTTTCTGACTGTCATGGAAGGTTCAGGGGTCTCAGGAAGGTGTGGGTGATGCACAAGGCATATCCAAGGGACTGCGAAAATGTTCAAACCACTGCAGATTTGGCTCTTTTGAAATGACTGTGAATTACCTGTGAAAATGATAACTAAAGGGTTAAGATTTCAAAAAAAGAGAAGGTTCAATGAAAAAGAGACTTGCTTCACATATAAGAGAAACACAAACATGGACAACTGACTATGTTTTCTCATCTTTCAAAAAAAGTTGGACTAAAATATTTTTGGCACAACAGTAACCAGCAACAAACAATTGGTTCTAGTATGAGAAAAAAACTGTCGAAATCTTCAAACAAAAACTCCATTCCAAGAAAACACCTACCACACCAGGCACGGTGGCTCATGCCTATAATCCCAGCACTTTGGGAGGCCAAGGTGGGAGGATCGCTTAAATTCAACAGTTCAAGGCCAACCTGGGTAACATAGTGGGACCCCTGTCTCTACAAAAAATTTAAAAATTATCCAGGCATGGTGGCTCACGCCTGTGGTCCCAGCTACTCGGGACGCTGAGGTGGGAGGATCACTTGGGCCCAGGAAGTTGAGACTGCAGTGAGCCATGATCAGACCACTGTACTCCAGCCTGGGTGACAGAGCAAGATCCTGTCTCAAAAAAAAAAAAAAAAAGATACACATATCACAGTCCTGAACACAGACCACACCAATCTGTTTCATGGACGTCCACAGCACTGCTGCTGAAGGATGCGTTATAAAGGCTAAAAAGAATTGCACACAAAGTTTAAATAATAATGAGAGTTCCATAAATATTATCTATGTACTAAGAGTCTGCTGACATATTATCTCGGCGCATCCTCACCCTATCCAGTGAGGCACCCTGAAGGAGGGCCCCACATCTTCTCTATTCCCCATGGGTCCCAGAGCCTCACACAGGATCTTGCACACAGCTGGTGTGCCAGAGAAAGTAGTTAAGTAATTAAACTTTTTATTTTTAAGTAGACTATTACCAGCTACATGACACAGATAAGGAAATAGAGGCATAAAAGGTTACTGATTTTCCCAAGTTTACTCGTCTAATAAATTGGGATTCCAAACCAGGGCCAGCAGGACCCCATCCCAAGATCTAAGTAATGTAAAATGAATGAACCACGGGCTGATATGCAATTTCTGCAAATACTTTCTACCCCAGCTTTTCTACCATGTTATCTACTTTTTTTTTTTTCCTAAAAGTCTCATACACCCTCAAAAGATGAAGACTGCCACCATTGAGAACATTCAAAAGATAGGTGCTGTTGGCCAGGCACCGTGGCTCAGGCCTGTAATCCCAGCACTTTGGGAGGCCGAGACGGGCGGATCACGAGGTCAGGAAATCGAGACCATCCTGGTGAACACGGTGAAACCCCGTCTCTACTAAAAATACAAAAAAAATTAGCCGGGCGTGGTAGCAGGTGTCTGTAGTCTCAGCTACTTGGGAGGCTGAGGCAGAAGAATGGCGTGAACCCGGAAGGCAGAGCTTGCAGCGAGCTGATATCGCACCACCGCACTCCAGCCTGAGCAACAGAGCGAGACTCCATCTCAAAAAAAAAAAAAAAAAAAAAAAGATGGGTGCTATGGGTTTGAAAGAGCTTCAGCAGAATCCCTGCCATGGCTGGGCAGCTTGCCCTACCCTGAAGGAGGCCATGTTCGCTCCACTCCAGGTGACATTCACTCCTGCTGTTCTGCGCAGTCAAATTTGGGATGCTTCAAGTTGTCCAATAGTAAAATGATACTCAACTGCAATGGATTGAATGTTTGTGTTCCCTCCCCAACCCTCTGTCAAAATTCATGTGTTGAAATCCCAGCCCCCAATGTGATGGTAATCACTTTTGCAGGTGATTAAGTCATGAGGGTGGAGCCCTAACTAATGGGATTAATGCCCTTCTATCTGAGGACCGTTGAGAGCTCTCTCACCCTCTTTCTGCCATGTGCGGATACAAGAAGTCAGCAGTCAGCAGGGTCTGGTGGCTCATGCCTGTAATCCCAGCACTTTGAAAGGCCGAGGCAGGAGGATCATTTGAGGTCAGGGGTTCGAGACCAGACTGGCCAACATGGTGAAACCCTGTCTCTACTAAAAATACAAAAAAAATTAGCTGGGTGTGGTGGCACATGCCTGTAATCCCAGCTGCGCAGGAGGCTGGGGCAGGATAATTGCTTGATCCCCGGAGACAGAGGTTGCAGTGAGCCAAGATCCTGCCACTGCACTCCAGCCTGGGCCACAGAGTGAGATTCTGTCTCAAAAAAAAAAAAAAAAGTCAGCAGTCTACAATCTAGAAGATAATTTGACCAAGCCGGGTAGCACCTTGATCTCAGACTTCTAGCCTCCAGAACGGTGAGAAACAAATTTCTGTTGTTTATAGGCCATTCAGTGGATGCCACTTTGTTACTGCACCCCGGAATGATGAAGACATCAACATCAACGCTGAGAGGACACTGGGACGGCTCAGTTCTAATGAAAATGCACCTAAATAGAACACATTATCACTATCACAAAATGGTAAACATCAAAATAACTCTACCATACTTGAAAAATCGGTGACAAAATATGAAAATAAACAACCAAGAACACTAAAAATTAATGTAGAAGCTTCTCTGAAAAATACCAGGCCACAGAATAATTCAACTTCAGGAGCTTGGCATGTGAAAGGTTAACTTATTCAGGTGTTGAATTGGAACAACAAAAAAAATTTGATGGAGAATTTGCCAGAATAACCCTTCAGTCACAACCGTTGCCAAAGTCAAAGGCCAAAGTTATATTTTAAATTTTAGAAGTAAACATTAAAATGAAGGTTTCTTAAAATTCTCCAATAATTTTCACTTTTAAAGTACCAAACTGACACATAAAAAAATTCGTGCTAATTATCCCAAGCAATCAACTTCTTTAAAACCCTTTATTTCACAATTACGCTAATATCCCATTAATTTGGGACACTTACCAATGTATTTATTCTTTGCTCATTACCTATGTGCACATTAAGAGTACACCAATAACACAATACAGGCATTAATATGTAAAACATCAACAAAAGCCATCTGGAAAGCTAATGAATAATCAAGGGATTTCAAATTAAACTACAGAATTTTCCCTTAGAATCTTTAGGACAACACTGTCAAGCTCAATCTATTCACTTCGCCTCCAGAATCAATTTTTCAAACTTTATGACAGGTCTAATCGCTTCCACCTGTGTCTCCAGCTTGACTCTTGACTGGCATGCTACCAGCCAGGGTGGAAATGTAGACAAAGACCCCTATTAGGATCCGGCTGTTTCTCTACTGTGAGGTCACTCAGCCATTAAATTAGTTCCAGCCCAATTTCTGTCCTCTCGGGCCTCGACTTCAGGGGAGGAGGGTGCAGAGTTGAGTCAGTTAGCAGCACAGACCCAGAAGGGAAGAAAAGGGGGAAAAGATGTTTGGGACTGACTAGGTAGGTGTGCACAAAGCTGAAAAGCTGGAGTTGGTCCCAAACTCTGAAATCGAAATACTATCTTTCTTAAATGACTGCAGCTATTCTCCCCAATGCGATCCTGCCCCCTTCCCATTTAAAAAAAAAAAAAATATATATATATATATATATATATATATATATATATATATATATATATATATTTATTTATTTATTTTATGGGATTGTGTTTCCTTTTCTTCTCCTTCATTTGTAGAAAGTCAACTGTCTCCCACACAACATTTCCTCAACTCACATGAGGCTGATTCACAAAACTAGCTCAGCAACCTAAAAGCGCCAGAAGTCACTGAGAGATAAAAGGCTGGTTGGTGGAGGCTCTGGCGTGGGCGCATCACCAGGTCAAAGGAGGTGAGCTGAAGATGCCTGGAGAGCATCTAGTGTTCCAACGCCCCTGATCTCACAGCTGAAGACAGTAAGGCTCAGGGAGGAGAGACTGTCAAGGTCACAGAGCTAGTGAATGACAAAGTCTTGGTTCCAGCATTTTCCCTACTAGATTACGAGCTCTACAGCATCAGAAACAAGGCCCAACACACAGTAACTGCAAAAACAAAAACAAAACACCACACATCGCTCCTATATCACTGTGCCCACCTCCTTTCTGCCCAAAGCCCCAATGATCAGACCAAGAACGGTGTACACAACTTTACAAACTGGCACAGGCACTAGGATCTCCTTCTGCAAACGCACCGTCAGGCATGGACGCTGCCTGAGCCGCCAGGACACCTCTCCAGTGCCTAACACAGTGCCTGGCATACAGGAGTTGCTCCAGAACTGCTTATCCCATGAGGCAAAGAAGTCAAATCTAAGCCTGAAACATCAAGGGACTCAAACGGTGACAAATGAGAAATCAGCTTATTTAATAAGAAAATCTAAAATATTCTTTACAAATACAAAACGTCCAACCTTGGACAACTTATTCAGGATGCACAAGTATACGAAGGAAATTGGCGTAAGCAAGTTTATGCCCATCTGCTCACCACACACTGCGGTTTCACGTCATTTCACTCTCTGATGGAGACTTGGTATAAGTCAATCAAAAAAGACGCTATTGGCCAAATAAAAGATGATTCCAAAAATAGCACAATGACTCAGTTACCCCAAGCTCCTATGTTTCACAGTCTAGCCTCATGCTGTCTCCAGAGGGTTGACTATCATTTATCAGGAGATTAAATGGAATGTGCCACACACCCACTACGTCAAGGCAGACTGAACTCTGGGAGGGGCTTTTCCTGCAGTGACAATGGATTTGCAGTGGCTGGTCCACACCCACTTCCCTAGACCCCATCACCACCAATAGCTCACATTTTGCAAAGGGATTCCTGAGCTGTAGCTGTGGGATGTGAGCCTGGAACACGGAGAAGTTCACTGTCCCAGACACAGACACAGACACAGACTGGACCCATGTCCCTGGGACTCTACTTAACTGGCTGAGCTAACTGCTCACAGGGAAACCTACTAGGAAATAGCACAGAAAAATAAAGGTCTCTGGCGTGAAACAAAACTGGCAATACACACAGCATGGTGATATGGTTATGCCCTGTGCCCCCACACAAATCTCATCTTGAATTATAATCCCTGTAATCCCCATAATCCCCAGGTGCCAAGGGAGAGACTGGGTGGAGGTAATCGGATCATGGGGGTTGTTTCTCCCATGCTGTCCTTGTGATGGTGAGTTCTCATGAGATCTGATGGTTTTGTAAGTGTTTGGTAGTTCCTCCTGTGTTCATTCTCCTGCCTGCCGCCTTGTGAAGAAGGTGCCTTGCTTCCCTTCACCTTCCGCCACGATTGTAAGTCTCCTGAGGCCTCCCCAGCCGTGCTGAACTGTGAGTCAGTTAAACCTCTTTCCTTTGTAAATTACCCAGTCTTGGGCAGTACTTTATAGCAATGTGGAAACAGACTAATACACATGGCATCCAGAAGGTGTTACCCTGACAATAGTGTGGAAAAGCAATTCATGGTCGGGAAGACATGTCAGAGAAAATGACTGGAGCCCAGGATAAAGGATGAAATCACGTTTTCTAAGCAAATGAGTTGGGTGGCACAGCCAAGTCAGATTCCTGGGGAAAGCGCATCACTAACGGGGTTTTGAGTTTTTACTCTGGGGGTGGAGGGGACTCAGTCATCAGCAAGCGGCACCCACATTGCCCTGTGCTACTTCCTCTCCCCAGAGTGCTCTCCCCTCTATTCAATCACAAACACACTTCCAAATTTGTGGGGTGGAGACACAAGGTGAAGGCGGTGGGGGGTTCATGCTCTAAGACAAGCCACTCACATGCCCAGAGAGATCAAAAGAAAGCTCTCTACACCAGTACCATGGTAGCTCAGCTGGTACTGAAATACCAGCCCTCAAAAAATACCACACCCTCAAAAATCTGTCAGAAATCTCCAAATCCTCCTAGATGTGTAAACACCTAAAAAAAATTCCTCTAATTACCTTGAGTAAGCACTGAAACAAAAGCAGTGTTATAAGTCAAATAATTATCTTCACCTGTGATCCTAAATCTGGTAGACCCTGGCACTATCAGAAGGTATACTACTTTCAGGGCCTCCAAGTATTTTTCTTGGTAGTCTGAAAAACTGAAAGTACATGCCTGAGGCAGAATTCTAATTGTCTTCCAATGTCTACCAATGTCTACCCTCCTTTCCTCCTTAGTGATAGAAGCCTGGTTTCCAGTTAGATCCATGGTTGCCTACTATAAAGACCACATTTATTTCCCAGCCTTGTTTGTAGGTCACGTGACTAGGTCCTGTTCATAATACATAAACAAAAAGGCCATGTGCAACTTCTGTCCCTTGAAGAATGGGGATGTAGCTTCTTTACCCCTTCCTCCCACTTACTGGCTCAAGTAAGAACATAAACACTGGGATCACCATCCTGGACATGTGCTGAAGGTGGCCGAGCAACTCAGCTGGGTCCTTGACACGTGAGCCAACGCACCAATGCTGGACTTCCCATCTCAGCCTATCTCATTTGCAGGAGAGAAAAGTAAACTTCCATCCTGTTCAAGCCACTTCTATTTTCAGATATCTGTTGCACACAGTGAAACCTAATCTTAATTGACCTAGGAACCGGTACCTGAACCGGGGGTGCTAGGTCTCAGATTTTATGTATGCCCCAGAAACAAGGCCTAAAAATGCAGCCTGATATGGAGGAGATGGGCAGAGGATCACTGGCAAAGACACAGGTCTCACAGGTTCTCGACTGCTGACTGCCGCAGCAAAACCTTTGATCGAGTCCTGACCTTCTATATGTTGGGAGGTAGACCTGGTGTCTGTTAGAAGCTGTATCCTTACAGGAAACAGCTCTGAAAATTCAAAATGTCAGTGCTTGCCAGTCCTTGACACTCTCAGCAAGGTTCAATCAAGAGAAATGATCTCCAACTAAAGCTAACTAGTCTCAAGAAAGTGGGAAAGAATACAGATTTGATTAGAAAGGAGCTCTGTGTCAGCAACCAGCAATCTAAGTGAGCCTATGGGGCTGTCCCTGCAGCCCCAGCAGGAGATAAGACAGATGCTTTACCACATAGAGCCCAGAAGCCTTGTGCCAAAGATATGATTAAGGGCCTGGCCTTCCACCCAAGCCCACGGTTTCATTTGGCCCAAGGGAGTTGCTATTAAATTGGGAGGGAAAGGAATGGCAGAGCGCTGAGGCCTTTAAAAGACCAGAGTTTTTAGGCTGAAAAACTGTCTAGACAAGATCTTGATGGTTACTCACATGGAACCAATCAGAAGCAAACAGACTAGAGGGCTACTAAAGTCCTGAGAGACTTGTATCTCTACAGAAACCTTAAGGCTGGCCTATAAAAAGCTGTGACTATTCAGTCCTCAAAACAACACCCAGACCCCAAATCCTCCCAGCAAGCGGGTTTTGGAAGCCCATCCTCTCCAGCATCCATCTCCGATGTGGTGCAGAGAAGACCCTTTCAGAAGGCAAAGCCATGACTCCAAAAGATCCCAGGCAAGAGAGTTCCCGGAGGGCAGAACGCGGGTTGCCAGACAGCGACAAGGAAACATAGTGGCCGCCAGTGCAGGGGGTGCAGGGAGACTTGATGGTCGTGATTTCTACTACAGCAGTGTGGCACATGGTGTGCTGGGGGCAGAGAGCTCGTCTGTTTCAGCTAACAGATTGCAAGACCTCAACAGGTACATCCGGCCCTAAAAGAGAAAACGGCACATCATCCAGAGATCCTGAATCTGATCAAGTGGAAGGAAATGAATGTCATACCAGGGCCATCTTCCTTGAGGAAGAGGTGAGAGTTTTCTATGGAGGGGAAGACAAATGCATGTGGATATCTGGGACCTCAGCAGAAACTGCTGGCTGTTCCCCACTGTGTCCTTCCCCGTCTTCCTTAGGAATACAACTCCCAATTTTCAGCTGGTGCAGGTTCCATGATGGGGAATGGTAGACGGAGAAAAAGAGATTTTGTAAATCATATGATCAAGATCTATATCTAACATAAATTTCACTCCTACTTCAGCCCATTAGGAAAGAGCTGCTCAATTGCTGAAGAAATGATACACACAGACGAAGAGAGAAATAAGCATTGAGAGAACCCAGTCCATAGTTCTGAAAATTCTTCTTGTTCTATCCAATAGTTTCATCAAAGTGATAGTCTCATCATGTTGCCCAGGCTGGTCTCAAACTCCAGGGCTTAAGCAATTCTCCTGCCTCAGCCTCCCAAAGTGCTGCAATTACAGGCATGAGCCACAAAAAAAGTATCCCACTTTTTTTTGAGATGGGAGTCTTGTTCGGTCACCCAGGCTAGAGTGCAATGGCGCGATCTTGGCTCACTGCAACCTCTGCCTCCAAAGTTCAAGCAATTCTCCTGCCTCAGCCTCTTGAGTAGCTGGGATTACAGGAGTGCACCACAACTGCCTGGCTAATTTTTGTATTTTTAGTAGAGACAGGGTTTCACTATATTGGTCAGGCTGGTCTCGAACTCCTGACCTCAAGTGATCCACCCACCTCGGCCTCCCAAAATGCTGGGATTACAGGTGTGAGCCACCGCGCCTGGCCATATCCAACATTTTTTATAAATATTCAGAAACAGGAACAATTCCACACACAGTAAATTCTGTTACCTAGAATTCTACACACTGGTATAATACTAGTGTTTGACACTGTTCCAGTAACAACTCCAAAGCACTAAAACAACAGTCCCCAACCTTTTTGGCACCAGGGTCCGGTTTTGTGGAAGACAGTTTGTCCATGGACAGGGGGTTTCGGGATGAAACTGCTCCACCTCAGATCACGAGGCATTAGTCAGATTCTCATAAGGAGCACGCAATCTAGATCCCTCACATGCACAGTTCACAATAGGGTTTGAGCTCCTATGAGAATCTAATGCTGCCGCTGATCTGACAGGGGGCGGGGCTCAGCCAGTAATGCTCACTTGCACCACTCACCTACTGCTGCGCCGCCCCGTTCCTAACAGGCTGCAGACCACAGCCCGGGGGTCGGGGATCCCTGCACTAAAAAATAATGTATGAGATTCGTGGATTTGTTTAAAGCACACAAAAGCAGCAACTGGAAGAGAACAGCTGCCAGTACACATAACCTATTATTACTATCACAAATAGACTATGTTTCCATAAGTATAGCTCGTTAACATGGTTTGGATTTGTGTTCCTGCCCAAATCTCATGTCAAATTGTAATCAGTGTTGGAGGAGGGCCTGGTGGGAGGTGATTTGATCGTAGAGGTGGATATTCCCCTTGCTGTTCTCATGATAGTGAGTTCTCATGAGATCTGGTTGTTTAAAAGTGTGTGACACCACCCCCTTTGCTCTCTTCCTCCTGCTCCCATCATGTAGGACGTGCCTGCTTCCCCTTCACCTTCTGCAACGATTGTAAGTTTCCTGCGGCCTCCCCAGCCATGCTTCCTGTACAGCCTGCAGAACTGTGAGCCAATTAAACCTCTTTTCTTTGTAAACTACCCAGTCTCAGTTCTTTATAGCAATGCGAGAACGAACTGATACACTCATGTAGGATCAAATATAGTTTTAGAAATATTTTAGTCTTATTCTTAGAATGTAACAGGCCATGTATTTTGTGCATCCATCTATCTCGTGGTCCCTCTGACATCAAGATGACCTCTTCAAATGTCTTCTCCTTAAAAAGGCAACTGCCTCCCCGCGCCAGGAATTTCTTCCCAGGTTCACTGACTCAGTAGGTTTCTGTGAGTAACCTCACTTCGTAGTGTTAGGAAGGAACCCTGGGAACAGCGGATGCAGGGCATCTGGTAAGCTAAGGCCGCCAACAACCATTCATCCAGTATCAGCTCTGCACCAAGCAAGGGATTCATAATTAATAATCAAACCAAACAAGAAGAGAAACAAAGATTCCTAAACACCCTCAGAAAGGCCAAAATATTTTTCCCCTTTGTAAAAGTAAAAACTCTTAACCCTATGGGAGGTTCCACCTCTAGTGTTGGCAAGCTCAGCTTCAATGTCTGTCAAACACTTTTACAGACCCAAGTTTCCTAAGGCAGAGGTTTTTTTTTTTTTAAGTTTAATATCAAAAGTGAACTTCCTGATATCCAAGAATATTAAGGCAATATATTTATACAGGTTCTTTTTTCACCCAAAAACACAGGCTGGACAGCGTGTGGTGAAGCCCAGCCCTCTGCGGATGTGCGGGAGCCTCAGCCTGTCCGCACTCTCAGGGCGTGTGCTGCCCTCTTGGTGACGCGCTGCCCTCTTGGTGACGCGCTGCCCTCTTGGTGACACGCTGCCTGGCCACGAGCTCCAGGACCACACTTCCAAGGTTCCCAGGTGGCAATGACACGAAATATTCTTCAGTATTCTCCACAGAAACAACAAAAATGGCCTGGAAGTACCCGTATTTTTCTATCTGAACTTCACCTCCCCAAATCTTTTGTTCAATAACTTGTCTCATTTTTTTATTCAGAAAATGTAACTATCGCGAGTTACCCCTTCGATATAATGAAGTCTTCGCTTGAGTAACAAAGGATTATTACAGAGTTTGCAACAAGCAAGTGATGACTGTTCCATCTAAAAGAACAGGCTTTTTCCTTTTCTACTGGGAATCAATGGATGTCAGGGGTGAGGTGGAAACAGGAGAGTTAAGAAGCGCTGAAAAATGAAAGTACCTATGACATCACAAATTAACTCAGTACACAACAATTACTAATGAACACGGCTCACAGCTCCCCTCCCAGCCTGCCCCCATTGCTCTGATAATCCTCCCAAACAACTCTGCCAATGCCTCCTCTAATACAACACACATACTAACACTGTCATTCTGATGACTCTAAGTGTGACAGTCAAGAAAATGCTAAAGTTGGCTCATCATTTTATATCCATATAGCATTAAATTCCAGAAACTATTATCAAGAAAAAGGCCAAAATATTCCCATACATTGAATTATACATCTGTCTAATCATGTGGTCCCATGAGTGAAATGCCTAGAAACTATGAATCCAGTTATTTTTGGAATATTTCACGCCTTAAATTTTAACACCGCACTGAGGGAAGGCACTTTTGTTATTCCCTCCCTCTATAACCAAATTTTTTAAACTAAAATAGTATTAGTACTATTGGGGAGTTTTAAAAAATTCCTTTCATTTGTTTTCTATTTTTTTAATCTTTAATCAGAGTCTATGTAACAGAAGGAATCAAAAGGAAAACCTGCAGTAAGAGTAAATTTCTAATATCCAAATGGGGTTATCAACTGCTTAAAAAAGGTATGGGGGTTGGGAATGGGTGGCTCACGCCTAAAATCCCAGCACTCTGGGAGGCTGACTCAGAAGGATCACTTGAACCCAGGAGTTCGAGGCCAGCCTGGGCAACATGGTGAAACCCTGTCTCTACTAAAAATACAAAACTTAGCTGGGCATAGTGGCGTGTGCCTATAGTCCCAGCTACTTGGGAGGCTGAGGCAGGAGCAACCCTTGAGCTCAGAAGGTCGAGGCTGCAGTGAGCTGTGATTGTACCACTGGACTCCAGCCTGGGTGACAGAGCAAGATCCTATCTCAATCAATCAATCAATGAATAAATGTATTGGATAGCAATGTACCAAAAACACTTTTCAAAATACAAAGCTCTGACCTTTTTCAATTTACACAGCTTAGGTGTCATTCAAACTTCCTATTCAAATGCCCCTGAAAAACATCCTGTATTAAATGTCTAACACTGATTGTAACTGCACAAAAGAAGAATGATAACCTGAGCAATAATGCCACCGGTTAAACATCTTTTTTCATAATATTCGTTTATCAAAGAACATTCTGAGGGCCTGATTCAAAGAAGCAAGACACAAAGCACAACCACCTTCCATTCCCATAAAAAACAAACCTGTGATCAAAGAACTTCAATTTCCTTTCCCACGATTTAACTCTTCTAGGACAAGAGTACTTCCACCTTGCTAATAGGTCTGGTCAAACGTATTCCTCTACAACTCTATCCCCTCCCCGTCTATTGGTAAGAGAGGATGATCAATGGAACAGGACTCCTCTGAGCAGATGCAGACCTGCTCACACCTTACCCATCCAGGAGACGCATCGTTGTGGGGGTCACTTCGGCAAACAAAATTACTTTCCCCAACTGCTTGGTCTGCAGATTTTGGCGATAGATCTCTAAGTTGAAATGTTCTGATGAGAAGGCCTCCATGTTGGTCACCACAGGTATACAAGATGGGGTTATTTCTACTTCAGACACGTAGGATGAAACAAATCTAAGAGAGAGCTGGCCGGATTTTATTTCTCCCTCGGAGTCCACATGTTTCCCAAGCCACTGCATAAGAGGATCCCTGATTTCCTGTGTCATAAAGAAAGAAATGAGATGGTCGTAATTTGGCATTACATTAGATCATGGTAGCTTTTCCTTATAATGCCATTTTGGTAATATGAGTACTTCCTAATTCATGACCAAGAAAAGCTAGATTAACATATTCCATACATCTAAACGATTAGACAATATGATAATCATATACTTAGTATACTTATACTATAAAATAAGCTCTTCAGAAACCAGGATCCAAGAAAATCAGTTCAGTTCATGATTATACTTCCTATCTTACATCTTACATTCTCTCATGATTTTCAAGATTCCCCTCCAGTCCAGAGTTCATAAGTAGTTCTCCAGTCCTCCGTTCATTTTACGGAAAACTTTTATCTTTTTGCCCCACAAAGAAATTCATTATCCTATTTGCAAAAACAACAACAGAAAACCCTGGGTGAAAGAAGTCACAGAACACAAAGCACTCAAATACAAGAACACTCGGTCTCAGCCTCACATCTTAGAGAATCTCCGCTTCCTCTTGTAAAGACAAGGCAAGTTGATCACCAACAAAGAAGACAATAATCTTCACAAAGGGAAAGTGGGGTACCCCAAAGCTGCTTTCTGTTTGCCCCAAATGGAGGTACAAGGAGGAGAAGGAAGGCAAAACCTAGAAGAGACGTTGTCCAATCCAGGCACAGAGCTCTCTACTCTATCCCCAAAACCACAAGGCTGGAGGAGGTTCCCCCACGCCAGACCTTAGAGGTCCCAGAGGCCTTCCTCCAGGGTGGTTTATCAGGAACTGAGGGCTGAGGGAAGTCATCATCTCAAGAGGCCTGTACAAAACTTACTAAGATCTCAGTAAACACAGATCCAGGCTCTTAGGCCATCCTCCTGCAAACACCAGGCCCTTTACGTCCCAAAGCTCCCTGTGGCTACAGAGTAGTGGCATCAGAGATGAAACTTAATTCAACTAATTTCAATTGATCAACCTTTAAAACTCACATCTAGTTTGCAGATAATACAGAGGAGAAGAGAACGAGTCAAATGACTTCAGAAGAAAGCATTCAGGTCCGCGCGCAGTGGTTCACACCTGTAATCCCAGCACTTTGGGAGGCCCAGGCGGGCAGATCACCTCAGGTCAGTAGTTCAAGACCAGCCTGACCAACATGGTGAAACTCCGTCTCTACTAAAAATACAAAAACTTGCCAGGCATGGTGGCGGGTGCCTGTAATCCCAGCTACTCAGGAGGCTGAGACAGGAGAATCGCTTGAACCTGGGAGGCAGAGGCTGCAGTGAGCCAAGATCACTCCACTGCACTCCAGCCTGGCAACAAAGAGTGAAACTCCATCTCAAAAAAAAAAAAAAAAAAAAGACAAGAAAAGAAAGCATTCAGAAGAAATCCAGGGGATAAAACATTTTACAGAACAGCCGGGCTGGAATCTTCAACTAGTCAATGTCACGGTGGAGATGGGGTGGGGACACAGAGGTGGAGAGGGAGACCCCGTCTAGATTAGAAGGGGCTTAAAAGACATAATGAAACACAATGGGTGGTTCTTTATTGGATCCCAACTTGAACAAACTAGCTGGAAAGGACAATTAGGAAATCTGAATGTGAACAGTATGCATTAGACAGCAAACTGGAATTACTGTCAGTTTTAATAGGTGTGACAAGGGTACTGTGGGGGCCAGGCGCAGTGGCTCACACCTGTAATCCCAGCACTTTGGGAGGCTGAGGCAGGCGAATTGCTTGAGCTCAAGAGTCTGAGACCAGCCTGGGCAACATGGTGAAACCCTGTCTCTCCTAAAAATACAAAAATTAGCCGGGCATGGTGGCGTGCAACTGTAGTCCCAGATACTCAGGTGGCAGCGGTGGAAAGATTGCTTGAGCCCAAGAAGCAGAGGCTGCAGTGAGCCAAGATGGCGCCACTGCACTCCAGCCTGAGTGACAGAACCAAACCCTGTCTCAAGAAAAAAAGGAAGTACTGTGGTGACATAGGAAAAGTCCTTAATTTTTAAAAATGTATATACGTCATGAAATCTGTAAAATTTACCCCCAAAATACATAAAGTAAGGCAAAATGTTGATAATTATTCAACTATGTTGATAATTATTAAATCTAGATGATGGGTATTTGGGGTATGTGTTACAGTATTCTCTCTATTCTTTTCCATGTTTGAGAACTGTCATAATTAAGAGTAAAAAAAAGTGGTGAAATAAACATAAGCTATTTAAAAATAATAAATTCAGGCCGGGCACAGTGGTTCACGCCTGTAATCCCAACACTTTGGGAGGCTGAAGAGGGTGGATCACTTGAGGCCAGGAGTTCAAGACTAACCTGGGCAACATGGTGAGACCCCGTCTCTAATAAAAATACAAAAATTAACTGGGCATGGTGGCATGCACCTATAATCCCAGCTACTCAGGAGGCTGAGGCAGGAAAATCTCTTGAACCCAGGTGGCGGAGGTTGCAGTGAGCCGAGATCACGCCATCACACTCCAGCCTGGAGACAGAGCAAAACTGCATCTCAAATAATAATAATAATGAATTCAATTGACCATACACTGGCAACCTATTCCCTCTGTCATCCATTCAACAAATGTTACGGGATATCTCCCATATGGCAGGCAGTCTCACAGGCTCTGAGGACGGAGCAATGATCAAAGGGGTCAAAATTCCTGTCTTTGGAGGGTTAATGCTATAATGTGGGAGTCAGAAAGTTAAAAAAGTCCGGGCGCAGTGGCTCAGGCCTGTAATCCCAGCACTTTGAGAGGCTAAGGAAGGCGGATCACTCGAGGTCAGGAGTTTGAGACCAGCCTGGCCAACATGACAAAACTCCATCTCTACTAAAAATACAAAAAATTAGCCATGCATCGTGGTGGGTGCCTGTAATCCCGGCTACTTGGGAGGCTGAGGCACAAGAATCACTTGAACCCAGGAGGCAGAGGTTGCAGTGAGCCAAGATTGCGCCACTGCACTCCAGACTGGGTGATAGAGTGAGACTCAGTCTCGAAAAAAAACAAAAAACAAAAAACAACAAAAAAAACAAAGTTAAAAAACAGTAAACACAATACACAGAATGTTAGAGAGTAACACGTACAAAGGAGGGACAAGAAAGCACAGAAGAGAGGGAGGCCACTTCAGACCAGACAGATGGAGGACCTGCTAAGAAGGCAACGCTTAAGGAAAGGCCTGGAGCAAGTGAAGGAGGATGCTGGGACAAAATCCACAGAACTATGTTTTTATATTTATTTATAAAGGGATTCCAGCAAGTGCAGAGGCTCCCGGAGCAGGGAAAGAGCCTGATCAGGGCACAGCATTTGAGCAGAGTGAGCCTGGGCAGAAGGTGGAGTGCCGGGGCCAGAAAGGCAGAGGGGGTGGTGAGAGCCACCGTCCACATCGCGGAGGGCCTCAAAGGCCACAGTAAGGACGGGGCTTTCACTCGAGGAGCAACAGGGAGCCCCAGAAGGTTCTGGGGAAGGTCGTGGGATGTCCTACCTCTGTTGGAGCAGGATCACCCCACTCTGACTCCTGTGTTGAGAAGAGCCTGAAGGGGAACAAACAAGCAGAGAAACTAGTTATAAAGTCACCTAAATGAGCTAGGAGTGAGACTACTGCCTGGACCAGCATGCAGCAGACATGGTGAGAAAGGATAGGATTCACAGTAGACTCTGAAGTACAGGCTACAAGATTTGCTAACAAGTCATATCTGAGATGTTAGAGAAAACAGGGGCTCAAAAAAGAGCCCAAGATTTCTGGCCTAAACATCTGGAAGGACAGATCTGCTGCTGGAAATACTATAGGAAGAGCAGGTTTGGAGAGGAAGAGGCAGGAGGTGAGCCCTGGGTGTGCTAAGCTTGAGATATCTATTAAAAATCCCACGGGGGCTGGGCGCGGTGGCTCACACCTGTAATCCCAGCACTTTGGGAGGCCCAGGCAGTCAAATCACTTGAGGTCAGGAGTTCAAGACCAGCCTGGCCAACATGGTGAAACCCCACCTCTACTAAAAATACAAAAATTAGCTGGGCATGGTGGTGGGCATCTGTAGTCCCAGCTACCTGGGAGGCTGAACTCAGGAGGTGGAGGTTGCAGTGAGCTGAGATCATGCCACTGCATTCCAGCCTGAGCAACAGAGAAAGACTCGGTCTCAAAATTTTTTTTAAAAAAGGAAAAAAAAAATCCCTTGAAAACAATGAATTGGCAGTAGAACATGTGAGTCCAGAATCCAGGGGAGAGGTCTGCACCATGGATATCAATTTGAGAATTGTCAGACTATGGGTGATCATTTAAAGCCAAGAAAGAGGATAAGATCCATGAAAAGAGTGACTGTAGTTAAAAAGAGGATGCAAAGTAGGGCTGCTGTCACAAAGGACTACAAACCGGGTGGCTTGAGATGCCAGAAATCTATTCTTACAGTTTTGGAGGACAGAAGTCAAAAATGAACACGTCAACGGGGCCGTGCCTCCTGGGAAGGCTCTGGGGAAACTAGTGTTCACGCCTTTGCTTCTGGTGCCGCTGGCACTCCATGGTGCCCCTCGGCTTGTACACACATCACCCCCATCTCTGTGGCCATCATCACATGGCGTTCTCCTCTTTAAGTGTCCCGATTCTGTGTGTCCTCTAGTCTTCTGAGGACAGCAGTCGTACTGGATTAGGGATCCACCCTAATGACCTCATCTTCACTTGATTACATCTGCAAAGACCCAGCTTCCAAATAAGGTCATATTCACAGGCTCCAGGGCTGGGGCTTTCACATATCTTTTTGGGGGACACAACTCAACCAACAATAGCAGTCCATGCTTAGGTTTCAGGGAGATCAAAAAGAGTGTGCAAAAGAGATTGAGAAAGGGAGAGAAAAATCAAGTGTGTCTGTGGACAGCAGTGGGGGGCGGTGGTTGCGGGAGTCTCCTGACTCCAGTTTGGAAGGTTGGAAGACGATGACAGTGCCGTGGGGAGAGGGCTGAGAAGTCACCGCTGGCCTTGGTGCCACAGAGCCCAGACTCTGATGAGAGCAGTTTGAGAGGCGTGATGGAGGCCAAAGTCAGATGGGAGTAGTGAAAAGAGAAAAACTGCAGACTCCAGGATAAAACTCTGGCAAAGGGTCTCCTTTAAAGGGTAGAGAGGAATGGGGCAGTGGCTAGAGGGAGGAATGGGGTGAAAGCAGGTTTTGTTTGGTTTAGAGGGGAGAAACAGCAGCATTTTCAGATTGATGTGAAAGGTCCCCTAGAGAAAAGAATCCAAAGGGCCAAGTGGGGTGGGACCTAGCACAGAAGCAGAAAGGTCAGCCTTGGGAGCAGAGACAGCTCACCCATAGGGATGGGGGTGGCTCAGGTTCCCCTCTGCGGACACCTGGTCTTATGACCCCACTGGCTGCAGAACTCCCTTGGCCCTTGCCGGTTGCACAGCCATACGGGACAGCCTGGTAACTGAAATTCGCTGCTCCCACCCTGCTCCACAGCTGCAGGGAGGTGGGAATCCTGGTGCTGGCAGCCGGTAGAAGTCATCTTATGATTGCTTCTATGTTCTCAATAAATAGGAAGCAAGATCATCGGCTAAGAGAGAAAAGAAGGAAGGAGGTGTTGAAGTTTGGGGAGGGAGGAACGAACATGACAACAGGGAGAATGAGAAGACGAATGCAGTGGGGAGAATCTTCTGAGCAGCGCCTTCCCCAGGGCAGCTGGAAGCATTTGAGCACCACGGAAGGTCAGCGACTCTGAACTGAGAGTGAGAAGTCCGCATGATTTTGTGTTTTTATCCTGCCACAGTCAGCTATCCAGCCATGTGGGCTTAGCAGAGAGGAGGCAGTGAGCTGAAGGTGTACAGAAAGCAGTAACTGAGACTAACCGACCACAAATGAGACACTGCTGGAGACAGGAAGATAAATATGAGTGATCCTGTTGGGGAGGAGAGTGAGAGGAATGCCCCAGGACCAAAAAGCTTAGGTCAGCACCAGAGAGAGCTCCCAGAGAAGGCATGCAAAATAAGGGGTGATCCTGCTTGCAAAGAAACCAGAAAAGTTGTTGGAAGAGGTCAAGCTCAAATGAGCTACCAAAAGCTACATTTGGGTCCTATCACAGTACTAATTTTCGGTTTTCGGACTACAGAATACCAAGATATATTTCAAATGGATTATTCCCTGTTCATCATTCTTTCCTTGGTATATACTCTATTGGAAGAAGAAGAAGAAATGAATAAATAACATACAAAGGTGATCCCCAAACCTCAAATCTGGCCATTAGTTATAACCAACTCTGCCCCTAAAACTTTGGTCAATGCCCTTAAAGCATAAAATGCACAGATCTGAATTTCCATCACTTTCCCCAGGGCAGCTGGATGTCACCAGGTCACCACACAGGCTAGAGATACATATAGGTGAATTAGGTTAAATCACAAAAACAGAAAGATAAAACTATTATTTAACTCAAGCAGAGAGCTAAGAGGTTATTCATCAGATGATGGTAATACAAATATCCCATTCAAAGTCAATGAAAACCAGGATAAAATGAAAAAGAAACAACCAGCACTAAGTAGAACTTTCAGAACAGGAATAATGCAGGAATTATCCTCTAAAGTGAATCATCCAGATTGACTATGGTATACATCATTCATTTAAGAAACATGTATGGAGTACCCACGGTGTCTCAAACACAGTACCATGGTAGAAAGAGAAGAGGAAGGACAGATATTGCTATAGTTTGAATCTGTCCTCCAAATTTCATGTGTTGGAAACATAATCCCCCAATTATATGTTGATGGTACTTGGAGGTGGGGCCTTTGGGAAGAAATTGAGATTGAATGGGGTCATCAGGGTAGGGCACCTATGGTGGGATTGGTGGCTTTATAAGAAGAGAAAGAAAGACCTAAGCTGGCACACTCCTGCCCTCTCACCATGTGATTCCCTTCCCATGTTATAATGCAGCAAGAAGGCCCTCACTAGATGCTGGCACCACACTCTTGGATTTTCCAGTCTCCAGAACCAAGAGCTAAATAAACGTCTATTCTTTCTAAATTGCCCAATCTCAGGTATTCTGTTATAGCAACAGAAAACGGACTAAGAGAGATGCATACACATAACTACAAGACAAAAATTCACTCAAACTATTCAAACATACACTTCTCTTTGGCAAAGTAAGTCAACCTGACTTGCCAAATTTAATCATCTATTCTTATGTGCATGCAAGTTGAGAGCCATATTCTCAAGAAATTACATCATCATTGTTATGTCTACTAATTACTAAAGTAACAATCTAAATTATTTGTTTTTGAAAGCAATACTTAGACACGTACAAATCTGCAAAATAAAACTGATAAAAGCAAGGCATGCAGGTTTTTTTCTTATACTTATTTTACATAATCTTTCAGGGCTTACTCAGAACCAAGTGAATTACTCAGAACAAAGAGAATCTAAAAGGTATCAAATGAAACCAGGGCCCTCTTATGAAACATAACTATATACCACCCATAATTCTCTTAAATATTTATATTCACTATAGTCAAATACATTTTAAGTACCATAGGAAGCATTTAGCCTCCCCCAAAACTTTCTCCCCGCTCCACCATTAACCCTGGACAACATAAAAATTCTGAATAAAATTCTGGTTGTAAGAAATACCAAAATTACTATCTGTTTGATATAAATCTGCCTGGCATGTCTTCTCAAATGCACTCAAATTATGATTATGACTTGAGAGTTGCATATACAGCTGCTAATAATACATGTAGGGAAAAGGAATTAATTCATGACTCTTGCCTAAACTCTCCTAATGACCATGCAATGTAAAAATGTTACTGAAGAAAAAAGGTTTGGATCATAGACATCAAGACAAGTGGGCTGACATATAAGTAGCACTACCCACTCTGCAATACGCAAATGCACCTATTTCTTTGAACTCAACTATCAGAGGATAGCTAAAACGTCACTTCTATAGGGAGGATGTCTCTGACCCACAGCCGTTCACAAACTTTCGTAAACCCTTAGTTACTTTATAGCACTTATCACGACTATACATAATTTGTATAAGTGCTTATTCAATGCCACACTGTCTTATTAGAATATAAGTTCCATAAAGATAATATACATATGTTCCTGTTTTGCTCCCAACGGTATCCATGGAACCTAGGACAAAAGTGCATGCTTAATAAGCATTTACTGTATAAATGCACATTAAAACCTTACCAAGGAAAACTCTCCAAATAACAGATAGATAGGTAATCAAGAGGTAAAACTCAAAAAAGACAATGAGAGAGTATGGTCTTGAGATGGCTACGTAAGCATCAAAAATAATGCACAGTCTTTGAAATCATTACAGCTAGTTCTATTGACAACAAACAACCACTATCAGATTCCACTTCAAGGGGGTTTATAAAATTCTAATTAATGTTATTTTTCTAACATTTAATCTTCAAGAATTTAGTATTTCTCTTCTTCTAGGATTTCAGGTTAATTAAATATGATTTGGGTGGAACCAACAGCTGAATGCTTTATAGTCACATAAATGTGGCCCTTTTAAATCAGCCACAGCACCAGTCATTCTCAAGAAAGGTGAATATATTCTTTGTCTTTTATTGGGTCATGTTGCACAGGACATGAAAATCCAAAGGAATCTTAAAAAAAAAAATAGAACTAATAAGTGAGTTTAGCAAGGTTGTGGGATACAAGGTCAATATACAAAAATTGGCTGGGCACAGTGGCTCACGTCTGTAATCCCAGCCCTTTGGGAGGCCAAAGTGGGTGGATCACTTGAGGTCAGGAGTTCAAGACCAGCCTGGCCAACATGGTGAAACCCCACTTCTACAAAAATACAAAATTAGCCGGGTGTGGTGGCACACACCTATAATCTCAGGTACTTGGGAGGCTGAGACACGAGAATCACTTGAACCTGGGAGGCAGAGGTTGCAGTGACCTAAGATTGTACCATTGCACTCCAGGCTGGGCAACAGAGTGAGACTCCATCTCAAAAAAAAAAAAAAACAAAACAAAAATTGGGTGCATTTCCATATACTAACAATAAATATTTGGAGCCTGAACTTCTTTAAAATATCATTTTAATGGCATCAATAGATCTGAAATATTTAGGGACATATTTAACAAAATATGTGCCAGACCTGTTTACTGAAAACTACAAAACACTCCTGAATTAAAAATTAAAGATGTCTGAGCATCATAACTCATACTCGTAATCCCAGCACTTTGGAAGGCTGAGTATGGAGGATCACTTGAGCCCAGGAATTTGACACCAGCTTGGGCAACATGGAAAGACCTCATGTCTAAAAAAAAGAGTTTTTCTTTAATTAGCTGGGTGTGGTGGCATGCACCTGTAGTCCCAGCTAGTCAGGAGGCTGAGGTGAGAGGATCACTTGAGCCCAGGAGCTAGGCTGCAACAAGCCATGATGGCACCACTGCACTCCAGTCTAAGCGACAGAGCGAGACCCCATCTCAAAAACACAAAAAGAAAATTAAAGAGGCTGTAAATAACTGAAAAGATACACCATGTTCATGGATCAGAAGACTAACACTGTTAAGATGTCAATTCTTCAAATTAATCTATGGGTTCAATGTAATCCCAGTCAAAATCCCAGAAGGCTTTTTTTTTTTTTTTTTGTAGAAATTAACAAGCTGAAAATAGAAACTATTTTAAATGGTCAAAACAATTTTGGGAAGGAACAAAAAGTTGGAAAACCTACATTATCTGCTTTCAAGACTTACTATAAAGTTGCAGTATATCAAGACGGTGTGGTATTGGCACACAGAGATAGGTATAGATTACTGGCACAGAATAGGGTACAGAAATAGGGCCAAACATATAAGTGTGATTGATTTTTTTTAATTTTTTTGAGACAGCGTCTTGCGCTACCACCCAGTGGGGAGTGCAGTGGTGTGATTACAGCTCACTGCAGCCTCAAATTCCTGAGCTCAAGCCAACCTCCCACCTTGGCCTGTTTGATTGATTTTTGACAACAGTGCCCAAGATAACTGACTTGAAAAATGATAATCTTTGCAATACATGGTGCTGAAACAAACATTCATATGCAAGAATATGAAACCTTGATCTCTATCTCACATGTATATAAAAATTAACTTGAAATAAATCATAGACCTAAATGTAAAACTACAAACCTTCTAAAATAAAATACAGGAGAAAACCTTTCTGACTTTGGGTAGGTAAAGTTTTTTTCAGATGGAACAAAATAAGCATGAACCATAAAAGGAAAAAAGTGATAAGCTGGACTTTATAAAAATTAAGAATATTAACAACTGCTGTTCTTGAAGAGATAATGCTGGCCAGACATGGTAGCCCACACCTGTAATCCCAGAACTTTGGGAGGCTGAGGTGGGTGGATCACCTGAGGTCAGCAGTTTGAGACCAGCCTGGCCAACATGGTGAAACCCCATCTCTACTAAAAATACAAAAATTAGCCAGGCATGGTGGCATGAACCTGTAATCCCAGCTACTTAGGAGGCTGAGGCAGCAGAATTGCTTCAACCCAGGAGGCGGAGGTTGCAGTAAGTTGAGATCATGCGCACTCCAGCCTGGGCGACAGAGCGAGACTCCATCTCAAAAAAAAAGAGAGAGAAAGGGAAAGAGAGATAATGCTAAGAACAGTGAAAAGACAAACAACAAACTGGGAGAAATTATTCTCAATACTTATATCAGACAAAGGACTTGTATCCGGAATATAAAAAAGAAGTCTTAAAATTGTAAGAAAACAAACAATTCAACTTAAAGCCTGAGCAAAAGAGCTGAATAGACACTGCCCAAAAGAAAATATCGGATCGCCAATAAGCACATGAAGAAATGCTTGGCACCATTTGGCAACAGGAAAATGCAAATTAAAACCACAATTAGATACCACTATACATCCACCTGAATGGTTAAAATTAAAAAACTATTTTAAGCCCAGGAATTTGGGCCTGCAATGAGCTGTGAGCACACCACTGCATTCTAGCCTGAACAACAGAGCAAGACCCTGTCTCCAAAAAAAAAGAAAAAGAAAAAAAAAAACATTCTGGCCGGCCACAGTGGCTCATATCTGTAATCCCAGCATTCTGGGAGGCTGAGGCAAGAGGATTGCTTGAGCCCAGGAATCTGAGACCAGCCTAAGCAACACAGTGACACCCAGTCTCTACAAAAAATAAAAAAACAAAACTAGTCAAGAGTGGTCGTACACACCTATATCCCAGCTATTCAGGAGGTTGAGGTGGCAGGATCACTTGAGCCCAGGAATTCAAGGCTGCAGTGAGCCATGACTGTGCCACTGCACTGACAGCCTGGGCAACAGAGCAAGATCCTGTCTCTTAAAAAAAAAAAAAAAGAATCTGACACTTTACAATGGTTGGCAAAGATGTGGAGTAACTAGAACTCTCATGCCCTACTGGTGGGAATGTAAAATGGTACAATGGTTTTGAAAAACAGTTGGCAGTTTCTTGTAAAGTTAAACACACACTTCTCATATGACCGAGAAATTCTACTCCTAGGTATTTACCCAAAAGAAATGAAAACACATGTCCACACAAAGACCTGTATGTGGATGTTCATAGCAGCTTTACTCAAAACAGCCATAAATGACAGCATATCCATACAATGGAATACTACTCAGGAATAAAAAGTAATGGGCTACCCACACATGCAATAAGGACAAGTCTCAAAAACATAACACTGATCAAAAAAAAGAAGGGTATCCAGTACACTATATGATTCCACTTAGATGACGTTTCAGAAAAGGCCAATCTAATCATCTAGTGATAGACAGTATATCAGTGATCTCCTGAGGCTCCAGGCTTAGGGGTGGATGAGCGCATGAGAACTGATTAAGAAAAGTAACAAAGGCAGTGGCTCACGCCTGTAATCCTAGCACTTTGGGAGGCTGAGGCGGGCGGATCACAAGGTCAGGAGATCGAGACCATCCTGGCTAACACGGTGAAACTCCACCTCTACCAAAAAAAGACAAAAAATTAGCCGGGCGTGGTGGCAGGTGCCTGTAGTCCCAGCTACTGAGGGAGACTGAGGCAGCAGAATGGCATGAACCTCGGAAGCGGAGTTTGCAGTGAGCCTAGATCGCGCCACTGCACTCCAGCCTGGGCAACAGAGCGAGACTCCATCTCAAAAAAAAGAAAGGTAACAAAGGAATCTTTCGGAATACTGGAAATGTTCTGTGTCTTGATTGTAAAGGTAGTTACATGTAAAACATTTATCAAACTGTACACTAAAATGGGTGCATTTTCTTGAATATAAATCATAACTAAATAAAGTTGATTTTTTAAAAAAGCAAACAGCAACAAACCTATGCAACATTAAACAATACTAAGGCCCAGGAGACTCCATATTCACTAACGTCCAAATAACACCAATATCTCCACTTCTAAAGAGAGTGAATGCTTGAATCTGTATCTAGTGCAAATTCACAGAAGTGACTACTCTATGGTGGGTAAACATATTGCAGCATCTGCTACAGACAGAGTGCAATTAAGATCAGAAACCCATGTTATACTGTGTCTCGCCACTTTATTTATTGATTGGAGGCAGCGTCTTGCTTTGTTGCCCAGGCTGGAGTGCAATGACGTGATCATAGATCACTGTAACCTTGAACTCCTGGGCTCAAGCAATCCTCCCACCTCAGACTCCCAAAGTGCTGGGTTTACAGGTGTGGGCCACATCACTTTAGAGCGGTTCCACCCCTGTTACTTGTCTTATCTGCTAAATTTACCCAGCTAACAAGATTCAGTGTTGAATTCAAAATATTTCTTATGATCTCCATGTATGTTTTGGAGCTTCTTTTCCCAAGAAACACCAAATAATTGATCTTAACCCATAAAGGTTTTCTATCTCAGAGACACATTTGCCTCATTGCAAATAATAAGATTAGTTGTGCTTCAGTCATAACATCGTAAGTTGCTAGGCAGCCAGAAGTGAGTTAATCAGAAAATGAATCATCAAAGACATGGTACGCAATCTCCTTTTATGGGTGTCTCATTCTTAAAACACTTTCAAGGAAGCAGAAGCAAATATTTGTCTACTCGTATGGAATTTATATGACGCAATCCAATTCTTACTATTGGTATTTGACACGCAAAATACTCACACGCAATTTCATGTTCGCTTGGTGTCTTCACTCACAGGACAAAGCCAGATGGCACAGCAAATCTTTATAATCAAAAGATGGCACTCCTGGGCCGGGCGCAGTGGCTAATGCCTGTAATCCCGGCACTTTGGGAGGCTGAGGTGGGTGGATCACCTGAGGTCAGGAGTTTGAGACCAGCCTGGCCAACATGGTGAAACCCCATCTCTACTAAAAAATACAAAAATTAGCCAGGCGTGGTGATGGACACCTGTAGTCCCAGCTACGTGGGAGGCTGAGGCAAGAGAATCGCTTGAACTCCGGAGGTGGAGGGTGCAGTGAGCAGAGATCGCGCCACTGCACTCCAGCATGGGGGACAGGGCAAGACTCTGTATGGAAAAAAAAAAAAATGGCGCTCCTGAAATAGGACTATTTTTTTTTCCTGACTTCATCTAAGGCAGGGATTGATCATCTGACAACCCTTGGGGTGGGCGTTTATTCAGCGTGCCAGTACCAAGCAAAGCAAGGCTCCATGCAGGTTTGCGAAATGCCTGTCTGGGTGTCTGCGTGTGTGCACCTCCTCACCAGCCTGGTCCCTTATGCGGCAGCTTCTGTCTAGCCACACTGGTCCCCTGTGGTCTAACCAACCCCTGCCTGACCTGTCCAGGTTCCACGCTGCACGGCACTGCACCCTGGCATGAGTTCCCAAAACTGCTGCTTCCTGCTTCCCACCCTGTGTTCTGCCACTAGCCCCAAGCACCGGCACACAAAAGCGAACGGCTCTGAAGGGCTTCCACCTTCCAGTGGCTTACTTTGCTGAAACCAGTCCATTTTCACAAACATCCAGGCTGACCGTCACTTAGGGACACCCTCGGGCCAAAATGAATCTGGAGATGTGGTTTATTTAGCCCACATTTTGAACCAGCTGCAACACTTAAAAATTGAGATATTTCATATCAAATTTCCTGCCTCTTTTGAAGCAGCAGCAACTCTTTCCACACAGCAGTAATGGGCTACAGCCAAGTAGCCACCCTCATCCCGTGGAGAACGCGCTCCAGCTGGCCCTGTGTGTCCCCAGCAGCCAGCTGCACTCTGCGCTGCCTCTCCTGCCCCCTCCCCTGGCCTCTGGGTTAGAGACCACTCGTCTCAGCCCCAGCAGCAAGCCTGGAACCCATCCAGCCATCCTTCTCTGGGGCCCTGATGATGCGTCCTTCCAGTTAGGTCCATTTTAACTCCCCAGACTGAGTCTAGTGACACTGACTCTCAGAACAGAAGGGGACTATTTTGGTAGTTCCTCAAAAAGTTAAACAAGAGGCCAGGCACAGTGGCTCATGCCCGTAATCTCAGCACTTTGGGAGGCTGAGGCGGGCGGATCACAAGGTAAGGAGATCGAGACCATCCTGGCTAACACGGTGAAACCCCGTATCTACTAAAAATACAAAAAAAAAAATTAACCGGGTGTTGTGGCAGGTGCCTGTAGTCCCAGCTACTTGGGAGGCTGAGGCAGGAGAATGGTGTGGACTCGGGAGGCGGAGCTTGCAGTGAGCCGAGATCGCGCCACTGCACTCCAGCCTGGGCGATAGAGCGAGACTCCGTCTCAAAAAAAAAAAAAAAAAAAAAAAACATTAAACAGAGAGGGCCGGGCGCGGTGGCTCTCACCTGTACTCCCAACACTTTGGGAGGGGCCGAGGTGGGTGGATCACCTGAGGTCAGAAGTTTGAGACCAGCCTGACCAACATGGTGAAACCCTGTCTCTACCAAAAATACAAAAATTAGCCAGGCGTGGTGGTGAGCACCTGTAATCTCAGCTACTTGGGAGGCGGAGACAGAAGAATCGCTTGAACCCAGGAGGCGGAGGCTATAGTGAGCCAAGATCATGCCATTGCACTCCAGCCTGGGCAACAAGAGCAAAACTCCGTCTCAAAAAAAAAAAAAAAAAATTAAACAGAGAATTAATACATGATCCAGCAATTCCACTCCCAGGTATAAACCCAAAAGAACTGACAGCAGGGACCCAGATATGTGTGTGCCAATGATCATGGCAGCATTATTCACAACAGCCAAGGCTGGAAATAACCCAGGTGTCCCTCAATAGACAAATGGATAAACAAAATGTGGCATATACAATTAAGGGGATATTATTCAGCCAAAAAAAAAAAACAAGGTATGAAGTTCTGATACATGTTATAACATGGATGGACCTTGAAAACATTACACTAAGTTAAATAAAAGCCAGACACAAAAGGACAAATATTGTATGATGTCACTTGTATGAAATATCCAGAATAGGAAAATTCATAAAAATGGAAAGTAGAACAGAGGTTACCAGGAGCCACAGGGAGAGGGGAAGGGGAATTATTTATTCACTGTTACAGAGTTTCTATTTAGGACGCTTAAAAAAAAAGTTTTGGAAATATAGAGTGAAAATGGTTGTAAAATAGTGTGGGTGTAATTTACACCACTGAATCGGAGACTTAAAGGTGGTTCTAACAGTAAACTTATTTTATATATATTTTATCACATTAAAGAGAGAAAGGGAGAGAGAGAAGGAGTCAGGATCTCAGTTCCTTTACTCTCACAAAGCTCCCTGTCCTCTATGCAATTAGCCACCCCCCCCAACCCCTGCCATCAATTAGCCCTGCAGACCAGGGGGAGCAAAGGGACAGCTTGCACAGGCAACCGAGGGGTCTCGCTGTGCTCTCCTCTGGGTCCCTCCTTGCTGTCCCTGAGTATCACTAAGAGAGGCCACTCAAAGGACCTCTCAGAACAAAAGTCATTTCCAAGGTGACTTTCCACCCACTTCTCCAGCTAAATGATTTTAAGTTCTGCTTAGGCACCCACTTAGCTACAACAAGAGTATGAAAGCCACCACTTTCTGCACATCCATCCACTGCCAAGCACTGCTGGGTGCTGTGGACCCAAGATCCCCAGTCCTTTCCAGGCGACACCTCTGCATCATTAGCACCGTCCACAGCAGAAGAAATGGGACCCCAGACAGCATTAACGACTGCCCAAACCACACAGGCAGTATACCGCAGAGCTGGAATTTGAACCCATGAAACCAAATCTGTCTGGCTCCCAAATCCTTGCTCTAATTCCTATCCCACGGTCCTCACAAAGAGACCTACCTAACCCAAAATGCAGCAAATTAGGAAATGCCTATTTTCTATAATCAAAATGCTGATGGTATCACAAAGATATAAACTCAATATGCAACTATGAATAAACATAAAATGGATGTGTATGGCTCAGAGCTGGGGGTGGGGTAGGAGGGAGAAGGGCAGTGGGCAGGGGTGGGAGCAGAGTGTTTGATAAGAAAAACTTCAATTTGGCGGGGTGTGGTGGCTCACGCTGTAATCCCAGCAATTTGGGAGGCCCAGGCAGGCAGATCACCTGAGGCCAGGAGTTTGAGACCAGCCTGGCCAACATCGTGAAACTCCGTCTCTACTAAAAATACAAAAATTAGCAGGGCATGGTGGTGGGTGCCTGTAGTCCCAGCTACTTGGGAAGCTGAGGCAGAAGATTCACTTAAACCCAGGAAGTGAAGGTTGCAGTGAGCCGAGATGGTGGGCCACTGCAACACTCCAGCCTGGGCAACAAAGACTCCATCTTAAAAAAAAAGAAACTTGAATGTGAACCTTGAAGCTACCACCCACTAGCTGTGCCTACTTAGACAAGGCTGTGAGAGGACACTTTCACAAAGAAATAAAGGTTTTATCATGTAAGTGAGCTACTGCTGACCTCACCCCTATCTGGTTTCTGCAGGAAAGAGGTGTCATATTCACAAGGGTTCTGTAATGGAAGGACTGTGGGCAGAGGTAAGAGAACCCAAGAACAAGGAAGGGGTGCCAAAGCACTTGGAACCAGCAAGGGACTGAAGGAGCAAGAGGGGGAGCTGCTAATGGGAAATAATATTAATACCTTGACCTCTCTCAAATCCTGCCCATCAATCTCCTGCCAGTGCAGCCAGTGATGAGAAACATCCAGAGTTAGGAGCACGGGAGCCCAGGGATGGGCCGACAGGTGAACGGTCCAGGGGCCAGCACATCTGGCTGGGTGGGCTTGCTGGTTATGCGTCCCCTCTCACATCCAGCCCTGCACAACTCTGACTTAGTCCCAGCAACAACATGAACTTCTACACAGCCTGATCTAGCGATGAGCCCAAATCGATTCAGCAACTCCAAAGGACTTAGGATTGATGTCATTGGCTATCTAACCCCCAGGAATATGAGTTCCTCCAGGGCTGAACTTGCCACAGGGCTTTCTAGATCCCCAATGCCTGGGACACAGTAGGCACTCAATAAATGTCTGTTAAGCGGTCTTCCTTTTATAATGTAAAGTGATAGCTCAGGCTCAGACGCTGAAAGGCCCAGGATTTACTGCATTTTTTTGTTACCTGCCAACTAGCGAAGACCACAAAAGGCTTGAGTAGAACAGTAAAAGCAGGGAGTGAATAAGTCATTTCTAATAAGGCTGGTTTTATAGGCATCACACCTCCACCAAGCCAAACAGGCTCACTGTAGAAGCGGAATCTATTCTGCAAGTGCAGAGACCAAAGAGAAAGCCAGGGTTGGCTCTAACGGCGAGGGCGGCTCTATGGGGCAGCTCAGCCACTGCCTCCACAATGAGAGACGCGAACTTCCACTCACTGGTCTCGTGGGTGCGGGACCGACACCCACAGGAGTCTCTGGGGCCTTCATTAAGCCTGCCCAAGGAAAACGCCCGCCATTTGTCTCAGCCCAACACAAACAGGCTTCTGACAGAGCAGGCAGCGTGGGGGTGGAGGGCATGGAAAACGCTGGGGCTGAGCCCTGGGGGCCCATAGGCAGCCCTGCCTGGTGCACCCAGAGGTGCCCATCCTAGCCGACATGCACACCAACGTGACCATTCACACGTTCCCTTCCTTCTGATGCTGACATGTCCCCCCGCCCCACCATCCTCAGCTATTTGCCTGTTACCTGCCAGCCCCACCTGGGCTTCTTGTGGGGGCAGGGGACTCTGGCATGGGATCCTGCCCTCAGCTCTGCCACCATCAGCTGTGAGGCCGCAAGAGGCACTCCCTGGGCTGACCGCAGCTTCTTCATTTTTCTAACGAGAAAACGAGAACATCTCTCTCTGGTAAAACGGAGCTTCAAGATTCAATGTTTAGCCTCCACTGTTTAATTCTCAGTTGAAATTTTAACATCATGTTATGTTAAAATATATGTTACCTGGAAAGAGAGAAGCGGCCCCATATCAAGAGGCCAAGAGCTTTCTGCTCCAGGACCTTATCTTAGCAAAGGTTCACTGGTCCAACTGGCTGTCACCATGACACTTGGGAACATTCAGAGAATCCCAGGGAATAACACCTGGCCAGGCCTGGCAGGAGAGAGGGGAGCGGCGTCCAACACTGCCCTACGTGTGCAAGGAGAGGGCGGGTCTAACCCCACACACTCAAGGCCACGGTCTAAGAAGCTCCGGCTCAGAAGGTGCATTCGTTCATAGGAGAAAAGCAGAGTTTCTACTGAAAAGTGTTTTTAATAACACACAAAACAATTCCAACTTTTCCCTGAAACTCCATCTGGCCAGTTTCCTCCGGCATGCCCACAGCTGATTCTTCTAGAAACTGTTTAACATGATTGTTAAGAATAACCTAACAACCTGTTAGGTTATTTATCCTGCTTTCCCAGAATACAGAGCTGGACTGTGCGGGCAGCCGCTCGGGCAGAGAGGGCTGTGCACTGCCGGCCTGTCCCTGGGGTCTCTGGGGGCTCTCGGTGCACAGGAGCCAAGGAAGCAGCTCCCAATCCATTAGGGGGAAAAACCAAAACACTTTGCAAGTGTCCAAATAAAATGTGCTTACTAAATGTCTACTATAAGCAAAATACTGGGAAAGGGATACAAAGATTAACAACATATGGTCCTTGCTTTCAAATCAGCTTGCATGACAGTTTAATGGGGAAAACAGATATTTATACAAATAATACAACAATAGCACTTATACAAACCACCTAAAAAAAATCTTATGGAAGTGACTAGATCTAAGGTTCCAAGTCACGATACTTGGGTTAGGAAATTGCAAGAAAAAATTCAAATCCTATACCCGTGACATGATCATCAGTGGAATTTTCCTAGATCAGAGGGGTAGAATCCCTTTGTTGAGTATAAAAGATCAACTATCTGTCCTCATAGCATCCGGCTGTAAGATTTTTTTATGTTCTGTAATTTAAGACTTTTCTTTTAAGAGATAGGGTCTTGCTTGCTCAACATGTTCCTCAGGCTGGAGTGCAGTGGCGCGATCACAAACTCAACTCCCGGGCTCAAGAGAACCTCTCATCTCAGCCTCCCAAGTAGCTGGGATTATAGGTGCACACCATCATGCCTAGCTAATTTTTTTTTTTTTTTTTTTTTTTTTTTATCTTTTGTAGAGGTGGAGTCTCGCTGTGTTGCCCAACCTGGTCTTCAACACCTGGACTCAAGCGATCCTCCCACCTCAGCCTCCCGAAGTGCTGAGATTACGGGCATGAGCCGCTGCACCTGACCAATTTAAAACTTAAAATCTTACTACTCTAAGAACTTTATACACATGTGCTTTATAAATGCTGGTTCATATGAAGATGGAATATCCCCCTCAACCCTGTAGGGTGATACACAGCCATACGGAACCATCACAAACTAGTAGGCTACTGCTTTTACTTCAAATAAAACAAATACTCCCCGGGCCAAGTAGAAACTAGAGCCGTTCTCCTGGAAGCAAAGATGTCAAAGCCTCTCACTCTTAGAAACAACCCACAATAGGGTCTGGGCTTTGTGGTTTACTTAAAGGAAGTAACATTTGCATCTTCAAAACAAAAACAAAAGGCCCTCTTTATCAGGAAAATGTGGCAAAAGGTTCACCAGTGGTAAATCTGGGTGAAGGCTCCACAGGGCTTATAGGGTTGGTGTATGACTCTTTTACCTTTTCTTCAGTTCCAATTTTTTTTAACAAAAAATTGGGGGAGAAATAAAGGATTTTCCCCAGAAGCTTGAAAGGCCCTGCCAGCTCCTACATGATCTGTAGATTTTTGTTCTGCTGTTAATCGTGGAATCATCAAAGAAACAGCCTTCATAAAGAATCAAAAAGCAAAACAGCAATGAAGAACACCTTTTAGCTTTTGATCTGAACAAGCCTTCATGCTGCCTTTGCCGGGGAAGGGCTGCTGAACCATTCTGAGGCAAGAACACCTCCCTGAAAAACCACAGATTTCCATCCTCATGGAGCCATCCCTCCACAGACCCAGATCTTGTACAGCCCAAATGCAGGGCGCACTTTCCCCGAGTACAAACCCCAGTGCGTTTCATGAAGCTGTTCAGTATATGCAGAATCAGTGCATTAATAACAGCTTATTGGCACCGAATGAAAAACACACAAGTCTTAATCTTAGGTCTTGAATTTTGTCCAGTTCCTACGTCATACCTGGCTGTAAGGGCTACAGCCGTAAGCATGCTTGGTGACTGGAGGCTGTGTAGTGAGACCTGAGTTTTGAAACCAGGATTGGTAGCTTAACAAAATTTACTGGTTGTAGAAAAAGTAAACTTGCCTCCGGGGAGGTGAGCTCAGCCTCACCATTCTGACAGCAGCCTCTGGTGGCCAGTTTAGTAAAAAGTGTTGGCTCTCATGCTGAAAGCTCGGACCTTCCCTTCTTAATGAAGGTCGCTGCAAGCAGACAGGCCATTCTAGGTAACAGCTGGAGGTGACTGGGGAAGCTGCAGAAATCCAAACGAAGGTGTGACTTTGGACCACGTAAATCACCAAGTCATTGGATGATCTGTCTCTTGCATTAAAAAAAAAAAAAAATGAAGTACTCTCTTTCAAAAGTAGAAAAATAAATAAAGAGAACTGTTTTAAAAGGGCTCAAGTCACAAGGCAGATAATACATACTCAGTTTGAAAGTAATCTCATTCCTTACTTGCATAGAAAGCCTTTAAATATTCAAGGAGCACAGATTCCTGAACAAAATAAAGCCCAGCCTGTCTGCTTTCTTACATAGCACCCCATGGTACACTAACTCCTATGTACTGAGTGCCGGAAATTCTTCCTGCAAAGTAAGGAATTGCTCCATATGGCAGAAACTTCTAGAAAATGCTGCAACCATTCATTCAGAGAACAAAATTAAATATTCAGGATTGTAGGTGAGGCCTGATTTCTAGTGCCACAGATTCACACCATTTCACTGGATATAAATAGAGGAATGATCAGAGGCTGACAGTTGGCTTCAAAGGCAGAGAGGGTAAGAAGGAGACGCCATCAGCTTCAAGCCAACTTCTTCGTAAGGTGCACTCTGTCCTCAGCTGTCAGAGAACAATCTGGAAACAATCTGCTGAGCAGCTGCTCTCATCAACAAACTGTTTATTGTAAGAAAGTGGCTGGGTCAAAGGCTAAACATCAACCCGAGCTGAAAGCATACAGAACAAAAATCAATACCGTCCCTGCTAAAGAGACCCAGGACTTAGCATGCAGAAAAGAGAGGGTGAGGAACTCATGTTTAGTTCTGAAAGAGTAAGAGTTGGAACAAAACCCCCATATTTCAACATTCAGGGTTCTTCTGCATATTATTCCAATTGGCGACTTGCTGCTATTTGCAGAATGGCCTTGTAATGGGGGCTAAAATGTGGCATTCAACAAGGACACAGAAATCAACTTTGCCCTAAAAGTTACAGGGGTTAACATCAGTTGTTTCTCTCTCACATTTGTTTTGCAACAGGACCAACGTGCTCATCATACACATGTGCTTATTATACACAATGCACAGATACTACAGTCCATCTTTAAATATGTCTAATTGGAAACTGGAAGGCTGACTGGACATGAGATTATATGAAGAGATTGTTTCATTTTAGGTATGACGGTGGAATTGTGATTATGTTTTTAAACAGAGCTCGCATCTTTCAGAGACACATACTAAAATATTTGCAGATGAGAAAACTGAAACAGTATCTGGGAATTCCTTCCAAATAATACTGGCAGAGAAGTGGGTAGAAAGAAGTGAAATAAGATTGGCCATAAATGGATAACTGTGAAAGAGAGTGATGAGTACAGAAGAATTCACTCATTATTTATATTTACTTTTGCATATTTGAAATTTTCTATGAAATGTTTGCTTTTACTTGTGTGTAAAGTTCAACAGTTACTTTGAAAGAAAAAAAGTTTTCTTAAATATAAGAGAAGTATTAACCTACCGAGGCAAATTAATTAAGTCATATGCCATGGTATTGCTAGGTATCCAATTTAACGTTTTTGAGCAATGTCCGAGATATGGTTGTTATGTCCTGAGTTGAACGATGGAGAAGTAGAAAGAGATGCTCAAAGTGTTCCCACTGCATACGTGCTCCAGCAAGCCAGAATGTGACACAGAAACAGATAAGACGGTTTCCCATGGTTTAATTGCAGTATGGGGCAAGAGGACATACGTGAGATGCTAGGAAAACCCAACTGTCATAAATAATGGGGACCAAATTGTTAAAAGACAAGTTAGCACACAAATTTTGAAAACACAATTTCTTTGTAAATCTGAGGCTGCTATATAGTGTATTGATAATTCTTAAATTAACAGTAAAATTAGAGAATTAGCCTGAAATAAATAAAAATAAAGCAGATAGCAAAACATTATTTCATTGTGCTGAAATTAACTGTGAAGATGTATCTATGATTTTAACTTGTTCCAATATAAAGATGAAAATGGTAATAATCACAAATTCTTAGAAAAGAATGCATTCAAAGGAACTGCTTAAAAAGTTAAAAAAAATTTTTTTTAGTCTACTTGCTTTGCCAAGACCAGCATAAATACTGCAGAGAGTCCTGCAAAGGATGAGAAAGGTCATCTTGTCTACCCTCCCTCCCAACAGAACAGAGAAGGGTTTGGTCATGAGAATTTGGTGACGCACCAGGCACGGTAGCTCATACCTGTGAGGCCAAGTACTTTGGGAAGCTGAGGCGGAAGAATTGTCTGAGCCCAGAAATTTGAGACCAGTTTGGGCAAAAAGTAAGACTCCATCTCTACAAAACACAAAAGTAAAATAGCCAGGTATGGCGATATGTGCCTGTAGTCCCCGCTGCTTGGGAGGCTGAGGTGGGAGATTACCTGAGCTCAGGAGTTCAAGGCTGCAGTGAGCCATGATCATGCCACTGCACTCCAACCTGAGTGACAGAACGAGACCCTGTCTCAAGAAAAAAGAAAAAAAAAAAAAGACACCCACCCTAGTGGGAAGGTGGGGCAGAGATGGGAATGGTTAATGGATGCAAAAAATAAAAATAAATAAAAAGAACGAATAAGACCTAGTATTTGATAGCACAACAGGGTGACTACAGTTAATAATAATTTAACTGTACATGCTCAAATAACTAAAATAATATAATTTGTTTGTAATATAAAGGATAAATGCTTGAGAAGATAGGTACCCCATTTTATATGATGTGATTATTATGCACAGCACGCCTGTATCAAAGCATCTCATGCATCCCATAAATGTATACACCTACTATGTACCTATTAAATTAAAATTAAAAAAAATTTTTAAAGCCGTCTACCAAGAAAAACTCATTTGGCCAATCTGAGACACTACACCTAACCCCAACATCACAGAAGGAAAAAATACACAGAGCAAAACCTTCAAAATTATAGACCTTTGACCTTTAAAGCATTTTATTAACTAAAAAGCTACAGAAAAACTTAAATCCTGAAATGCATCAAGGTTGCCTATGAAAAGTAATCTAGACAATCCTAGGCAGAGTCTGGCTATCCCCCCACCCCCAAATTAACCATCATTTTTTAATTTATGAAACTACTGTTTGATGTTTCTTTTAAAAGGTGTATTTTCTTATTTACGGAAATTAAAAACAGGAAGAGGGATCAGTGGTGCCATCATTCAATCACTCTTCAGTGAACTACTCTACGTAGGATTCATTTTTGTTCAGAGAAGAGAGCAACTTACCAAATGTTTACCTAGGGCATACAAAAGCAAACTCAGTAAGTTTTCTGAGAAGAATATTCACTTTCAGCCGGGCACAGTGGCTCACGCCTGTAATCCCAGCACTTTGGGGAGCCGAGGCAGGCGGATCACAAGGTCAGGAGTCCAAGACCAGCCTGACCAACATGGTGAAACCCCGTCTCTACTAAAAATACAAAAACTAGCTGGGCGTGGTGGTGTGTGCCTATAATTCCAGCTACTCAGGAGGCTGAGGCAGGAGAATCGCTTGAACCCGGGAGGTGGAGGTTGCAGTGAGCCGAGATCGTGCCACTGCACTCCAGCCTGGGTAAGAGTGAGACTCTGTCTCAAAGAAAAAGAAAAAAGAATATTCACTTTCAACTTTAATTTTAATTTTCTAAACTTTTCCTTAATGCATGTAGGAGGCAGGTTGAATTAAACTAAAAGTTTTTATAGACCAGTGGCTCAGGAAAGCCTCATGGTGGGTGAAACTGACAATGGTCCTATGATACGCATGTTCAGGACCCAGCGATCTAGCTGACTGCTGATGGGCAACGCTGTTCTCCTTTCGCTCACACCTAGAATCTGAATCTCAGCCTCGGAGGCGCAGCAGCACAGTGCCAAAGCAGCCCTCCTCTTCACCCAGAGCCCCTGTCCCCTGCACTCAGACACACATGCCAGAGACCCACCAGAGACACAAACACCTACACAACAAAATTGTGCTGTGAACCTCGTGTCAAGGGAAAGTGCATTTCCCTTTTACCAGAAATCTCCAGACCCGCTACTCTAAGTCTTCTCTCACTCTCTGGGAGAAATGACCACTCCACAAAGGCACGTTCTATCTCAGCAATCTTAAGTTTTTCTGTAGTTCTGGTTAAAACAGACATATGCACTTAAATAAATAAATATATAAATGTATATGCATATATATTATCATAATATGTATTCATATGGTTGAAATTTTAAAAACTCAAATACCCTTAAAAGTATCGATTAAAAGACTCTGTTTTTTTAAATTAAAGCCACGTTCCTCAATTCACGAAATAAAATTTGAGTTATAGAATTTTTTTGTAAAGGACAGTAGCTCCAATGATCAATGAGAATTGAAATCATAGTCTTTAACTCCAATATCTCCTTTTTAGAAAAAAATATTTATTTTAATTGACAAGTAAAAAGTATGTACATTTCTGGTATACCACATGATGCTTTGATATATGTGTATGTTACGGAACAGAAACTCCAATATTCCTTCCACTGATTCTATTATTAAACCAAAGCCTAAAAACATTTTAAGAAAGAAAAGACCCACGACACCAGCAGAGGGATAATGTAGAATTGTACTGGAAACATGGTAGTACCTGGATAGCTGTGTGGCCAAACTCGGCATGCTGTACCTGGGGAGACGCAGCCATACACAGGCAGCTACAACAAAACAAACAAATTAGGAAGATCTCTCAGAAAAAAGGAGTCTTCCCTTCTTATCTCCAGGAGAAAGTGCCTGAGGGACCGACAGACGGACTAACCTTGGCTGAGTCTTCCTGCTTTCACGAGGAAGCCCGCAAAATCCTCCTGGTGCTGCCCAGCATCGGCCGAGCTCCAGCACAGGAGCGCTCTCCTTGCACCCCAAGTTGTTTCTCCCCTTACCACTCAGGTGGGGGAAATGGGGGATTAAACACCACTCAGGTCCACAAACTGCCTGTCAGTTTTGAAACCCCCGAAACACTATAAACATTTTTCCAAGACAGTCAGTGCAAATCTCCAGGCGGCATTCTCAAATCATTAGCATGCATGGAAACAAAATGTGCTCCCCAGCTATAATTCACATCCCAAGAACTGAAGGAGAACATTTATCAAATGGGATTCGGGTCTCAGACCCCGACATTCCTGAGCTGACACCACCAGCTCCGCGGCCCGGGAGCGCCAGACTCAACGGTTCCGTCATCGCCGGGCGCCCCACCGCCGCACCCACCGCCAGCTCTGGTCCTTGGCCCTGCACCTGACCACAGGAGCCCTTTGATCATGCTCTCTAACCCGGCACCAGTATGGGCTTATTCCTGGGATGTGTTTTTTGAACTGGGAGACAAAAATCCGCGTGTGAGAATGTTCTAAGCCCTTCTGGAGACAGCCTCCACCGACTTCCCTGGGAGGTGAGGCCAGAATCCATACCCGCTCACACATGGCAGCTATTAGGAAGCCCGGGTAGGAGACAAAAAGCATGTGGTCTTGGAGGATTTTTTTTATTCCAAAAGAGGCCGTTTCCCATCCACAAGTTTGTGACTGCATAAACGGTGGATATAAATAGACGGAGGAAAGAAAACCACGCTTCTTAGACGGGATGCTATCCCAAGAAGGAAAGTGCTGAGCGGGAATGTTCCCTCGGCCTCAGAGACCTTATCACCCCTTCACCAGGCCAGACAGCAAAGACCGCAACGCACAGAAGCCAGAATCATCACAAAACTAATTAAACGTGGAAAACAACAAAAGCGTTTGTGCAGATTTCCCACAAGCACACATCTCTGCCCCGGGTATTTACTCTGCAGGCGCTGCTTTGAGGCACACTTGTGGAAACAAGATTCAAGTAAAAAGACAGGACACACAGTAGCTGAAAAGCCTTCTTCCCACAAAAATAAAACATTCTAAAGGGAGCACAGGAAAACCCCCCAAGTATGATTTCTTTTGCAATTCAACATCAAAACCCATCATGTCACCTTTTGCCATGGGTATTATGTTTGATAACAGGAAGTCAGTCAAAATGAACAAAAAATTTCCAGCGTAGGTGAAGGGCGAAGGAAGAAAGAAACGAGAGAAAGAGGTATATGAAAGACCCTTAAAAGCATTCATAGCTATAAAAGCTTTTAAATGTTTGCTTTAATCTGCTAGCTGCCTTTAGCCGGTGCCGTATTGTAAAACAGCCGCACAAGACCACAGCAGCCACATGTCAAAAGCTATTCAAGGTGCACCTGGAATTCTGACTTCCTCTCTAATTTGGATCTCTAAAAATTATTTTTAAGCTGTATTTTAAAGTTATGCCCAAAGCTTCGCCCTATCTATACATTCGAGACTCAGAACTAGGATTAAAAATAGGAGAAGGGGAGGACTCCACATCAAGTACTATGTTAAAAAATGGCAGGCAAAGATTTTTTTTAGTGGAGAATTCTAATTAACTCATTAGAAAAATACATTAAGCCAGGTGCAGTGGCTCATGCCTGTAATCCCAGCACTTTGCGGGGCTGAGGCAGGTGGATGACCTGAGGTCAGGAGTTTGAGACCAGCCTGACTAACATGGTGAAACCCTGTCTCTACTAAAAATACAAAAATTAGCCAGGCATGGTGATGGGCACCTGTAACCCCAGCTACTTGGGAGGCTGAGGCAGGAGAATCGCTTGAACCCAGGAAGCAGAGGCTGCAGTGAGCAGAGATTGCACCACTGCACTCCAGCCTAGGCGACAAGAGCAAGACTCCATCTCAAAAAGAAAAACAACAGAAACGAAAAATACATAAGCCTCTTCACTGTCCTGTACGCCAGCTTCCTCTCCCGGGGGCAAGGACTCCTTCCCCGCCCTGCCCTACTTATCAGGGTCACTATGAGACCCAAATGAGATGGCGACACAGGTAAAAAAGCTTGGTTAACTAGAACGCATGCCACAAAGACGAGGAATTATCCCTCGTTTTCCAGAAACTTCTGCAGCAAGGGCTTGTACTTAGTAGGCACACAGATGTTTGCTACATGAAGGGGCCAGTTAGAGAAGGAGGAACAACTGTGTGGTATGTATGACTGAGTCTAAGTTTCTTCATAAAGCTATCAACGTCTGAAAAGCAGCTCCATCTCAGTATGTTCATGTATATCAAATCATCATGCTGCATACCTTAAATATATACAATTTAAAAAAAAGTAACATAAAGGACTTCCCGGAGTAGAAGGGCCTGTACCCGTTTTTTGATATGTTTACAAGTATCTAAACTATCCTTACCAACAAAACCTGCTTTTTATGGGGGGAAAAAGTTTCACAGTAAAAATTTGGGGTTAAATCAAAATGAAATGTCATAACTAGTTTCTGTTTTTAAGTACGTATTACCCATTCCATAACTCCCCACTACCAAAATCACACAAACACACCTCATGGTGATTTTGCCCGATCATTTCAGTAACAAACCCAGTTGTCACTTCTTGTGACAGCTACATCTTGATCCCAGCTGGACACAGGACCCCTGCTAAGAGTCCAGCCGGCTTGTGTTTCTCAGGTCACCTACACACTGTTAGCCACCGTTGGCCACGATGAACACCCACAAGGTTCCCAAGCTTTTTCATTTTGGAAAAATTCTTGTGCTCCCCAGATCCTAAGCAGATGTCCCAGGCTACGGGAGCAATGCACAAGCTCTCTAGTTCCCCAAGGTAAAGGTGCCGACCTTCCTGGGGGCAGCACGTCCAGTTCCCCAAGGTAAAGGTGCCGACCTTCCTAGGGGTGGCACATCCCACCTTCTTCTGCTTCCTCTGGACTCACTGGGGGGACCAAAAGGGGTCCACTGGCAGGCAACTCTGCAGGGGTGGAGGGTGGGGGGCTGGCTCTGCCCCACACACAGATTCAGGTCCCAGCCGGTCCTAACCCGCCAGCTGCCCCTCCCAGTGAGACCCTGCAGAGCGTGGCAGCCTGTGCTTTCTTTCTGCCATTGCTCTGGCAGAGATAAAAAGGAAAATGGAACCCAGAGAAACAGAAACAAGGCAGCTAGCTTCTCAACTGGGAAAGAATTACATTTTCTCTAGAACATCAGATTCGATAGAAAATAAAATCTATTAAAATGTTTCTATAAAATATAAAAGAATTATGTTTTTTCTGGTGTTCTGTAAGGGAAAGGATTATGTTTCTTCTATAAAATCAGTGTTTCTCAAAAACATTCATGTCCCAGCACAGTAAAGATGTATTGCTGCTGACTGCCTGTCACCCACTGGTGGCGGGAAGATGTGGTGGCCACCAGGTGATCGCACCCCGGACACCCCACAGTGAGCCATGTGGTGTATCAGTCTCTCACCCACCAACATCTGCAGAGAGGAAGCCATGGAGAGGTCCCCATATATATGGTCTTGGAGAAACAGTTCAAAGGGCTCTGCCAAGAAACTGGAACATCCAAGCAGGGGTAGGGCACCCAGGGGTACCTTCCACCCACAGAAGCAAAGGGACAGCTTCAGCTCGGAGGCCCCCACACACCAACTCAGAGCTCACAGTTAACCCTGGAAGTCACAGCTGCCACAGGCCATGAACAAGAGTCACGTGTTTTACTATCAGAGCGAACCCTTTCTAAATAATATGTCAAATATTAATATTAACCAAAGTATCAACACCTATGAGATTCCCTGCCTTTTAACATTCAAGTGTGACCATGTGTGAGATGCCTTCAAAGTCCAATGACACGCAGTCATTTGTTTTTAGTTTTTAATAACTAATTTGGCTCATTATAAAATAACTCATAACAAATAACCAATTTGGCTCATTATAAAATAACTAATAACTAATTTGGCTTATTATATATATAATCATTATAGAAAATTTGGAAAATACAGAGAAAGTTTTAAAAGATTATTAAAATCACCCTTAAGCACTCCACCACAAATAAGTCCCATATATACCAGATTTCCTTCCAGTCTTGTTTCCTTTTTTTTTTTTTTTTTTTGAGACAGGGTCTCACTCTGTTGCCCAGGCTGGAGTGCAGTGGCACAATCATAGCTCACTACAGCCTCAACCTCCCTGGCTCAGGCAATCCTCCTGCCTCAGCCTCCCGAGTAGCTAGGACTACAGGTATGCGCCACCATGCCTGGCTAATTTTTGTATCTTCTGTAAAGAATACGAAATTCTGCCAGGTTGCCCAGGCTGGTCTCGAATTCCTGGGCTTGAGCGATCCACCTGCCTCAGCCTCCCAAGGCATTGGGATTACAGGCTTGAGCCACTGCACCTGGCCCAGTCTTCTTTCTACGGAGATAGGTGTGTGGTAAACGTGTGTTTGTGTGTTTGTTTTATGGTTTAACTTTTTGTCATTTTGCTGAGACCCAAATTTCAATCCTGCTCCTGGGAGGTTCAATTAAACGTGAAAGCCTTGGTCGGAGGAAGCCCAGCTCAGCCGCCCACAGCCTGCATCTCAGCCAAGCCCTGCTTCCTCTTGGTATCGTGCACAGTGACACTGATGGAGCCACACATGACTGGGTTTTATAGTGGGAATCACACGCTACCATGGTGTCTGGGTGTCGATGAAGGTCTCCGAGCACATCCTTCCCAAATGCCAAGGGCTGACCGTCGCTGAGGCGAGTGTTTTTTCTCTTTGGGTCTTGCTACTATTCTTTCCAGTTATATCACAGTAACGGAGAAGCACATAAATCTTCTGCGCTATTCGTCATAAAGAGCAAGTGTCAAGGCACCAAACTGTGTAAACACAGCTGGTACGCAGTAAAACTATTTAGATAACTAGCATATTTATTTTGTTCTTTCATATCCCATACTATAATAGTACCTAGGACACAGTAAACGTTGAATGAAAGATGAATATTATTAACTGGGACATTGAAATAATTTCTGCAGACCCAAAAGAAAGTGCCACCAATATAATGGAAAACTATAAAATTATACTATGTGAAACTGATATAGACAGAAAAAAATTAAATCTCTGAAGAACAACTTTATAGTTCTAGGGTCCTGTATGCGAGGCAGCCTAGCTCAGCAGCGACACCCTGTGGTGAGAGATCTTTGACTCCCAGCAACAGAGTGTCTTGCAGGGCACAGGAAGCAGAAAGCCAGCCCAGGCATCCAATCCCTAAGGCAGGCGATGAGCCAAATGGACAGGCAGGATTTAGCAGATGACTGGGTGCCAAGATCCTCTCCATGGAACTTAATTCCGTGAGGATGACTGAGATCTGTTAAGTAGGGATGCCAGAAAGAAAACCAAATACAAAGCACAAACCCAATTCCATTCCCAGTCTCTGTGGTCCAGATCTATAAATACTGACCCATAGCACAGTGACTAGATGCAGGAGGAATTCAGCTGCCTCCGGAAAGACCACCTCAGGCAGTGCATATCCACCTTCAAATTCATTTGCACTATAATCCTTTAGAGAACTTGTATTCCAAGAAAACATCATATAAAACCTTGACTTCTGCCATTTCCTTCTACAGCAGATTCAAGGACACCTAAGCAGAGTTAATAAACATTAAGAGGCCGGGAGCGCCATGCCTGTAATCCCAACACTTTGGAAAGCCAAGGCAGGCAGATTGCTTGAACTCGGGAGTTCAAGACCAGCCTGGGCAACATGGCGAAACCCTGTCTCTACAAAAAGTATTAAAAATTAGCCAGGCATGGTGATGCACACCTGTAGTCCCAGCTACTCGGGGGGCTGAGGTGGGAGGATCGCTTGAGCTTGGGAGGTGGAGGCTGCAGTGAGCCATGATTGCACCACTACACTCCAGCCTGGGCAACAGAGCAAGACCCTGCCTCAAAAACTAAAAATAAACATTAAGAAATGAGGATATGTACAACATACACGTACTCATTCCATTCCTTGGGCTCCCAAAGTAAAGCAGAATTCAGTCAGAAATAAGCAGCTGAGAGGAAAGTAGTCCACAGCACAGATATCCAAGAAAATCAACAAGGCCAAGTGGAGGGCCCGCAATGGGAAGTGAACATTTCTGAAAATAATTATTTTCCAAAGTTATTATGTAATAAGGGGCTTAGTAGGGAGTGTCCATGTATGTGTATACAGAGCAAATATTTGCTTTAATCATGTTCAAGCATTTCATTCCCAAAGTTTGTGAAAGGGGAAATCAATACTCCCTCAATTGATCAATGAACAGGTGAAAAAGTATCACCTCCCACTGCCCCAGGCTGTTTAAAAAACTGGAAGGACAAAAATGTGAAGCATCTGTTGTGTGCTTGAATATAAGCAGACACATGATACAAAGCCCTGACATGGGTATTTCAGGTTATACTCATCCTAAATACACCAGAAATGCCAAGAGTTCCAAACTTCCACTCACAAGAGAATAACCTGGGGCAGGGCCACTCTTCCTATCCACTACTCTGTCCAAGAGTCCGGAGGTCAAGTCCGAAGACCAGCATGATCAGAACTCCGAGAAAGGGCAGGGAGCTCTGCCAAGGGCAAGGCCAGGCCACCTCACTCCCGGACTTCCCCAGCTGGGAGCCTCAGAGCAGGCACTGGCTAAGGTAGCCAGCCCCAGCCCTCCATCCCCAGGAAAAGGCGACAGAGAAGGTCTAGGGGACTGGCAGTGCTCTCAGATTTTCTATCTGTCTTCTCCAAGTGAGCCCATCACACCCAGATAGCTCATAGCTCTGCTCTCCTCCAAAAACTAAGGGACACAGTGTAACACAAAAGAAAGTGCCTCCTTTTTAAAAAATGTTGGGATGAGAGGTATAATTTGTTTGTTTCAAGAGAAAGTAGGTAAGTTTAGTGTTTAAAGTCACCTAGACTATTGGGTGTTTGCAGAAACTACATGGTTATGTCATTCAACTCACAAATTTGTCTGTTCAGAGAAGACAACAGAAATAGACAAAATAATTTGTCACAATGACTATGAAACTGATAGTATGGCCAAGCAGGGGGATTAGCAAGAACCTACACCTGGAGAATCTGGCGACCTGCCCAAAACCAGGTATCAATCACAGGCAGCAAGTGCAGGCATGGGCCAAGAGAATTCCCGAACACATTCCCAGCTCCGTGGGCATTTTCCTGTCAGACACGACTCACAGACGTGAAACCCAGAGCGCTGTTGCCACAAGATGGCAGACATTAGCACAAATGTGATTGTTCCAAAGATTTGCTGAAAGTGGCTCAAGTCAAAACAAATGTTTTCAATCCCAAATGAATAAAGTTACAGTCTGAATATACTCTTGACACAGGGACCCTCTTCCCCCTAACGTGGAAAGGGCCACACCTGCAGACTTAACACCTTTCTAAACTCTACTAGTTGGCCCTCTCTTATATATAATCCTCCCCCAACAAAATGAATATTTGCACATCTTGAAGATGATTTCCAAACCCGAAGTCAAAACAGAAATGGAAAATCAAAACCAACCAAAATAAAACAATTAAAGCAACGGGTCGCCACTGTGAAGAGGGCCACGTCACAGCGCGCTCTGCCCAGCTGAGCCCACAACTCACCTCCGCAGCTGACAGCAAGTAAAGAGGAGTTAAGGCAGGAACTTGTTTCATGTCACAGCTGAGGCCAAGGGTTGTCAGAATCTCTCTAAGGACTTCGTATCTTCTAAAATTGCTTGACTTGAGCAAGTTAAAATCTTCTGGAGTTTGCACTATGTTGGAGCTGGGAGGTAGTTCTAAGTGCACCTGAAGGGGAAAGATAGCACTATGTAAACTGAGGGCACTCACAGGCAATGAGAAAAACAGTTTCTTTTTTCTTTTTCTTTTTTTTTTTAAATTTAGAGACAGGATCTCATTATGTTGCCCAGGCTGGTCTTGAACTCCTGGGCTCAAACGATCCTCCCACCTCAGCCTCCCAAAGTGCTGGGATTACATGTATGAGCCACCACATCTGGCCAAAAAATTTCTTTACCAGTTTTCTTCTCCAAGTGAGCACATCACACCCAGATAGCTCATAGCTTTGCTCTCCTCTGAAAATTAAGGGACACAGTATAACCCACAAGAGAAAACTTGAACATGAATTTTTCTAATTATCAATAGCATATAAACTCTGAAGCTGTATATCTGGAAAGTCATGGCCAACAAAAGAACGATTCCAAAGAGCCTACTCAAATTTTGGTTGTCAGGCTGAGAGGCCACGGTGGAAATGACCCTGGACAGTCATCATCTCTCTCCAGGTACTGATGTTCCACACTCATCAGTCATATGACCTTCCGCAAGTTACTTAACTTGATTATAGGAACAAAATATCTAGGGCCGGGAGCGGTGGCTCACGCCTGTAATCCCAGCACTTTGGGAAGCCAAGGCGGGCAGATCACCTGAGGTCGGGAGTTCAAGACCAGCCTGACCAACATGGAGAAACCCTGTCTCTACTAAAAATACAAAATTAGCCAGGCGTGGTTGCATGAGCCTGTAATCCCAGCTACTCGGGAAGTTGAGGCAGGAGAATCGCTTGAACCCAGGAGGCGGAAGTTGCGGTGAGCTGAGATAGCTCCATTGCACTCCAACCTGGGCAACAAGAGTGAAACTCCATCGCAAAAAAAAAAAAAAAAAAAAAAAAAGACCTAGAAAGACAGTTATGCTGAAAACCTAATTGCTAGTGAGTTCAGGGAGGCAAATGGGTCATGCTGGAAACTTCCATTTTGCCTATTAGCCATAACTGGAAAACAATACCTAGGAAGAGAGCAGCGTTATTCATCATTTTAAGAGCGTTTGCAGGAGGCTGGGTATAAAGGCTCACACCTGTAATCCCAACACTTTGGAAGACCAAGATGGGAGGATTGCTTGAGCCTAGGAGTTTCAGACCAGCCTGGACAACATAGTGAAACCCTGTCTCTACAAAAAATACAAAAATTAGCCAGGCGTGGGTGGTGCGGCTGTAGTCCCAACTACTTGGGAGGCTGAGCTGGGAGGATCCCTTGAACCCAGGAGGTTGAGGCTGCAGTCAGCCATGATCGTGCCACTGCACTCCAGCCTGGGCAACAAAGTGCGACCATTTAAAAAGAAAAAAAAAAGAGAGAGAGAGTTTGCAGGAATTCAAAACAGCAGGTCCTTGAATAATGTTGTTTCACTCAAAGTCATTTTGTTATGATGTTGATGAGGGGAAAAAGAAATCACTTCCCAGCCGGGGCCACTGTCTGTGGGTCCGTACGCTCTCCCCATGTCTGCACGGGTTTTCTCTGTTTCTCCGTTTTCCCCCCACATCCCCAAGCTGTGCACATTAGGTGAACCGATGCGTCTACATGGTCCTGATCTGAGCAAGTGTGAGTACGGGTGTGAGTGTGCCCTGTGATGGGAGGGCATCCTGGCCAGGGCTGACTCCCCCACCAGTAGTACCCTGAGCTTCCTGGATGAGTTCCAGCCACGCGGCCACCCACCATGCTGAACTGAAATAATCAGGTAAATAATTATCTTTGTTTTTATTAATCTTTCTTAAATGTACATATAATTCATATTTATTTCAGTGTTTCAGTGTTTTGGCCTTTATTTAGAAGTCTGGTGATGTCTTTGTGACCAGAAATACACTATGGGAACTGACTTCTTGTTTATATCAATTAGCCTATGGTAACATTGGTTTCATTGTTTGTCATTTCACTTAAGGGTGCAGTTTCCAAGAATCTATCAACAACTTTAAGTGAGGACTTACTGAGGAAGGCATACGATTTCTTGGACACCAGAAAGGCCTTTCCTCCCACCCTCCTTCCCCTGATTGAATTTTAAGATTTGGAACTTCACCTAGTTACTTCAGGCTTTGTTGTCTAGTTAAAATTAAAATATCTCCACCTATCAGCAGCCTTTGTCTGGGTATGAAGGAACTTACTGGAACCTCTAGCTCCCCTGAGATCAGATTTTAAATGAGCATTGAAGCCTGGAGGTTGCCAGAACACTGAGTACCCAGAAAAGCAAACTGAGCTCGTCTGCCTTATTTTGTTTCAGCTTTGCCTACTGTATGCAAAGCTTCTAGCCTGATATTATAGAAGTATTATGAAAATAAAAAGCATAATGCCAGCTTTCAGGCGACTTAGAATCTCTCAATTCCTACCTTAACCAAGCCAAATATACTAACCAAATGTTAGAAGTTGAGGCTTAGCTGGGTGTGGTGGCTCACGCCTATAATCCCAGCACTTTGGCAGGCCGAGGCGGGAGGATCATTTGAGGCCAGGAGTTTGAGACCAGCCTGGACAACATGGTGAAACCCCACTGCCACTAAAAATACAAAAATCAGCCAGGCATGGTGGCGCACGCCTGTAATCCCAGTTACTTGAGAGGCTGAGGCACAAGAATCACTTGAACCTGGGAGGCAGAGGTTGCAGTGAGCTGAGATGGTGCCAGTGCACTCCAGCCTGGGTGACAGAGTGAGACTCCGGCTCAAAAAAATAAAGGTTGAGGCCAATCAGAAAAGGTCTGCAGGGCACCGTCCAACATGGTCCCCAAACCACAGCTGATTGGCTGCAGGCTGGCTGCTTCCTCCAAGACTGAGGATGCCAATCATGGGACAACAGGTCAGGTGGGCCTGTTTGTAGACAGCCCTGGAGAGGGGAAGAGGCAGAAAAGCAAAACCCTCTAAAGAATCCATATCCTCACCTGATGTCAGGAGTTCGAAACCAGCCTGACCAACATGGTGAAACCGTCTCTACTAAAAATACAAAAAAAATTAGCCGGGCCTGATAGCGCATGCTTGTAATCCCAGTTACTTGGGAGGCTGAGGCAGGAGAATCACTTGAACCCGGGAAGCAGAGGTTGCAGTGAGCCGAGATCGTACCACTGCACTCCATCCTAGGCAGTAAGAATGAAACTCCGTCTCAAAAAAAAAAAAAAAAAAAAACAATCTGTATCCTACTCAGTGCACTTCTACCCTAAATGTGTACCTCTCCTCTCCGGTGGACAAAGCCATGCCAGTATAGACAAACAGCATAGCGGCGAGACCCGTTTAATTCACTTGAGCACACGGCTATCCCGGAGATTAACCCTTACAGGTGGCAGAAATGAAATAAGTCAAGTTCTGTTCCCACTAGAGCCGAAGGGATGAGAGGGGTGCTCGACTGAATGCATGTGGACTCACTGGTCAGGGTGAATACACAGAGTAGCCAAGATGCACACGCAGTGAATTGTATGAACTCGTTTTCACATGAGAACGATGCCAGGACGGAAAACAGGATGGCGCTACAAGCGGGCGGAGTTCCTGGAGACAAGGGGGAAGATGGCCGCTGAAACCCCGAGAACTGCTTGGCTTCACTGTCTTAGGGTTTCAAGATGTAGGTGCTTCTACAATGGAAACAAGAAAAGAGGCCACCTCTGGTTCTACGCTCCCAATTAGCAGGGAGAAATGGCACACCGGAGTGTGTGGGTGGTAGATTTGTACTCCTCGTCCACAGAGGTACTGGACTAGAATCTCATTCTCTGAGTGTAACCCTGTTACCATAATGACAGGTCTATTTCTGTAACTTGGCTTCTTGTAAAAATAAGACTTTTTAGTTGGACCGAAAACCGGAACTAAAAAAATGTCTCCAGCCACAAATGCGTGGAGAGGGTGATACTGGCATCCAGTGGGGAGAGACCAGGGATGCTATTCCGCAGCCGAAAATGCACAAGACTGTTGTTGCCACGAAGAATTCTCTGACCCAAAATGTCAATAGTGCCATGGTTGAGAAACTCTGTCATCAAAGGCGACCCACTGCTGCCATGTGCTAAGCTAAACAAGAAAACAAAATCTTTTAAAATCCCTTTTAAAGATTTTCTGTGGACAACTTCATGGCAAATTCCTGGTCCATTTGACAGTCAAATGTCAGCATTAATCCACAGCCTTAAGTTTTCCCTGCAAACTTGATCAGTACAGCGAGCATACAAACATTTCCTCTCTTTCTTTATTATTATGAATGGCAAAGGCATCAAATCTGCAGCTTACTCGGCTGGGACACCAGTGCCTAGGGTGCAGCTGTGTTCTGCCCTTGAAATACTTTACCTCCTCTTATTGGGTTACATCATTACTAGATTTATTACAAAGGTGAAGACTATGAAATTGAACAGGGAAAGAGGAAACTAACCAGCCTGTGATAATATTTATTTTTTGATCTCAGTAAGGTATCACAGAGACACAGGCCTGTGGAGAAAACAGTGACCCTGTCACACAGAAGACTGGAAGTCATTTAAAATCAAAAATGACATTCTAATCCTCTGAATCTGATTTGTGAAGCTGCATCATATTGCCTTTTTTTTCTAGGGCAATGCACTGCAGTATCAAATTTTATGATAGTAATGGGGTCAATTTAAATGGTGCAGCAAGCAGATTTGCTATGTAACTCGGAGAAATGGATCACAACAGTGCCAAATCAATTTTCTAGTACAAGTCTGTGCTCAGGGGTGGTAAAATTCACTCTTCAAAACTGAAATATGGCTCTAGGAAGTCGGGTTTTTAAGTGGATTTTCTGAGAATATGCAGTTACTATAGTTACAATATTTGCAGAGAAAAAGATAAGAGGAACATTTATTACGCCTCCAAAAGCTAATTCATGTGGCCTGCAGCACTGCAGGAAACCTGCTTGGGCTGTACGTGTTCATCTGTCCTAATGTCCAAATTCCTTAATTTTAAGCATCTCTGCTTGAGTATTATCTTAAGAACAAGTGAGTCGGCTTTAGAATAGTAAAGAAACAAATATATACTCTGGAAAAAAATGTTTGGCCAGAAAATTCAAGAAACTTAGCTTCCAGGAGAACTGGAAAAAGACAAGGCATTACAAAATGAAAACAAAACAAAAAAGGAAACAATTCTCTATCTCAATAAAAAGATCCCTATAATAAAACAAAATCGATTACACTTATCTTGGGAACTCTTCTGGACAAAATATCTACATCTGCGTAGTTTTCTCATTAGAGCATCAAATCCTTTAGGGCAAGTGAATGTTCATCTAACTCTAATGAAAACCTTTTCCCCTAAGGATTAAAAGATTTGGAGTCAATGACAAGGAATTCTGAAATAGTTTATCCGCTACCGTTTGCTTAAACAAACAAAAAGCTAAAAGGAAAAAGAAGATGAGCCAAAGGATCTCCTACGCAAGAAAAAGAAACTAGCATTTTCCTTTCATCCTCTTTCCATTTTCCCCCTACCTATGTATTAGTATGCCACAAATCTAAGTAGCTTCAATATTCTCTTATTTGAAGTTTTTCTTTTCAGCACTTGGAAGAGTGACAAAACATAAGAAAGGAATTGGGAACCTGAAGATGTTTTCAACACCAACTACCTTGGCAATCAACTGCAGTATTTCATCGCAGTGGTCACTGACGTCTAGAATCACTACCCTGATGGTTTCAACTTCCTACCTTAAATAAAGACTCAATTATATTAACCAAGGGGTGCTCTAAGGCAAGAAAGCAGACCGATGAATTTGAGAAAGATCATTACTAGTAAAGAACAAAACGAGAATTTTCTGACTAAGCCTCAGTTAACCAGCAAGCTCATTTAACCCTGACAGCTGCCTTGTTCCTCCCTCACAAGTCTTTTGGTTAACCAGGGTATTCAAGAAAGCCCTGAACTAAACTAAACTTTCTGCTCACTATCAGCAAAAGCTCCCAGCCAATAGTCAAAAACAGCCCGCAGCACACGAACTCCTGAAACTTTTAAGCGTGTACCTTTAAAAGACATATTCCCTCGCAAAAATACCCACAGATACCCAAAGATCACCAAATCCATGCTGCCCTGAGTACCTGGCAAAGAACAGCTTCTCCCCCGCGAGTTCCAAAAGGCACATGCACAATCATCCTGTCCTTGTCCTCATTCTCCAGGTGGCCCTGGAGCCTGCCGGGGCTGAGCCGGACGGGGCCTTCCTGGTACCTGCAGCCACTGCTCAAGACGCTGAGCTTCACCTCGCTCTGGTCAGCCTTGGAGAAAACCAAGTTCTGGACTGTCTTGTGCAGTGCACCCTTGCTTGTCACCTGAAAGCCACCAAAGGTGAAGGATGAAGACAGGCCCAACACCTTCCCTCCCTGAGAAAGATAGGCCATGAACTTCTGGTACAGGTCTTCGGGAATGGACTCCCTGGTAGCAATGACCAACAGCAGACAGTTGTCCGTCCACGGGTCTCTGAGAGCACTGTCCTCCAGCAGGTGGTAGAGAATATAACTGTCAATGTCCACACAGTCGGCCAGCACAGACCGGACCTCGTGGAACCGGCCGAGGGCTTCCTGGGAGTCGGAGCCCACATAGAGGAGGATGTTGGGTGCCTTTCCCGTGAGGTTGACTCTCCTCCCTTCTCTTTCGGGGGAGGTCTCATCAGCAACACTCTCCAAACTGCTGCTATAATCGTAGGGAAGGTCTGGAATGTTCTCGGCAGACGCAAACTTGACTGACTCAATGGTGCTGTTCTCAAGTTCCAGACACTCGTGGCAACTAGACAGATGGAGGTGATAATGCTCAACGGGGCCCCCTCCCCTGTCACTGTCCCCAGCAGGCTCACTCCCAGAGGCACTGCCTCTCCTTTGTTTGGGTTCTTCACCAAGAGCCTTTGGGTCATCTCTGCCAACATGCTCCATACCGTCCTGCTCAGGCTTAATCTCAAGAGAAGGTTCAGGCTTCGGCTCTAGGATCTGGGCTTGCTTGTTTGAGACCTGATCCTTAACTTCCTTCAGAGTGGAGTCCTGCAAGTGCACCGCTAAGGCATGAATAGGAGAGAGAGACAGAAAATTAATCAACACTTCTTGTATGACACATAGCTCATCTCAAGAATCTCATCACCCTCTCTGCATTCTGGGACTTACATTCCAGGACAGCCTCTGGCACGGCTCCCACCTGCATCCCCCCTCAACTCGGGGGCATCCTTTGGAAACACTAATTGTTCCCACCTGAAGACCCCAAGTGAAATCAGCAGTTTGCCCAACATCTTTTATACCTATTGGAGAACCTAAGACCCTCTTACGGAATGGTGAAGAAAGTGAGATTCAGAGAGGTGCCTTTGCCTCCTTACTTACAGATTCTATTTCTTGGGTGTTATTCTCCTTCACAATAATGAAACTGAGCAATAAAAAGGACACATATCTAGAGTCTACCCCAGCACGCCCCAGTGAAATGTCACTCTCAAGACATGCCATAGGATCAATGGGAGAAGATTCTTCCCAGTATCTTGTCTCAGGACTGGAACATAAGTTGACAATCACTAATTCAAAAACATTTATTGAGCACTTGCTACATGTCGGACATGGTATTAGAGACATGTACGAGGTGATTCTGGATATTAAGGGATTTACATAAACTTCCAAAGCTGATAAGGGACATTTATTTGCCCATCAGATGAAAGAAGACATTCATAGACATAAAAAGCCTGCTTTTAAGTCTAATTAAGGAAGAACAGTTTGTGTGTTTCCTGAAAAACGATTTGTCCCAAGAAATTGTGATACATATATTTTAAGTAAAAAGCGGTTTGATTTAGAACTTCATAGTAACACTAGCTATGCTTCCCACTCAATCAGAACTGTAGTCTAGACACTAGTTATACTGTATTAAACTATGTGAAATAAATATTATATGGGTTCTGAATTTGAATGCCACCTCATGAGCAATGCAGTCATGAAAACTTCTTGTTTAAGAAATTTAATAAGCACTGAAAATGTACCCTGCAGCCCCCCAAAAAAATCTTGACACATGCATGAATTGTATATTATTACAGTAAAATCAAACCTGTGGACTGAATTAAACTGAAACCAAGCATAGCCTTTATGTCATACCAGTAAGAGTGCTCAACAGTCCTTAAGCTAATAACTTATAGTGTCCCACTATGATAAAAACAGGGTCTCACTTTGTCACCCACATGGGAATGCAGTGGCGTGATCATGGCTCACTGTGGCCTCAACCTCCCAGCTCAAGTGATCCTCCCATCTCAGCCTCCCAAGTAGCCGGGACCACAGGCATGCACCACCACACCCAGCTAATTTTTTTGTTTGTTTGTTTTTTTGGAGATAGGGGTCTATGCTGCTCAGGCTGGTCTCGAACTCCTGGGCTCCAAGCGATCCTCCTGCCTCGGCCTTCCAAAGTGCTGGGATTACAGGCATGAGCCACTATGCCTGGCCAATAAAAACATTTTCTAAAGTTACTTACACACAATCTTTTGGGGTACCAGTCCATTATCCATGTGGAGTCTATCTTCCATGAACGCCACCCCCAGCTTGCTGAAGTTGTCCACACTTGCTTCAGCAATTAGCCGATAAGGATCCCCAGGTCTGCAAGCTAATGGCAAACAACAGTCTGACCACTTGACAATCTGAGAAAAAGCAGGAGAGGGAGGAGGTGGGAAAAGACAGGTTGAGATTTTTCTTCTCTAAAATAACCACATACTTTATTTTTCCCTTGAGGCTCCTACCACTAAATTACAGTCATTAATAACAAATTACTGGATATTACATTTTACTAATATCAGAGTTGTTTTGAATTCAGCATTCTCATCTCTACCTGACAACAGTGCTTACGAAACACTAAATATAACTCTCTCATTTAAAAGTAACTGAAGTCTCCACCTTTTTAAGGAATTAAAAGATAAAGGGACATTCCCCAGACACTGGAAAAACACCATGCTGCCCTTTAAAAACAGAGAAGAGGAGAGAACAAGAAGTCCACAATACCCAGTTACTTTCAATGTAACCTGTGGACCCGCTTTTCTCAAAGTGTGGTCCGAGACCAAGTGCAACTGACCTCCCAGGGAGCACATGAGACCTTCAGAGTCCCGAGCACAACTCCCTCCCTATCTGGTGCACTGGACTTTCTGGAGTTGAAGTCCAGGAATCAGGATTTAAAACATGCTTCCCCTGGGGTTCCTGCACTCGAACTGTGAGAACAATCCAAAAAGACTCTCCAGACAGTTCCTCCCTGTAAGGAGGTTCACGTTCCTACCACAAGGGGGACAGGGAGAAAGAGAGCAGGCAAAACACCCGGCTTAGCCTTCCAGTTCTTACTACAGAAGACCGTGACACTGGGGCCTGGAACACCCATGCTCTCTCTGAGGGTTCCCATGGAGAAGACAGCCTGTGAGGTGAAGAGCCCGGCGCTGCAGTCAGGGGTCTGAGGCCGAGTCAAAGGCAACTAATCATCACTGTCTGTCCTCGGGCAAGCTTCCGACCCTCACAGCATCCTAATTTGTAAAACAAGAATACTCTACTAAAAATACAAAAATTAGCCGGGCGTGGTGTCGCACACCTGTAGTCCCAGCTACTCGGGGGGCTGAGGCAGGAGAATCGCTTGAACCCAAGAGGCAGAGGTTGCAGTGAGCTGAGATCGTGCCACTGCACTCCAGCCTGGGTGACAGAGCAAGACTCCATCTCAAAAACATAAATAAATAAATATAATTTAAAGGTTGGTTGTGTTCATGAGATCAAAGAGTATACGTAATGCCCCCAGTAAAAAGCTTAGATTGACTGGAATAAAGTACTCAATTACCGACAGCTGCTTTTATTAGCTGTCACAAATGTGGCTTTAAAAGCAGCAGTGAGCAGCACAGTCTTTTTCTAAGATGCCATGAACGATTGCTCTACTTCCTAAAGATACCTTCTCAGGGACACACTGCCCCGAATTTCATAATTATAGATAAATAATTTTTTATTCCATTTTTATTTATTTGTATTTATTTATTTTTTGAGATGAGTACTCGCTCTATCACCCAGGCTGGTCTTGAACTCCTGGCCTTGAGTAATTCTCCCGCCTCAGCCTCCCGAGTAGCTGGGACAACAGGCTCGGGCCACCACACTGGGCTTGAATTCTATTTTAGATATTGGTGGGCTAGGATTTTAGAACTAACTCCTCCTAAAAACTATTTTTTAAATGCTAGATAAAATAAATGAATAAAGCATTACCTTAAAAGTCTGGAAGAACAGACTAGATAATAGTGAACTTCCAGGCCAAGTGTGGGATAAATCCTGAACCTACAGAGGAAAGGGGTATTCCTGCAAGACACGCCACTTCTGCCCCCAGGGTCCTTGCTCATCCAAGCAACTTGGGTTTCAAAAGTCATCGTCCAACTGGCATAAGCATAGACATATAGAGATATGGTTTGGCTGGGTCCCCACCCAAATTTCATCTCGAACTGTAATCCCCATGTGTCAAGGGACGGACCTGGTGGGAGGTGACAGGATCCTGGGGGCAGTTTCCCCCATGCTGTTCTCGTGATAGTGAGTTCTCATGAGATCTGATACTTTTGAAGTGTTTGGGCTGGGCGCGGTGGTTCATACCTGTAATCCCAGCATTTTGGGAGGCCAAGGTGGGCAAATCACCTGAGCTCAGGAGTTCATGACTAGCCTGGGCAACATGGTAAAACCCCGTCTCTACTAAAAACACAAAAATTAGCCAGGCGTTGTTGTGGGTGCCTATAATCCCAGCTATTCAGGAGGCTGAGGCAGGAGAATCGCTTAAACCCAGGAGTTGGAGGTTGCAGTAAGCCGAGATCATGCCATTGCACTCCAGCCTGGGTGAAAGAGCAAGACTCTGTCTCAATCAATCAATCAATAAAGTGTTTGGTAGTTTCCTCTCTGTCTCTGTCTCTCACCTGCCACCATGTAAGACATACCTTGCTTCCCCCTTTGCCTTCTGCCATGATGGTAAATTTCCTGAGGCTTCTCCAGCCATGAAGAACTGTGAGTCAATTAAACCTCTTTCCTTTAAAAATTACCCAGTCTTGGGCAGTTCTTTCTAGCAGTGTGAAAACAGACTAACACATATAGACCAAGAGAACAGAGCTGACAGTATAGAAATAAACAGATTCATGGACAACTGAATTTGGACAAGGGTGCCAAGACAACTCAATAAGGAAATAATAGTCTTTTCAACGAATGGTACTGGTACAACTACATACTGACGTGTAAAAGAATGAACATAGGCTGGGCATGGTGGCTCATGCCTGTAATCCCAACACTTTGGGAGGCCGAGGCAGGTAGACCACCAGGAGTTTGAGACCAGCCTGACCAACATGGTGAAACCCCATCTCTACTAAAAATACAAAAATTGGCTGGGCGCGGTGTCTCACGCCTGTAACCACAGCCCTTTGGGAGGCCAAGGCAGGTGGACTGCCTGAGGTCAGGAGCTCGAGACCAGCTTGGCCAACATAGTGAAACCTTGTCTCTACTAAAAAATACAAAAAATTAGCTGGGCGTGCTGGCGGGTGCCTGTAATCCCAGCTACTCAGGAGGCTAAGGCAGAAGAACCACTTGAACCCGGGAGGCAGAGGTTGCAGTGAGCCGAGATCGCACCATTGCACTCCAGCCTGGGCAATGAGAGCGAAACTGTCTCAAAAAAAAAAATACAAAATTTAGCTAGGTGGGAGCAGGCACCTGTAATCCCAGCTACTCAGGAGGCTGAAGCTAGGAGAATTGCTTCAACTCAGGAGGCAGAGGTTGCAGTGAGCCAACACTCCAGCCTGGCACTCCAGCCTGGGCACTCCAGCCTGGCGACAGTCTCAAAAAAAACCTATTAAACTTTAAAAGACTCAGATTTGCATTAAATTGATACAGAAAAAGAAAAAAACCACAGATAGAGAAGCGTTAAAGACCTCTTTTAGAAAAAGGAGAAACTGGCCAGGCTCGGAGGCTCACGCCTGCAATCCCACCTGAGAGGTGGAGGTTGTGGTGAGCTGAGATTGCGCCATTGCAGTCCAGCCTGGGCGACAGAGCAAGACTCCGTCTCAAAAAAAAAAAAAAAAAAAAAAAAAAAAAGAATGAGGATAAACCTCTTCCTCACATCATGCAAACCACGTACAAAAATTAACTCAAACTGGATCAAAGACCTCAATATAAGAGCTAAAACTACAAAATTCAGAGAAGGAAAACACAGGCATAAATTGTCATGACTTTTGATCAACCAATGACTTCTTAGATAAGACACCAAAAACAGAAGCAACAAAAGAAGAAATAGATAAATTGAACTTCATCAAACATTCTTGTGCTTCAAAAGATATCAAGAAAATGCAAAGACAACACAGAAAAATAGGAGAAAGTATTGGCAAATCATATAAGAACTCCTACAACTCAACAATAAAAAGACAATCCAATTTAAAAATGGGCAAAGGATGTAAGGCACCCGGCAAAGGCACCTGTAGTCCCAGCTACTAGGGAGGCTGAGGCAGGAGAATGGCGTGAACCCCGGAGGCAGAGCTTGCAGTGAGCCAAGATTGCACCACTGCACGCCAGCCTGGGCGACAGAGCGAGACTCCATCTTAAAAAAAAAAAGAAAGAAAAGAAAATATACAAACGCCCAATAAGCACAAGAAACACTGCTCAACATCAGTCACGAAGGAAATGCATCTCAAAACCACAGTGAGACACAAAGTCATACCCACTAGGATGGCTGGAATCAAAAAAGATACCAACAAGGACAAGGAAAAACTGGAACTCTAATACACTGCTGGTAGAAATTAAGGTGCTGCAGCTGCCTTGGAAGACTTTGGGAGTTCCTCAAAGAGTTAAACATAGAGTTACCATATGATCTAGTAATTCTACTCCCCAGTATATACCTAAGATAACTGGACCTGAACATACGAACACATCTAGATTAGGCTCAGAGGATCTTCCCAAAGGCAAGCCCCAGAGGCCTTCACAAAAGAAACAAACTACGTTCACTGAGAAACAACTGGAAGATCTGAACTTGTTCAATAAGAACGTATACCCAAACCCCAGCCTTCAGAAAGATATGGTCTCCAAAATGGAAATAGATCCAAAAGTACTGTAGGTTTGGCTCAAAAACCTTGGAGCAAAACTCAAGAAAGCCAAATGCAAGCATATTTGGCAAAAACAAGAAGCTCAACAACAGCAAATATCTGAGAATGAGGCTGGGTGCGGTGGCTCACTCCTGTAAATCCCAGCACTTTGCGGGGCTGAGGCAGAAGGATCAGGAATTCAAGACCAACCTGGGCAACATGGCAAAACCCTGTCTCTATGAAAAACTACAAAAAATAGCCAGGAGCCAGGTGTGTTGATGGGCACCTGTAGTCCCCGCTACTCAGGAGGCTGAGGTGGGATGATCGCTTGAGCCTGGGAAGTTGAGGCTGCAGTGAGCTGTGATCATGCCACTACACTCCAGCCTGGGCAACAGAGTGAGACCCTGTCTAAAAAAAAAAAAAAAATCTGAGGGTAGACTCAAGACCAATCCTTCTCAGGGAAATATGGACACACTACCCACATCCCCAAATGAGGCCCATCCTAGAGTTTACACAGATCATCAGGCACCCTCATTCCAACTAAACTTAGGCCCCAGTGGTAGGGACCCTATAGACCACCCCAGTGGCCCCAAAATAGTTCATTTTGGCTGCTGCCAAGATCTGAACATATACGGCTTCTAGACACTTCAGAATCCCAAGTTCATTCTCCAAGCTTCCATTTTAATTCTTTTGGTTCCTCATCTCTACAAAATAGAGACATCAGACACAAAAGGTCACATATTGTAATGGTTTATGATGATTCTCATACAAAAGAATACTTTTCAGCAGGAAGAAACAAACTTGAGATATGCACAACATGGATGGATTTCAAAAACATTATGTTGAGTGGAGAAAAAAGATGCCAAAGGATACATGCTGTATAATTCCATTTCTATGAATTCCTAGAACAGGAGAAACTAATTTACCATGTCAAAAAGATTCGTGGCCCAAGTAGAAAGAATTGAATAGAAAGAGGCGCAAGACAAATGCATTGGGGTGATGGTAATGTTTCATGTCTTAATGACCTAGGCAGTTACCTAGGTGTATAAATTCATCAAAACACACAGAACTGTGCATCTAAAATCTGTGCATTTTATTTTATATAAATTATACCTCAATTAAAAATTAATATACAACAAAACTAGTAAGGACAATTTCTTTATTTTTTTTCCTGCTTCTTTGTTTTGATTTTGGTTTTGGTTTTTTAATTGTTGTTGTTGTTCCATTTGTTCAGCTAATGAGATTTAGTCAGCATCACTAAGTGGACAGTTGGCTTATGTTTCTAAATCCTGTTTTTGGGTCACCTCCCTCCATCATCATACTTGAATGACCTCGTCAAGCTCCCTTCATTCATTTTGGCTCTCCCCAAGACGTTCTTCACGTAGTCACCAGGGTAATGTTATTATTCCTTTAAAAATGTTGCACTATTCCTTGGCCTGGCACGGTGGCTCACGCCTGTAATCCTAACACTTTGGGAGGCTGAGGCGGGTGGATCACGAGGTCAGGAGATCGAGACCATCCTAGTTAACGGTGAAACCCTGTCTCTACTAAAAATACAAAAAATTAGCCAGGCATGGTGACAGGCGCCTGTAGTCCCAACTACTCAGGAGGCTGAGGCAGGAGAATGGCGTGAACCCAGGAAGCGGAACTTGCAGTGAGCCAAGATCACACCACTGCACTCCAGCCTGGGCAACAGAGCGAGACTCTATCTCAAAAAAATAAAAATGTTGCACTATTCCTCTGCTTAAAATCCTTCCATGAATAAGTTCTGAAGATCTACTGTACGTCATGGTGACTACAGGTTTTTTTTTGGTTTTTTTTTGTCTCAAAGAAAAAACCACATCATATGTTGTACCCCATAAATATATACAACTAAAAAAATACTTTCATGGCCATTTTTCATCATTCAGGAAAAAAAAATATGCCCACATATAAAGCTTGTATGCAGATGTTCACAGCAGCATTATTCACAATAGCCAAAAGGTAGAAACAACCCAAATGTCCATCAACAGATGAACAGATAAATAAAATGTATATAGCTATACAGAGGACTATTATTCAACCATAAAAAGGAATGAGAATGAACTACTGATGCATGTTACAACGTGGACGAATCTCGAATACATTACATTAAGTGAAAGAAGCCAACAACTAAAGGTCCCATATTCTATGAGGCTATTTACATGAAGTATCTAAAATAGACAAATCTAGAGTCAGAAAGTAGATTCGCGGTTGCCAGGAGCTGAGGTGTCAGGGAGCAGACAGTGAATGCTGACAAGTGTGTGGTTTCTTTCTGGTGTGCTGAAAATGTTTTAGAATTAGATAATGCTAATGATTGCACAACTTTGTGAATATACTAAAAACTACTGAATTGTTTTTCAAGGGTGAGTTTCATGTGAATTATATCTCAATTTTTTAAAACAAAAAGAAAAGAGTCCAGGCAGTTTGTTTGTCTCTACACTCTTCCAGCACAGCCTAGTCAGCCCAACTTCCCAAACTTCAATCCTGGCTCCCCTGGTTAAGAGCGTGTGACCTGAGCAAGCTACTCAAATTCCCCATGCTTCAATGTCCTGTCTGTAAGGTAGAGATAAGAGCACCTACCTTGGAAGGTTACTGGGAGCACTAAAAGGGATCATCCATAAAGTGCCTGGGCCACAAGGGTGCTCTTATGGTTCCAAAATATAAAGTCCTTTAGAGCAAGTAACCTCATGAGAAACCACATCATCCCTAGTGGGCAAAAACCGAACCTGGCAGGGAATGGGGAGGTGAAAAAAATCTTAGACATTACAACAGTTTGTGGCCCTCCAAGGCTCAATCCTATCCCTCAACTTTTTTATTTTTTATTTTTATTTTTTTTGAGACAGGGTCTTACTTTATCACCCAGGCTGGAGTGGTGCAGTCATGGCTCATTGCAGCCTCGACTTCCTGGGCTCCAGCAATCCTCCCAACTCAGCCTCCCGAGTAGCTGGGACGACAGGCATGCACCACTATGACGGGCTAATTTTTGTATTTTTTGTAGAGACGAGAATTCGCTATGTTGCCCAAGCTGGTCTCAAACTCCTGAGCTCAAGCGACCCTCCTGCCTCAACCTCCCAAAGTGCTGGGATTACAGGTGTGAGCCACCATGTCCGGCCCCCCACAACAAAATCTTATTCCTTAGTAGCTCATTTCTCTTCTCAGAGTGAACGTGAATTTAATTATTCTCCTCGGAAAAACAATCATGAAAAAAAAAAACTTGAGAAACATTGCGTTTGAGGGGAAAAGAATAAACGCAGGCCTTTATGGCCAACTCACTAACCTGTGTAGAATATTTGGACAAAGAGAAACTCCAGAATTTTCATTTAGCTCTACTTGTATCTTTCCTTCCACTTTACCACCTACTTCTCCCACCTCCTCGCAGACACACAGCCAAGGGAAGCAGAATTCACCTAGAGGGTCAGGCCCACCCAATGTTTCAGCAGAGTTCTACATTTCAGAAATGACATCTTTGATTCAGGACAGAGAGTTCGTTGATTTCAGCTTTGGGAATGGGGGAAAGGACGTCAGTTCAGGAAGATGAGAAGATAAACTAACACCGTGGCAGGGCAGACTTCTGGGATGAAGGTGCGTGGGAAACAGGGAAACGAACAGGGCAACCTCCCGCGGGAAGCTAAAGGCACCATTGTCCTCAGAGCAATCAAAGGAGGAGGAGAACCGCTCAGCCAATGGAGACTCAACCCGGAATTTAGCTGTAAAAACATTGATTTAGCCCCCTGCGGTAGCAGGCACTGGCAGTGTAAAAGGAGCCAATGATGAAATTCCCACACACCTCTGAAGAGGAATGAGGCAGGAGATAAACAAAGGAAGAGGAAGGACCGGAAGAGCCCAAAGAATACATCCACACATCCCGGATCAAGTTTCTCCACTCTGCCAACTGTTTCCTCACCTAAGTGCATTTCCGTTTTCTAGGAGCGTGGTCCATGAGCCATGGACCATGCAAACGCCTTCAAGCAGCGCTGGGTGCTCCGATCAAAGCAGAACCGCGCTGTCACTGATACGTCGTCCAGGGTGTTTGCCTTCCAGTGGATAAAGGCAAACAGGACACTTTAAATTTGCACTTCGAGATGGAAACAAAGGCATGGAAAAGAGAAGGGAAGTCAAGCAAAAGGCTCACTCCCAAAGATCAAAGCTAAGGAAGCCCTGGCTGTCCCTAAACAAAGGAGTTTCCTCCTATAATAGCAGCCAGCAGAAATCTGTTAAGTAACTAAAGCTCTTGACTTGATGTTACAATGTATGGCAGCAGGCAAGGCATATCTTCTCTGCTCAACTTAAAACTCACATCCAAGAAGCAGTCCGGGAGTGAAAGACCCCAGGTTAAACTAGCACAGGTGGCCCTGCCCAACAGGGGGCATTGGCAGGCAGCAGCTCTGCAGTGAGTGGGGAACAGAAATCTCAACAACCCACTGGTACCCAGAGTCAGATCACGGATGCTGCTAATTTTTCTGACTCTTGTTTCTCCTCTTCCAAATCATCTTAATTCAACGTGAAATTGTTAAAAAGCTCTAGTAACAAATTGGATGGAGCAAGGCTGGAAACGCAGAGGTAAAGAATTTGAAAATACAGGGCCAGGCGCGGTGGCTCACACCTGTAATCCCAGCACTTTGGGAGGCCGAGACAGGTGGATCACGAGGTCAGGAGTTCGAAACCAGCCTGGATGGCATGGTGAAACCCCCGCCTCTACTAAAAATACAAAAATTAGCCGGGCATGGTAGCGTGCACCTGTAGTCCCAGCTACTCGGGATGCTGAGGCAGGAGAATCACTGGAACCCAGTAGGCAGAGGTTGTGGTGAGCCGAGACCACACCACTGCACTCCAGCCTGGACGACAGAACGACACTCCGTCTAGAAAAAAAAAAAAAAAAAAGAATTTGAAAATACAAGACTAAAGGGAAAAAGTTATTTTTAACTTTTGGCTATCCTTGCTGTCTTTTGTGTTTGGAAATAGAGAGGATAAAGGAGAGCTACAAAATTGACTTTCACTTGATATTATGTAAAAAGACAGGCCAGATGCAGTGGCTCATGCCTGTAATCCCAGCACTTGGGGAGGCCGAGGCAGGAAGGATCGCTTAAGCCCAGGAGTTCAAGACCAGCCTGGGCAACAAGGTGAAACCCCATCTCTACTAAAAACAAAAGACTAGCTGGGTGTGGTGGCACACGCCTGTATTCCCAGCTACTTGGGAAGATTAGGTGGGAGGATGGATTGAGCCCAGGAAGTAAAGGCTGCAGTGAGCCATGATCATGCCACTGCACTCCAGCCTGGATGACAGAATGAGACCCTGTCTCAAAAAAAAAAAAAAAAAAAAAAAAAAGACAATATACCCTATGGCACTTTTAAGGGTATTGGAAAATCAAGTAACAGCGTAAGAGTTATCACAAAGTCACTGCAAGCAGGAGCTGAAATAGTCAACTAACCCAGATGGAGCTGAAAAGAGGAATTGCGAAACCATGACTGACAAGATGCTCAGGGAAAGGGCAGGTCTCGCTGAATAACTGAGAAAATAATACAAATATTATGAGAATAAATATCTTTGTTGCCACACAGAAGAATGTTATTATTGTGTTCTGTAGACAGCCGATACACCGCCGAGGCCTGCTAAGGTGTGCTGCATTCACATCCACAGTTACCTCCCACCTCATCCCCCCATTCCACTGATGTAAGCTGAGGAAGAAGAGGAGTTTTAAGAGGTATCCCAAGTGGTTTAGTTACCCACTCATGTGTAACAAACCACCCCAAAATTCAGTGGCTTAAAACTAATCATTTATTTTGCTCACAAATCTCAATTTGGACAGGACTGGGCAGGAACAGCTTAACTCTGCTCCATGTGGCATCAGGTAGAGTGACTAAACCAGGGCTGGATGACCTACTTTCAAGATGCCTCTGTCACTGAGCTGGAGCTGCCTGTCAGCTGGGAGCTCAGCCAGGGCTGTCCACGAAGAGCCACATGTCCTTCTACTTCATGTGGATCTCGCCACAGGGCAGCTTGAGCTTCCTCACAGTATGGGAGCTGGACTCCCAGATGGCATGTTCCAAAAGCCCAGATGGAGGCTCCAAGGTTTCTCATGATCTGGCCTGAGAATTTTCAGAATGTCACTTCTACCATATCCCAATGGACACACAAATCACTAAGGTCAGTTCAGATTCAAGGGAGGGGGAAGTGACTCCACCTCTCAATAGGAGGAAAGAATTTGCAGCCATCTTCAATGCGCTGCAACAAGTTTGTGCCAGCAATTAGTCTTCCCCTTCTGCATGAGAATGACATGTCCCTAAATGGGCATGCTCCTTTGGCCCAGGACCCTGCACAAGAGAGATGTAGAGAGCAGAGAGCTCAAAGCAGAGTCACAGCTGGAAACAGCGCAGCGAACCTGCTGAGCATGAGTAACATACCCAAGAAACTAGGATTCACTGTTAGAAGCCACTGGGATTCTAAGCTTATCTGTTACTTCAGCAATCTGATTAACACAATGTGCAAAACTGCATTCCTGACAACAGCCTTCTAAGCCCTTCCTGCTACATTCCCCATCTGCACAAGTGACCCACCATCCACCCACAGGCCATCACCTCCTAACCAGTATGGACATGTCTCTATCTCAGCGTTCCTACTCCCAACACTCATCAAGCCCATTATCTTTTCCCATGTGGCCACAATCTGTTCCAGGTTTGCTCCCCTCCAATCCCTTCTGCAATCTGCCTGAATTGTGACCTTCCTAAAGTGCAAATCTGATCATTCTGCTTTAAAAAAAAAAATAGTTTTAGCCTACTGTCCCTGGGATCAAGTCCAAATTCCTGGTTAACACATATAAGCCTTGTTTGATGTATATATTATGTCCAATTTGAGTATATTCAATTCTGCTACATAGAAAACAAGAAAACCAATAGCATGGATGAAACTCATAGTGAGTCAAAAGCTTGTAAGACACGCTCAAGACAGACAAAATAAGTGGAACATACGTGCATTGAACATAGATAAAAAGGACAAAACCAGAGTGTTAGTCCTAGGCAGAAAGTCACGGGAGAACCAATCTTTTTTTTTTTTAGAGGAAGACAGGGTCTCACAGCTTTGTCACCCAGCCTAGAGTTCAATAGCGCAATCAGGACTCATTGCAGCCTCGACCTCCTGGGCTCAAGCAATCCTCCCACCTCAGCCTCCCAAGTAGATGGGACCAAAGGCATACGCTACCATGCCTGGCTAAATTTTTTTTTTTTAATTTCTTGTAGAGACAGCATCTTGCTATGCTGCCCAGGCTGACCAGGGCCAATCTTATCAAATCTTAAATATTAGTAAGACACAAACTATGCCACTTGACAGTTATATCATCCTTAATTTGGCCACCCATTTTGACCCCATTTATATACTGTCTAGAAACACATGAAAAAACACACACAGCATCCCAGCAGGTCTCTGGTAAGCCACAGCTATTGCAGACATATATATCCAAATATCTCCAACAAAGCACCTTCCACCTTCTGGGCCCTTGTGTAACTTCAGCTCTAGTCCTTGTGCTGACACCATTGGCAGGGAAGGCTGATGCAGCAGAGAGACAGGACTCCATGTATGAACATTGCATGGCCCAGGATTCAGGTTGTGCTGCTTCCATTCCATAGGCACCTGATCCTAAGTGTTAACCAATCCCAGAACTCTCCCCTTATTTCTTGCTGCATGTTTTGAATTGATGTGATAAACAATGTGATTCGAGCGTCTTAACTCAGCCTATGAGCCTCTCTATTCTGTGACTGCTGGAATAGGCTGCTTGGCCATGTTCTTGGAAGCTACCACCATATCAGGGTAATTTCCCACACAACATTCCAGCCCCTGCTTTCCCCTCTGGCCTTATCTAGGGCCATTCCCCAACTCAGGTGAATGCAGACTCCAAATGTACTGAGCTGTGTGCAGGGGCCAGGTGCAAATGCTTTCTGTGCATCTGCACATGCTGTTCTACCTGGGAAGTCCTTTCCTCCTTTCACCTATTTTTACCTTAAACCTCAGACATCATCTACCCTGGAAAGTCCTTCCTGACCTCACGCATCTAAGTAGGTCCCCCCCATAATCCCTATCCATGCCTTCTATAGTACTTAACATGGTGACCTTTAATTGTTCATTTACTTAGCTCTCTGCTCTCCCACACTGTGAACTCCTTACAAACAGGGAATGTCATCTCTGAATGAATCTTTCATCTCCATGTAACACATGCCTCCAACCCTACCTAGCACACAATCTGGCATATAACAGGCACTCAATAAACCTTCAATGAATGCCTTGATCAAGTACAAGGAACATAAGCAAATTTCCTGTGGAAAAAAAGAATTGTATTAAGTTCTTTGGGTCAACAATTCTTACTAAATGCAATTGCTAATATAAGTATAGAAAATATTGAAAACTGAGCTGAATCTGCCATCACTTGTTGGTATTACTGCATCAAGCAAAATAAGTGAAACGTAGCTGTTCAATAAATGTTAATGAATGAATAAGCGAAAATATGAGTATGTGAATGCTACATTTTTTAAAACTGAATTTTAAGATCCATTTATCTGTTGTTGGTAATCTGTAGAATTACCACAGATCAAAGCCATTTGAAATATCCAAAATTCAAAAAGATATTTTAAATATCTTTAAGAGTTGTATAGTCTTAAAGATGTGAAAAAATATAAGATCCCATCAATTCAAATGTCCTTCTTCCATAATATATTTTTCTATTTAATACCTTAGGACCCTGTTAAATTCAAATGGCTGTGAAGTCAGGTAGAACATACACACACAGATTCATAAGAACCCCCCAAAATGCAAAATCCCATCAAGCAGTCAACCCAAATGGGAACTGTCAACTTGGCTAGAAGACAGTGAGCTATGAGATCAATCCCTTTTTAAGTTTTGAATCCTAATTTATAAAATGGAGCTCGGGGTAACAGCCAGAGTGGTCAACATGAATGGCTCTGGACGTCTCTAGCTCCTGGTTGCAAGACCCACTGATGTCTCTGATCATAAGTGAAATTAGTTAACTGGACTGTGGCAATCCTCCTTGTTGGGAAGGCATTCTCCTACCCCAGAAAATTAAGAATTAAGTAACCACGGCCGAGCGCGGTGGCTCACGCCCGTAATCCCAGCACTTTGGGAGGCCAAGGCGGGCAGATCATGAGGTCAGGAGATGGAGACCATCCTGGCCAACATGGTGAAACTCCGTCTCTACTAAAAATAAAAAATTAGCTGGTTGTGGTGGTGCAGGCCTGCAACTCCAACTACCCGGGAGGCTGAGGCAGGAGAATTGCTTGAACCAGGAAGTCGGAGGTTGCAGTGAGCTGAGATCGTGCCACTGCACTCCAGCCTGGTGACAGAGTGAGACTCCGTCTCAAAAAAAAAAAAAAAAAAAAAAAGAATTAAGTAACCACCATTCAGCAAGAAGGTCTTAATTAAATCTTCCTTGGAAAGTCAGTTAACTGAAATGATAGCTGTGACAGAGATGCTAATTATCTCCCAAAATCTAGCCTTTCTTTCTCCCTTACAAGAACAGAACTCCCAGTTTCTGCTGAATCCATGACTGTCCAGCTAGGGAATGCATTTTGCAGACTACCCTGCACCTAAGTGACCAAGGGGGCTATGTGACAAAGTTCTGTACAATGAAATGGGAGCAGAAGTCGCCACGTGAAATTTCTGAATCACAACAGTATTTTTTTTAATTTACTAATTTTTTAGAGATGAGGTTTCACTCTAATACAATGGCAATCAAAGCTCACTGCAACCTCAAACTTCTGGCCTAAAGTGATCCTCCCACCCCAGCCTCTCAAGTAGCTGGGACCACAGGCGGGAGCCACCATGCCAAGATGGATCACAGTTTTAAAGAGGAAACTGGTTGTCTCCCAACCTTCTCTCTTCCCCCACTCTGAAGGCTAGATGAAGCTGACACTGGTGGAGTAGCACGGGAGCCAGACTCTAGCAAGAGAGAACCACTACCTAGGATAGAGGAGGGAAGACAGGAGAAGGAACCAAGGAAGAAGATGAGGAAAAAAATGGGTCCCTGGATGGACTTCCAAAGCAAAACCACTGCCCAGAGAGAGAAATTTAACTTCTAGCTTGTTTGAGCCCCTGTAGCTCTGGGTCCCACTGTTATACAACTTAGCCTGTATCCTACATAATATAGTAACTATGTTCCTTAAGACGCTGTACATCTTTTAGCCCCATAAAGACATATAATTAACAATTTAGGAAATTAAAAGCACGGCAGTCATTATTTTATGCTAAAAAGGAACCTGAACATATTTGATATTTTATATAATTGCAATATTTTGGAAAGTCTGATCTTGGCTTTAAGTTGAAATCTTACTAAATTTATATATAATATTAGAATATATAAGAAAACTTCAAGCTTACCATATTTGTAAATTTAATACAGTCATGTACCACATAATGTCTCGCCCAACGATGGACCATATATATGATGGCTGTCCCTCATAAGATTACAATGGAGGTAAAAAATTCCCATGGTCTAATGACATTGTAGTACAGCACAGTACTCACGTATTTCTGGTGATGCCGGTGTACACAAACCTACTGGGCTGTCAGTCATATAAAAGTATAGCACAGACAAGGCCAGACGCAGTGGCTGATGCCTGTAATCCCAGCACTTTGGGAGGCCGAGGAGGGTGGATCACCTGAGGTCAAGAGATCGAGACCATCCTAGGCAACATGGTGAAACCCCGCCTCTACTAAAAATACAAAAATTAGCCGGGCATGGTGGCTCGCGCCTGTATTCCCAGCTACTAGGGAGGCTGAGGCAGGAGAATCACTTGAACCCGGGAGGCAGAGGTTGCAGTGAGCTATCACACCACTGCACTCCAGCCTGGCGACAGAGCGAGATTCCATCTCAAAAATAAAATAAAATAAAATAAAAAGTATAGGCCAGGTGCAGTGGCTCACACCCATAATCTCAGCACTTTGGGAGGCTGAGGCAGGCAGATCACGAGGTCAGGAGATCGAGACCATCCTGGCTAACATGGTGAAACCCTGTCTCTACTAAAAAAATACAAAAAATTAACCAGGCGTGGTGGCGGGCGCCTGTAGTCCCAGCTACTTGGGAGGCTGAGGCAGGAGAATGGCGTGAACCTGGGAGGTGGAGCTTGCAGCGAGCCGAGATGCGCCACTGCACTCCAGCCTGGGCGACAGAGCAAGACTCAGTCTCAAAAAAAGAAAAAAAAGTATAGCACAGACAATTACATACAGTACACAGTACCTGATAATAAACAACTGTTACTGGTTTATGTGTTTTCTATGTTTTCTATTATTTTAGAGTGTACTCCTTCTACTTATTAAAAAAACAAAACAAAACAAAACAAAACAAAAAAAACAGCTGGGTGTGGTGCCTCATGCCTGTAATCCCAGCACTTTGGGAGGCCGAGGCGGGGGGATCACTTGAGGTCAAGGGTTTGAGACCAGTCTGGCCACCATGTGAAACCTCATCTCTGCTAAAAATATAAAAATTAGCCAGGTGTGGTGGCAGGCACCTGTAATCCCAGCTACTTGGGAGGCTGAGGCAGGAGAATTGCTGGAACCTGGGGCCGGAGGTTGCAATGAGCCAAGATAGTGCCATTGAACTCTAGCCTGGGCAGCAGAGTGAGATTCTGTCTCAAAAAAAACCCAACAAAACAGTTAACTGTAACAGCCTGAGGCAGGTCCTTCAGGAGCTACTGTGGGGGAAGGCATTGTTATCACAGGAGTTCACTGCTCCATGCACGTTACTGCCCGTGAAGACCTTCCAGGAGGACACATGTGCAGTGAAAGTCAGTGATACTGATGATCCTGACCCTGGGCAGCCTAGACTAATGTGTGTGTTTCTACGTTAGTTTTTAGCAAAAAAAGTTTAAAAAGTAAGAAACAGGCTGGACATGGTGGCTCACAACTATAATTCCAGTGCTTGGTGAGGGCTGAGGTGAGAGGACTGCTTGAAGCCAGGAGTTGGAGATCAGTCTAGGAAACATAGCAATTTGTATGTTCACAAATTTGTAGAGATAAATAAATGAAAATAAGAATAAAATTTTAAAAACAAAATTTTTTTTTAAATATATAAAATCTTAGAAAAAAGCTTTTAGAATAAGGATAGAAAGAAAATATTTTTTACAGCTGTACAATGTGTTTGTTTTAAGCTGTTATTACGAAAGAATCAAAAATTTTAAAAAATCAAGTTTATAAAGTAAAAATATGATAGTAAGCTAAGATTAATTTATTATCGAAGAAGAAGGCTGTTATAAATTCAGTGTAGCCTAAGTGTACAGTGTTTATAAAGTCTAAAGTAGTGACTGTTGTGTCCTAGGCTTTCACATTCACACGCCACTCACTCACTGACTCGCCCTGAGCCACTTTCAGTCCTGTAAGCTCCATTCATAGCAAGTGCCCTAGACAGGTGTACTGTTTTTTATCTTTTATACTGTATCTTTACTGTGCCTTTTCTATGTTTAGATACACAAATACTTACCACTGTGTTACAGCTGCCTACAGTATCCAATGCAGTAACATGCTGTACAGGTTTATAGCCTAGGAGCAATAGGCTACCCCATAAATCCCAGGTGTAAAGTAGGCTACAGCATCTAGACTTGTATAAGTACACTCTATGATGTTTGCATGATGAAATCACCTAAGGACGCATTTCTCACAATGTGTATCTGTCGTGAAGCAACACATTAACTATAATGTATACGAATTATGTAAGTGTTCAAAAACGTGGTGTCTGTTAATCCAGACAACTTAAAAATCTAAAAAGAAACTGGGAGGAGGGGTAGGGGGAGTCATGAGGAAGGAGCAGGAGCAAGTAGATGGACTCAGGGGGTGGGGAGGCACGTGTAGTTCTAGCGGTGAGTTCATGGGTATTTATTGTATTATTTCAAATCCACAGGTGAATGAGATCCATGCATAAACCAACGATGAGAGTACATTTGGAACAAGGAGTATGGTTAACCCAATTCTGTGTACCTAGAGTCCTAAAATGAAATGAAATATTTTAAGATATTTGAGTTTGTAGGCCAGGTGTGGTGGCTCACACTTGTAATCCCAGCACTTTGGGAGGCCGAGGTGGGCAAATCACAAGGTCAGGAGATCAAGACCATTCTGGCTAACACGGTGAAACCCCATCTCTACTAAACATACAAAAAAAATTAGCCGGGTGTGGTGGTGGGCGCCTGTAGTCCCAGCTACTCGGGAGGCTGAGGCAGGAGAATGGCATGAACCCGGGAGGCAGGGTTGGCAGTGAGCCGAGATCGTGCCACTGCACTCTAGCCTAGGCAACAGAGCGAGACTCCGTCTCAAAAATAAATAAATAAATAAAAAATAAATAAAAGTCCAAGGAGCCAGAATGGTGGCTCATGGCTGTATCACAGCACTTCGGGAGGCTGAGGCGGGCAGATCACCTGAGGTCAGGAGTTCAAGACCCACCCTGGCCAACATGGTAAAACCCCGTCTCTACTAAAAATACAAAAAATTAGCCGGGTATGGTGGCAGGTGCCTGTAATTCCAGCTACTTGGGAGGCTGAGGCAGAAGAATCGCTTGAACCCAGGAGGTAGATGTTGCAGTGAGCCAAGATTGCACCACTGCAGTCCAGCCTGGACAACAGAGCCAGACTCCGTCTCAAAAAAAAAAAAAAAAAAAGCCCAAGGAATTGGTTACTGATAGAATCTGGAAGTTTGTCCCCTCCAAATCTCACGTTGAAATGTAATCCCCAGTGGTTGAGGTGGGGCCTGTGGGGGAAGTGTTTGGGTAATGGGAACAGATCCCTCATGAATAGTGTGGTGCTGTCCTCCCTATAGTGAGTGAGTTCTCACAAGACCTGGTTGTTTAAAAATGTGTGGCACCTCCCCCAGCTCAGTCTCACTCTCATTCTTGCCATGTGACACACCTGCACCTCTGTCACTTTCTGCCATGACTGTTCCTCAAGGCCCTCACCAGAAGCACATGCTGGCACCACTCTTCCTGTATGGCTCGCAGAACCTCTTCTTTATAAATTATCCAGCTCCAGGTATTTCTTTATAGCAATGCAAGAACTGCCTAATACAGTTACCATATGACAAGGCCTCTTTGTAGTTCAAAAAGAAAAGCCAGATATTAGCAATTTCATGTGATTTGACCTACTTGATTATTTAATTTATATTTTCAATAAATTCAAAATCATTTTTAAAATAAAAATAAAGTTTATGAATCGTCTTTTCTGCATATGAAAATTAGCCCTGAATTGGCTGGGCGCAGTGGCTCATGCCTGTAATCCCAGCATTTTGGGAGGCAGAGGCAGGCGGATCACGAGGTCAGGAAATCATCCCGACTAACATGGTGAAACCCCGTCTCCACTAAAAATACAAAAAATTACCTGGGCGTTGTGGCACGCGCCTGCAGTCCCAGCTACTCGGGAGGCTGAGGAAGGAGAATGGCATGAACCCGGGAGGCAGAGCTTGCAGTGAGCCGAGATCGCGCCACTGCACTTCGGCCTGGGCAACTGAGCAAGACTGCGTCTCGAAAAAAAAAAAAAAGAGGCCGGGCGCGGTGGCTCACGCCTGTAATCCCAGCACTTTGGGAGGCCGAGGCAGGTGGATCCCAAGGTCAGGAGATCGAAACCATCCTGGCTAACATGGTGAAACACCGTCTCTACTAAAAATACAATAAATAAATAAATAAATAAATTAGCCGGATGTGGCAGCATGTGCCTGTAGTCCCAGCTACTCGGGTGGCTGAGGCAGGAGGATGGCGTCAACCTGGGAGGCGGAGCTTGCAGTGAGCCGAGATCGCGCCACTGCACTCCAGCCTGGGCGACAGAGTGAGACTGTCTCAAAAAAAAAAAAAAAAGAAAGAAAGAAAGAAAGAAAATTAGCCCTGAGTTCACCAAAACCGTCGTATCAACAGCTGGTCGTCTTCTACCAAACATAAGAGACACAAGTACTGTTTGACTGGACCTAGGTTAATAAAAGCTTTATTTTGGAATCTCAATGATCTAGATCTCTTTAAAACCATTAATTCGTTCTCTAGTTACTAGAAAGGATAGAAGCATTGGTTAAAATCTTATCTCTCACTTAGCAGCTGGTTAAAACCTTGTCTAGGCCGGGAACAGTGGCTCACGCCTGTAATCCTAGCACTTTGGGAGCCTGAGGCAGGCAGATTGCCTGAGCTCAGGAGTTCGAGACCAGCCTGGGCAACACGGTGAAACCCGGTCTCTGCTAAAATACAAACAATTAGCTGGGCGTGGCAGCGTGCGCCTGTAGTCCCAGCTACTTGGGAGGGTGAGGCAGGAGAATTGCTTGAACCCGGGAGGTGGAGGTTGCAGTGAGCTGAGATCGCACCACTGCACTCCAGCCTGGGCAACACAGCAAGACTCCATCTCCAAAAAAAAAAGAAAGAAAACTTTGTCTGTCACTTAGCAATGATATTCCTATCACTTTAGGAATGTCATTTAATCTTATAACCTAAGTTTTCTTATCTTCAAAATGGCAATAATAATAATGATAATACTTTGTAGAGCCGTTAAGTATTAGTGATGACAGCTGCAGCCAGTCTGGAGCAGGGTAGGCGCGGCCAGGGATACGCGCTCTGTGGAACCAGGGGGAGCTGGGAGCAGGCAGGAGCCCTTCCCGCTTCTGAGTTGGCAGGGCAGGAGCCCAGTGCTCCCAGGCATAACTGCAGCCTCCCAGCCACAGCTGCGGACCTGGGCATCCCTGCACTCTCAGGGGTCCCAGAGGCCCCCGCTTCCCCACAGGCTTGGAAGTGCCTGATCCCGCTGCCTGGCCTCTTCCTGCTCCCTGTGCCCGCTCTGATTCTGGAGCAAAATTGAAGCTGAGCCTGGGCGGTGTCGCAACCCGGCCAGGTGGGTGCTGCTCAGGATGGCGCTGACACACCAGCCCCCTGCCACCTCAGCCCCCCTCTAGACTTTAGGAGCCACTCTGGACCACGAGGATGGGAGGGAGGCCGAGGAGGGGCTGAGGACGGCTGGTTGCAGGCCTGTAGGCACCCCTCAGCACAAACAGCCTGGGCACCTTGGACAACATGACTGACAGCAGAAGGCAGACAGGCTCATAGGTAGAAAGGGGCGGGTCCCTGGTGACGCCCTGCCTTCAAGCCAAGACCAGCCCAAAACCTGGGGACCTGGCTGTCAGTTCCAGGTGAAGCCTGTGGCCCAGAGTGAGAACTTAGAGTGCTTTTTCTGGCCCGCCCATGGCTGCCCATGGACCAATCAGCACGCGCTTCCTCCCTTCTGAGCCCATGAAAACCTCAGACCCAGCCAGACTCACACAGAGGCTGGGACTACCAGCTGCAGAAAGGAGCTACCCACTTCAGGTCTCCTGAGAGCTGTTCTGCCACTCAGTGAAGTTCCTCTCTGCCTTGCTCACCCTCCACATACCTCATTCTTCCTGGATGCAGGACAATAACTCAGGACCCACCGAATGGCAGTACTAAAAGAGCTGTAAGACAAACCAGGGCTGAAACATGTCCCCGTACTCACTACATTGCAGGCAACAAGAAGGAGAGAAGAACTGTGGCCCTTTAAGAAGCCAAGATCTAGGGGCTCCCCAAGCCAAGGCTGTAAACACCCTCTTTGGGGCTCTGCGGTTCCCAGCGTCTCCATGCTTCCAGGTGCCACCATGTTCCCCTTGTCCAGACACAGGTGCCCACAGCAAAAGCCTCATTCAGTACACCTGGTCCAGCCACAGCCTTGCATGGAGCCACCCACCCCCCCCCCCCCCGACCCTGCACTTCTCACCCACACACCCCTTGCCGCTCTGCACCCAGCTTGCCCCTGGTAGGTGTGCAATCTGAGCTGGTAGAATGAGCTGAGTGCAGCCTGCCAGGCCAAGTGGGTGGAATAAGACCAGTGGGCACAAGCAATACTTAGGCAGAAGGCACCGCTAGCCACAGAGGTTTCTGTCTGGTGAAACGACACCCCAAGGATCCTGTGACATTAGGGGTAACGTTTATAAAATACCTAGCAAGGGCTCAATAAATGGCTTATTATTATCATAAGTGTCTACAGGGCTAAACGAAACATTACAAACCTTCAGGAGAGAACGTACTGTCTTAACACACTGCACTGCTCCAGGCCCATCTGCCTGATGCTCTGCCCGCTCCAGGGCCCCCATCAGAAAGTCTCTCGCTATCCTATACTATCTGCACCTGCCTCCCCTTATTTTGGTTCACCCTGAATTCCAGTCAATTACTTCTTGTTTACTTCCCCATTTTTCTTCTTCTCTCAATACAGCATCTTACAGATAATCTTCATGAAATGGGAATCCAGTAAACATGGCTAGCATCAGCAAAATCCCCACTGGATGATCTACATAGCAGGGAACAATGGCGGGTGAGGACCCACAAGTGAGGGGAAGGAAGCTGCAAGGGTACACTGGGGTCAGACCTCCAGGAGCCTCAGGGCATGGACTGCACCTGGAGGGATGACATCCACCAAAAGCTTATGCAACACTGTCCCAACTGGATGTGGGTCCAGAATGACTAACTCTGGCCATCAAGAGGAATGCCCAAAGAAGGGACATGAGACAGGGTATTTTCACAGCTCAGACAAAAGATAATGAACATGAGGATGGAATGAGGAGCAGTGGAGATGAAGGAGAGGAGCTAACAATTTAGGGAGTGCTGTTACAACTCATAACTTCACGGAAGCGAGGAGGAGGTGCGAGGAAAAGCCGGCTGGCGTGTTAATTTGGGATTTTCTCTCTTTGAAGCAGAAGAATACAAACACAACTCATTTTGGACATGTGGCTGAGGTTGAAGTATTTTCAGAATACTCAAGGAAAGACGTTTAGGACGTAGGTGGTGATATACCCCAGCCACTCAGGTTGATTTAGGAAGCAAGAAATTGTAGGAATGGATGAGATGACCTGAGAGAGAGTGCTGCTCAATAAAAATATAACGTGAGCCACAAATACAAGCCACACACGTGGTTTTAACTTTCCTAGCAGTGACCAGGCGTGGTGGCTAACATCTCTAATCCAAGTATTTTGGGAGGCTGAGGAGGTAGGATCCCTGGAGCCCTGAGTTTGAGGCTTCAGTGAGCTATAATGACCACTGTACTCCAGCCTAGGTGACACAATAAGACCCTGTCTGAAAAATAATAACAATAAATTTTTCTAGCAGCCACATTAAAAACATAAAAAGAAACAGGTGAAAATAATTTTACTAATATATTTAACCCAAAATATCCAAAGAGAAAGGGAGCCACAAAGGCTAGGAAAGAGCACTCATAAAAAGACAAATTTGAGGCCGGGCGTGGTGGCTCACACCTGTAATCCCAGCACTTTGGGAGGCCGAGGCAGGTGGATCACTTGAGGTCAGGAGTTCAAGACCAGCCTAGCCAACATGGCAAAACCCTGACTCTACTAAAAATACAAAAATTAGCCTGGTGTGGTGGCACACGCCTGTAGTCCTAGCTACTCTGGAGGCTGAGGCATGAGAATCACTTGAACCCAGGAGGCGGAGGTCCCAGTGAGCCGAGATCACACCACTGCACTCCAGCCTGGGTGACAGAGCAAGACTCTGTCTCAGGAAAAAAAAAAAAAAAGCAAATTTGGTTTTGACTAAGACACATCAGTTCCTTATGGGACACAAGTAAACATGGTACTCACTGTTTCTGAAGAGGATGATCTCTGTAAATTCTCACTTTGTACCCAAATGCTCTCCGTCACAAATGCTATGTGTTCTGCTTCAAGTATAAAAGGAGACACAAGAAATAGGGCCCACTTGTTCAAGTCTTCAATGGACTGTATAGAGGGAAAGAAATATAATGAGATTGTCACTTCATACCACAACTGCCATAAATTTCAACCCCCTCTGAAACATACCCTCCCCTATAATTCCAAGTGACATGGAAATAAGCTTATCTGATGCTCCTCTGCAGGCCGCAGGAACCGTGTGTTTCTTGTTTAGCTGTGACTGTTTAAGCACCTGCAAAAGCCCATCGATGACTCAGGACAGCTTTAATATCTCTAGACCACTGTTTTCAAGCCATGAATTCTGAAACGGGGCCTATCCCCGCCATTCCTCACTGCTTAGCACACAGTAGCTAACCGGGAAGTACATTTAAAGATGAGGAGGCTGGCCGGCACAGTGGCTCACGCCTGTAATCCTAGCACTTTGGGAGGCCAAGGTGGGCAGATCGCTTGAGCCCAGGAGTTCAAGACCACCCTGGCCAACATGGTGAAACCTTATCTCTACAAAAAACATACCAAAAAAATGAGTTGGGCATGGGGGTGGGTGCCTGTAGTCCCAGCTACTCAGGAGGCTGAGGTGGGAGGATCACTCGAGCCTGGGAGCCCGAGGTTGCAGTGAGATGAGATCATGCCACTGCACTCCAGCCTTGGGTGACAGAGTGAGACCCTATCTCAAAAAAAAAAAAAAAAAAAAAAGATGAGGAGGCCTAGAAGTACGTACCCACCAACAGAAGCTCCTTACTCACAGAAGCCTGAAGGGCTGTTCCTTCATTCCCTACAGCCATCACAGCACAGGGCACCAGGCAGTTTTTCTTTACACCTTCCTTATAGTGAAATCAACCCTGCTCCTCTCCCGGAGATCTGGGAAGTGTGCAAGTCTCTGGATGCTCACACAGCAGTTAAATCCAGAGAGAAAAGCTATTTCAGGGAAAGGCATTTACCATATGCAGACGCAATCAGACATACTTTAATGGAATGTAAACTCCAGTCAGGAGTGATTGTAGTTTTTCAAAAAGAAGATTAGAATCAAGATTGGTTAGCAAATCAGAAATACCCAGTTATCTCTCGTTTTCTTTCCTGAAATCTCTCTAAGAAAAACAGCAAATTGATTTGAAAAGGCTTTCACATACAGGATATAGCCAGAGAAGAAAAAGATGAAATCTGAGCGGGGTATGCAGGAGGCTTTCACCATCACCCAGAACGAAGGTAACTAGGCAGGCTCCACTGTGCTGCATATCAGTTCAAATCTGCTTGATAAAAACCTATTGAACTAAATAATGAATGAAAATTTAGGGGAGAATTTGCCCCTCCCTCAGTAAACATAATTATCAATATAGTGGTTAAAAAGTATGTCCACTTAGGCCGGGCGCGGTGGCTCACGCCTGTAATCCCAGCACTTTGGGAGGCTGAGGCACCTAAGGTTGGGAATTGGAGACCAGCCTGACCAACATGAAGAAACCCTGTCTCTACTAAAAATACAAAATTAGCCGGGCATGGTGGTGCATGCCTGTAATCCCAGCTACTCGGGAGGCTAAGGCAGGAGAATCATTTGAACCCGGGAGGCAGAAGTTGCGGGGAGCCGAGATCGTGCCATTGCACTCTAGCCTGGGCAACAAGAGCAAAACTCCATCTCAAAAAAAAAGTATGTCCACTTTATCCAAGCATAGAATGTGTACATTAAACAGACAAAAAGCTTGATACTGCCAATTTGTATAAACTGTCTTTGGTTAAACTTATCAATTGATTGTAGGGCATTCAATTATAAACACACATATTCAGTATTCATGCATTTGATTTTAAGTGTATAACATATGAGAACACGCCAGGCTTGGTGGCTCACACCTGTAATCCCAGCACTTTGGGAGGCCAAGGTGGGCGGATCACCTGAGGTCAGGAGTTTGAGACCAGCCTGGCCAACACTTTGGTGAAACCCTGTCTCTACTAAAAATACAAAAATTAGCCAGGCGTGGTGGCTCATGCCTGTAATCCCAGCTACTCAGGACGCCAAAGGAGGAGAATCACTTGAACCTGGGAGGTGGAGATTGCAGTGAGCGGAGATCGCGCCACTGCACTCCAGCCTGGGTGACAGAATGAGATCCATCTCAACATATGGGCATGAGATTCAGGTGTGTCCTTATTTCAGCCCAAGTAGACTGAGGTATCCCTCAAAAGTAGACCCAAGCAGACTGAGATATCCACCAAATCATCAACCTGATCATATTTTAAATCTCAAAATAACAGTAGCCAACCACAAATAAATGGTCAAGCTTTCCACCTGTAGACCTTCAACATCACAGCTTAAACCCAACAACTATTAAATTTACTATTTCAGGTCAAGCTGCTATGCTAAACAGTCTCATTTCCTAATAAGAAAAAGATACGAACTAGAATAGGAACTGTGATTTAAAGGCTACAGGGATGCAGAGCATGGCCATCCCATCTAGTCTGGAAAACTAGGAAATGACGCAGCAATATCTAACCAAATCTGTAGGCAAAGCTTACTGTGCAGAGTGACAGAGCAGAGTTACAGAATCCATGAAAGCACCAGGCCACTCCTACTCCGGCCTGCACAGGTAGGCAAGGGCTGAAAATCACTAGTTATGGTTAGTGTAGTTAACAGAAGGCCAGCGGAGTCATGAAAATGTTCAAAAGTAAAACTGTCCAAGAAAATCAGACATTCCCATCTCCATGTTTTTATATGTCCAAAATTTCTATTCTGACTTAAATCCTAAATGTAATTGATCCAATTTGGAAACTACTACAAAAAGCTCACCCCTCAATTTTTTGCCATTTTATTGAGTTATCTTTCTCAATCAGGTTAATTCCCAACGCTCTAAGCCATACATTGTATGTAATGCATGAACTTCTTCCCCTTTTGTCTGGGTAGTGTCAGTTATGTGGAGGTGGTACTAGTTATTTGCATAACTAGTACCTTGGGGGACCTGAGAAAACAGTCATTCATATTCAGTGTGACATAATACATATATGGTACTAACAAGAAAGAGTATTTTTTATTTGCTAGTGGCACAATTTCAACCCATATCTAAGCACAGCCTCCAGGCAATGTTCAAACCTGAGATAAGATTCAATTCCCCACAGGGGCTTTACGGTGTGACATATGCAGAAAACGTCATTTTAGTGCTAAAAGTGAGGCAATATTCCAGAAAACAGAGGAAAGGGACAAGAAACAGATTAAAAGCAAAACACGTTTAAATATTAATGAGAACAATGCTACCGATGTCCATGAAATTTTGTGCAGTACTGCACTGTGAAGCTAAGCCCATTTCCAAAAACAGCTGAATGGAAAGATCTATTGTTCCCTTTACAGCAAGGCAGCAGACTTTTTACAGAGATTAATTGACTGGCCCAAGTCACAAGGTAGGTGACAGAGTGGGCTGAACACGTAACCACCATCCTAAGCACTGGGTCAAAAAAAACAAAGGCTGACTGTCAACTGAAATTTAAAAGACGCAAAGACCATCAGTCGGGTGCCCAAGTTGGTGAATGATGCAACCAACTGACAGAAGATGGAGAGGGAAAAGGGCAGTTTTTGTAAATTTGGGGACATCTGACAAAAAGCTGATGACACAGGTGGGAGTTTTTTGTTTGGGATTTTTTTTTTTTTTTCTTAAGACAGGGTCTTGCTTTGTCACCCAGACTGGAGTGCAATGGCTCAATCATAGCTCACTGTAGCTTCAAACTCCGGGGCTCAAGTGAACCTCCCGGGATCAAGTGACCCTCCCGCCTCACCCTCCAGAGTAGCTGGGACTACAGGCGCGTGCCACCACGCCGACCTAAGTGTTTTTTTTGTTTTGTTTTTTGTAGAGAGGGGTCTAGCTATGTTGCCCAGGCTGGTCTCCATCTCCTGGGCTCAAAGCTGTCCTTCCTCCTAGGCCTCCCAGAGTGCAGGGATTACAGGCATAAGCCACCGCTCCCGGCCCGCCACAGCTGTCTCTCCTGGTTCACGGTCACCCAAACGCCGGCTCGAAGTGTGGGAGAGGAGGTTGGGGGCGACCCCAGGTGGGCACTGCTGGCGTCCGGCTGTCAATCCACAGCTCACGTCCTCACAGGTGCGCGCCTAGAGTCACGCGTCCAGCACCGCCCGGCTGGCCGGGAAGAGGCGACCGGGTCCGTGGTCCGAGTCCCGCACCTCCGGCCTCTCTCTGGGCCCCGGGGCAACAGCCCCTCCCGGGCCGCACAGGCCGCACTGAGGGCGCCACTCCGGGGCTCCCGAACTCCCGGGCTCCCGGCGGGGACGAGGCGCAGGGACGGGGGCACTTCCGGCTCGCGGGGCCCGGGTCGCCCGCCCGCCCGACCCGCCCACCTGGCTGTCGCTGACGCAGAAGACGCGGCCGCCACGGCTCAGGCACACGCGGGCGCCCGGGGGCTGCGCGGCCGCGCCGCAGAAGGTGAAGGAACAGCGCGAGGCACGCAGCCGCCGCACCGTGGCGCGCACGAGCTCAGCCGGCCGGCGACCCCAGCGCGCCCACAGGTACAGGTAGCACAGCGTGATGAGCATGGCCGCGCCGCCGGCAGGGCGAGCCCGCCTTGCCCGCCCGCCCCAGCGCCCCAGGCCCGGCCCCGCCCCGGCCGGAAGGGCCGCGCCGCCCCCCCGGGCCAGGCGGCGCGGGGGTGGGGACGGCGGGGGAGGCGGGGACCCGGAAGGTGACGCGGGCAACTGGAGGCTGCGGCGGGAGGGGCGGGGGGGGGTGAGGCCGCGCCCGGCTGTGTGATGGGGAGCTCCGGAGGCCGCGCCCAGGGCTGGTGGCGGCGGCGAGGGGCAGCGCTGGGGCGGGGGGTGTGCACCGGGGTCAGGGGACGCCGGGGCTGCACCCGGAGAGGGGGCTCGAGGGAGTGGAGGCCGGGGTGCGGGGCCGCGCCAGGGCTGAGGAGTGGGATGGGTATGTTGTGGATGCGGGGGAGGGGAGGCTCCAGTGGCTGCCCGACCTGTTTAAGCCAAGTCCGGCCTCCCTTCCTTGGAGGGGTGGGAGGCGGATTGAGGAGGGGGCTCTGCCTATGTTCATAGCTGCCAAGGCCAACCTTTACTAACCAGCAGCACACCGGGAGTCCCAGAGCGCTCCACAGCCGCTACCCAGTCGACTTGGGAAAATAAGATAAGGCCGTTTTTATTAAATTATACTAAGCCTTCATGCAAAAGATTTTAAGGTCAATCACATACATTCACGGGATGCAATAATGTTTTTTTAAATAAGGACAGGAAACAGAAATTGAAGACAGATAAGCACCAAGAAGGCTGCCTCTAAAAAGGCTGTGCCAGGAAGGCTCCCTATGGTGTTCTTGCTACATGTGGGTCAACAGTTTGACTGTAAGCATCCTAACACCAGTGGGAAAAGGAAAACATCACCATGATTTGGTGTTCTTGTCTCCAAGGGAAGCATAATTAGTCCTGACACAGAGGCTTCTCCCATAGAACCTCATTTCTTTAAAAGGCATTATGTAAAGAACGTGTTCTGAACAGCTGCGAAGCACAGCAAAGAATTCCATCCAGTGGCTTCCTATTCTGGCCCTCGCTGAAAATAGGTGGCAAGATGCAGCAAAAGCAATCATGTACACCACGTCCATGTCTTAATCTAAGGATAGTTTTTGTTTGTTTGTTTTTGAGACAGTCTCTCTCTGTCACCCAGGCTGGAGTGCAGTGGTGCAATCTCGGCTCACTGCAAGCTCTGCCTCCTGGGTTCAAGCGATTCTCCTGCCTCAGCCTCCCGAGTAGCTGGGATTACAGGTGCCCGTCACCATGCCTGGCTAACTTTTGTATTTTTAGTAGAGACAGGGTTTCACCACGTTGGCCAGGGTGGTCTCGAACTCCTGACCTCAGGTGATCCACCCGCCTCTGCCTCCCAAAGTGCTGGGATTACAGGCGTGAACCACCGCGCCCAGCTAGGATAGATTTTTTTTAAGAGACAAGGTTTCGTTCTGTCGCCCAGGCTGGAGTGCCGTGGCATAATCACAGCTCTCTGCAGCTTCGAACTCTGAGCTGAAGTGATCTTCCTGGCCACCATGCCCAGCTAATTTTTTAGAAATTATTTTTCATAGAGACAGGGTCTCGCTGTGTCGCCCAGGCTGGTCTCAAACTCCTGGTCTCGAGCAGTCAAACTCCTGCCTGGATCTCCCAAAGTGCTGGGATTACAAGTTTGAGCCATGGCGCCTAGCCATAAAGATAGATTTTTAAAGTACCTTGGCCATTTGTTCATCTGCTTTAATATAGCTGCATAGAACACCCACTCCCAGAACTTCAGACTTTTGGTTAGATAACATAGTATATTTTCCCCCTTGCATATAGCGATAGATTTTTAAAAGAGAGAAAATCCAAAAAGAAATAACTGGGCTTAAAAGCAAGCATCTCTGTGGACCAGAAATAGAAGAAAAACAAAGTGATAAACAGGACTAAAGCCATATCCTACACTTCTCTACAGGACAGTGGCAGCCGGAAAGTGGGTTCCTGCATGGTAACAAGACCTTAAAATTGTGTCACTGGAGAAGGACGTGCAGTTCCCGCTGAGGAGAGACTTGGCCACTCCAGGACAACACAGGACTACAAGTCAGGAATTTGAAGATGAAAAGTGCTCAACAGTGATAAATCCTAAATGTTTCACTGAACAACCTTTCAGATAGCCTTCTTGAAGTTTGCTGAATTATGGCTATAAGGACCACTCCCCACCCCTGCTAGGTATGGAGAGGTCATCTCCTCTATCTGAAGGTGACCAACATCTCCAGTTTTTCCAAATTCCCTAAGGGTTTTGAGACCACACCTTCCCACAGGTACTCTAACTCCACCTGGCCAATAGGAATTTTCTAGGTTTACCCTTAGGTGTTTCGAGATATGGTCTCAGAATACATCATGGGAAAATTACATTTTGGGGTCAATCCTGTATACCAATTCTAGGTTAAAAGCATGGGGACCACCATGGTTCAACATGAGCTGACCCTTGCATTGAAGAGTACTGATACCATTCATGCCTGGGGAAGGAATAGAGGGAGGAAGATATGAAGGGCACAGTGAGAAGTGAAACAGTCACATAACAAGCTCTGTTTATGATCCCGCCCTAAAATGATTTCATTTTGCAAAGGTCAAGGATAGAGTTGAGTTTCATCACCCCTATATAACAAAGGAATAGGGGAAGGATGCAAAAATAATACACCAAGGGATATTAATGTGTATGCACCTGATCCTCATCCTGTAGTCCCTCACTGCTCAAAGTGTGGTCCTTAGAGCAGCAGCAGCAGCATCACTTGGAAGCTCGCAAGAAAAGCGGAATCCTAGGCCCCACCCAACCCCAAATCAGCGTCTGCATTTTGACAAAATCCCAGGAGACTCACAAACACATTAAAGTTAGAGAAGCACTGCTAACATCTTCCTCTGTCATTCCCTGGGTCTGGGCTACTCTAGACTCTAATAAGACATTTCCAAAATGATGTGGAAAATAAGACCACAGACTAGGGATTTTTTTTTTTTTTTTTAGATGAAGTCTCACTTGCCCAGGTTGGAGTGCAGCGCGATCTCAGCTCACTGCAACGTCCGCCTCCCAAGTTCAAGTGATTCTCCTGCCTCAGCCTCCCGAGTAGCTGGGATTACAAGCACATGCCACCACACCTGGCTAATTTGTGTATTTTTAGTAGAGATGGGGTTTCACCATGTTGGCCAGGCTGGTCTCAAACTCCTAACCTCAGGTGATCGTCCCACCTCAGCCTCCCAACGTGCTGGGATTACAGGCGTGAGCCACCGCGCCCGGTCAGACTAGGGATTTAGAAGCAAGACTTTGTCATTTATAAGAACACTGCAGAAAGGAACAAGAATGACCCAGCTAGCCACTGAAGACCACCTCTGAAACCCATCAACATGACCGGCTTTCTATAGGAAAAGTCTCCACAGACTCAAAAAGTCTCTAGTTTCTTGCCCTTAGGAAGGCATGCCCTGGGAATAATAGTTTGGGGACAAGAGAGAGTAGAGTGTTTACTGTCCTATCCCCCATTAAATACATGGCAGAACTTCCCCAGGGAAAGCCTATCATACTGACATTAACTCAGTACCTGTTTGAACTTGGAGAGCATTCAGAATTCTCATCAGTCAAATGGCCAGAGCTGAGAAGGATAGCTTGTTTTGTTTGTTTTTGAGACAGGGTCTTGCTATGTCACCCAGGCTGGAGGGCAGTGGTGCAATCCCGACTCACTGCAGCCTCGACCTCGTGGGCTCAAGCAATCCTCCCTCCTCAGTTTCCCAAAGTGTTGGGATTACAGGCATGAGCCACCACACCTGGCTAATTTTTGTATTTTTTGTAGAGACAAGGTTTTACCCTGTTGCCCAGGCTGGTTTCCAACTCCTGAGCTCAAGCCATCTGCCCACCTTAGCCTCCCAAAGTTGTGGGATTACAGGCACATGCCACCACACCTGGCTAATTTTTATATTTTTTTGTAGAGACAGGATTTTGCCATGTTGCCCAGGCTTGTCTCGAACTCCTGGATTCAAGCAATCTACCCGCCTCGGCCTCCCAAAGTACCGGGATTACAAGCGTGAGCCACCGTGCCCAGCCTGGGATACTTTCTAAGAACCAAGGAACTATGTAGAAAATCTTCGCCGGGCACAGTGGCTCACGCCTATAATCCCAGCACTTTGGGAGGCCAAGATGGGCAGATCACGAGGTCAGGAGATCGAGACCATCCTGGCTAACACAGTGAAACCCCGTCTCTATTAAAAAATACAAAAAAGTTAGCCAGGCGTGGTGGCGGGCGCCTGTAATCCCAGCTACTGAGGAGGCTGAGGCAGGAGAATGGCGTGAACCCAGGAGGCGGAGCTTGTAGTGAGCCAAGATTGCGCCACTGCACTCCAGCCTGGGCGACAGAGCAAGACTCCATCTCAAAAAAAAAAAAAGAAAGAAAAGAAAATCTTGATCTCTATTCAGTAACTTTAATACGTATATTAACATGTTCTTGTTTTTGGAACAATCGTCAAATCAAGCAAAAAGTAATTTTATTTTGTTAATCAAAATAAAGAGAAAAGTAGACAATATTTAGAGCATCAAAAGAATTTAAATTAGAACATCTTTAACTATTGGAAATATGCATTTGAACTCATGTCTTTAAGAGGAAAATAATTATCTTTCCTAGCTCTTTCACTGAGATGGCCTCAGAGTAGCCTTACCCCAAGATGCACCTGAGTGCTCAGATTCTTGAATGGGTGCTCTTCTCCTCATTACAAGGAACTAGAAATCCTTGGAGAAATCACTGATTCTGGTGTTCAAGAGATACCAGATAAGCTGGAACATCTTATGCTAGGAAGCAGGAGAAGCTTCAAAGAAAAATAGGTCCAGGCAGAAGGATGCAGGAGACAAGCTAGAAGTGCCAAATCAGGACGATTTGAGTATCAAATTGAAATACACCCAATTATGAAGGTACCCAATTTTCAAGAGCCGGCTGGGCGCGGTGGCTCACACCTGTAATCCTACCACTCTGGGAGACTGAGGCGGGCAGATCACCTGAAATCAAGAGTTCAAGACCAGCCTGGGCAACATGGCGAAACCCCATCTCTACTAAAAATACAAAACTTAGCCAGGCGCAGTGGCATACACCTGCAGTCCCACCTACTCAGGAGGCTGAGCCAGGAGAATCACTTGAACCCAGGAGACAGAGGTTGCAGTGAGCCGAGATTGCACCACTGCACTCAAGCCTGGGTGACAGAAAAAGACTCCATCTCAAAAAAAAAAAAAAAAATGAAGAGCCATGAAATCCATGGTTATCCTCAATAAAATTTAAATATTCGAAAAGAATGTAGGATAAAATGTGTTACTGCTGAGTCTCGTTATTTGGTTATGTTTGTATTGATTCATTTGTTGTATTGATAAAGATTAGTAGGTGGCAAATTCTTCCTTTAGAAGGTTGTTTGTGACCCAAGAGGGCATCAATACAAAGACCCTAAAGCTGGGATTCCGAAGCACAGAGTCGCGGGAGAGAACCAAAGCTCATCGCATCTGGTTTAAGACTCCTTCAGAGTTGGATCAGCCTAAAAACAGGACATGGTACAAGATTTTATTCATTCCAAAGATTGTAAAAATTAAATTCATCCTGAGAATTTATCAGTCTATGTGGGAGCTACAGACTTCTATGAGCAAGCAGAGGTAAGTAATGTTCTAACTTCAACTAAAAGAGGCTAAGAGATCATCTTCCTTCTTTTGAATTTAATTTTTTTATTATTATTTTAAAAGACAGGGTCTTGCCCTACCACCCAGGCTGCTCTTGAACCCCTAACCTCAAGCTGTCCTCCTGCCTCAGCCTCCCAAAGCATTGGGATTACAGGCATGTGTCGTGCCTGGCCTCACCCTCCTTGAGATTTCAGAATTGTTGACAGAATGACAATAAGTAGGATTCACTGTCTCCTTAAAGACTGAGGAAAGAAACCCAGTGAAACCTCTGATGGACAATGGCCTCAGTTAACTAGGACAGTAACTGTACAGTATCCATCTCCTAATCCAGTAAAACTGAGTTACATATAGAAAGGCTTGAAAGAAGCAAAGCCATAGATTTATATTTCTGTATTAATAAGGAATCTATGCATATTTTTGGTCTTATATATACTTGAAGTGTGTTAGAGTATGTGGCTGTTTTAAGTACATTCTTATAACTAATTTGAAATGGGTACTTCTATATTGAAATCTTACTGAGTTTATGAATAGTATTGAAACATCTAAGGGAATATTATTAGGTTTGCCATATTAATATACTGAATCTGCTAGATTGATAAGAATTACATAATCAGGCCACTGAAATGTATAAAAAGGAAATTTAATTTAAAAAGGACTTGGGGGCAGACACAGTGGCTCATGCCTGTAATCCCAACAGTTTGGGAGGCCAAAGTGGGAGGATCATTTGAGTCCAGAAGTTCATGACCAGCGTGGGCAACACAGGGAAACCCCATCTCTATGAAAAAAAAAACAAAACATTTTTTTAAATTAGCCAAGCATGGTGGTGCATGCCTGTGGTGACAGCTTCTCGGGAGGCTGAGGTAGGAGGATCACTTGAGCCCAGAAGGTCAAGGCTTCAGTGAGCTGTGATCGCACCACTGGTCTCCAGCCTCAGCGACAGAGAAAGACCCTGTCTTTTTTTTTTTTTTTTTTTTTTTTTAGCAGCTCTGGAATGAGAATAGGTATTTGTAACACACATAACTGATAAAGGATTCATATCTAGAATATACAAAGAACTCCAAATCAATGAGGAAAAGTCAGAAAACCAAAAAAGGAGGACAGCTAAAGCTGAAAAAGCACTTCAAAAACAGACTGTACCCAGCTGTCTGATAAATATGAAAAAGTATGCAGTCTCAAAGTAGGTCCAAATTAAGACCTTCATGAGAATTGGTATACACCCATCGGTTTGGCAGAAATCCCCTTCTCAAGCCCTGGAATTCTGGGCTCTACCCCCATTGCTCAAAGATCTGACCATTTTCCATTTCCATCCCTTCCATCTTTCTGCAGTACCTGGCATTCCTGACCATGCTATTTCTACCAATCAACAAAAACTACTAGATACTCAGAGGGGATTTAATACAGAGAGCTGGCTACAACATGACAAAACACCAGACAAGGGAGGGCACTGTGGCTCATGCCTGTAATCCCGGCACTTCGGGAGGCCAAGGCGGGTGGATCACCTGAGGTCAGGAGTTTGAGATCAGCTAGCCAACATGGTGAAACCCCGTCTCTACTAAAAATACAAAAAATTAGCCGGGCATGGTGGCAGGCACCTGTAATCCCAGCTACTTGGGAGGCTGAGGCAGGAGAATCGCTTGAACCTGGGAGGCGGAGGTTGCAGTGAGCCAAGATCATGCCCTTGCACTCCAGCCTGGGCAACAAGAGTGAAACTCCGTCTGAAATAAATAAATAAATAAACAAACGGACACACACCACAGAAGGGACAGTGAGGCAACCCAGGGAATAGAAAGAGCAGAAGCCGCGACCCTCTGTAGGGCTGAGGGCACACAACACAGGTCAAGTTACCGTCGCCCGGGATCCAGGGTCCCCTGGTGGAAGCTGGAACCCACAGATCAGTGCTGTGGGAGATGGAGCCACAGAGAAACAACTGCTGCTGGAGACATCAGCAGGGGAAGAAGGCGGAAAAATACTGTAGCCGCTCCACACCTCCAGCCCAACGCCCCATGGCGGAACTTCACTAGAGGCCCCACGGCAGAAGAGCCTCCAGGAACCTCCTTGTGGACCAGAGGAGAGAGATAGAGAGGCGGCAGGAGGCAAGGGTGTGTCTAAGACAAACAGGCCACAGCCAGCCCCTGGCCTTCCTGAAACTCCTCCCTTGGGTTCTTTTAAAATTCAATATTCTGCTTCTGTTCCAGGGTTAATGGGCTGAACTGTGTCCCCCCAAATTCTAATGTTGAAGTTCTAACCCCCAGTACCTCAGAATGGGACTGCATCAGGAGACAGGTACTTTAAAATAGTCATTAAGGTAAAATGAGGTCACCACCTAATCTGTTATGACTGGTATCCTTATAAGGATAAAATAGTCATTAAGGTGAAATGAGGTCATCACCTAATCTGTTATGACTGGTATCCTTATAAGGAGAGGAGACTAGACACAGACATGCACAGGGGGACAATCCTGTAAGGACAAAGGGAGAAGACAGCCATCTCCAAGCCAAGGAGAGAGGCCTCAGGAGAAACCAACCCCGCCCACACCTTCATCTTGGACTTCTAGCTTCCAGAACTGGGGAAATGAATTTCTGTTGTTGAAGCCCCAGTCTGCAATACTTAGTTATAGCAGCCCTTGCGAACCAGCACATCCAAGTTCTCCGTCTCTGTCTCTAACCCCTCTCTCAACTGTCGGCCATAAGTGAGCCTCTGCCCCCAACTTCTGGCCTCCTCTATGTTCTCTTCCTTGGTGACCTCTGGCAGTGACGCTCAGTCCTCATGGCCAGCTCTGGCCTCTCCCAGGCTCTGGCGCCGCAATCATCTCTTCCACTTGTCTCTGCTTGGATAGTCTGTCAGCATCTCAAAGGCAACATGAATAAAACCAAATGCATTTTTTCCTCCCACAAATTATCTCTTTATCCTGATTTCTCTTATCTCTGTTCATGACTTGTTCACCTTTTCACTAGGACCCAGAATTCATGCATCTTGGAGTCCCAACTTCTCCAGCCCCTGTGTCTTGTTTATTTCCATAGCAGTTGGTAGGCGGGACCTCTGCACAGTCTCACATGGTCCCTTCTTTCTAGTCCAGGCCCAGCTCAGCCCTCACCAGAACAGGCACTAGCACGACAGCCTGCTGGATGATTCCCGGTGCCCGTCCCCTGTTTCCCACGGTTCTGCCTCATCCAGCACACTCTGCACTTGACTGCCTAAAGCACAGCGCTCATCCCATCACTCCTGCTTCTCAAACTCCTGCAGTGCCTGCCCCCACCCCAGAAAGTGCAGGCAGTCTTGCCTGGCATTCAAGACCTTCCACTGAGCCTAAGCAACATAGTGAGACCCCATCTCTACAAAAAATTTAAAAATTAGCCAGGCATGGTGGCACGTGCCTATAGCCCCAGCTACTTGGGAGGCTGAGGCGGGAGAACTGCTGGAGCCCGGGAGTTCCAGGATGTAGTGATCCATGTTCATACCACTGCACTCCAGCCTGGGCAACAGAAGAGACCCCATCTCTAAAAAGAAAAGAAAAAGACCTTCCATTGGACCCACCTAACCGGGTCTCCCTCATTGGCAGCCATTCACTTATTCCACGTTCATTCTGCACCTCCTGCACACGAGGTGCTATGCCAATTACTGGATACATTTAATCCCTCAACAACTCTGCATGGTGACCATTATTGTCCCCATCTTGCAAAGGAAGAAACTGAATTTTAGAACAGTTGAATTTTAGAACTTGAGCTCCCATAATTAGGTGGGGAAACTGATGTTTGAATTTGTGTCCTTTTGGCCCCAAAGTCCTTCTCTGGATAAACTAGGCAACCAAGAGCAAAGAATGCTCTATACCCGACAAAAATAGAAATGAAACTCAAGATCCAAGACGCAAGAGTGGCAGAAGGTTCAAGGTGCACCACTGCCAGCCCTGACAGCCTTTGTATCCAGGTCAGTTGAACAGGCCGGGATTGTCCCCAACTTGGACACATCTAAAAAGCTGCAGGTGGGATGTCATCAAAATCACCTGGGAAAACAACCTGCTCTGAAAACAGAGGCATGATCCAAAAGACAAAGAGGTTTGTGATACCCTTTCTGTACAATAGCTGACTATCAGTAAGTCATTACTGTTTTAAGGAAGTCAGTCACACACACACACACACGCATACACACACAGAAAAATACAAGTTAGCTGGGCGTGGTGGTGTGCACCTGCAATCCCAGCTACTCGGGAGGCTGAGGCAGCAGAATCATTTGAACCCGGGAGGCAGAGGTTGCAGTGATCCAAGATTGCATCACTACACTCCAGCCTGGGCAACAGAGCCAGACTGTCTCAAAAAATAAATAACAATAATAATAATAATGTTGCACCAATGTCAGTTTTGGTAAATCCATGGTTGTGTAAGATGTTAGCATTAGAGGAAGCTGGGTGAAGTTTCAAAGAACTCTCTGTACTATTTCTCTTTTGTAAGCCTAAAATTATTTCAAAATAATAGGTGATAAAAATTAGAAGGTGACATTCCACTGAATTTCATCAGCACTCCTTTTTTCCCCTCTTCCGAACCAGCCATGTGATCTTAAGCAAATTATCTCATCTCTCTAGGTCACAGTTTTTCAACTTAGGAAAAAAAAAGAGGGACACAAGCCAGATCATCTCTAACTTCCCCTCCATCTCTCAAATTCTGTGGTCCTCGTACATTTACAATATGATGCAATCTACAAACATTTGATATTGGTGCTCTCTTATTCACCTTCATATCCCTGGTATTTAGCATTGTGCCTATACATAGTAGGTGCTCACTGAAAGTTTTTGCAACTACCTCAAAAACTGAGGTTCATACCTCAGTTTGTAAAGTGACGTAGAACTGCTAGCTCTTTTACCTAGTTGACCACTAGAGAGCGAAGCGGTCACAAATTTTTTCTCTGTTAAAAGCAAATTTATCTTCGTCCAGCAGAGGGGAGTGGTCCTTTATATTTCAGGCATGTAAAAATCAGGTCCTGGTTGGGCGAAGGGAGAAATCTGTGAGCAGTTTCCTGCCTATCAGACAGGCCCTCCAGAGGGGTGATCAGTACCATAAGCTTCCAGGTAAGCACATGGGGCCACTGCCCCCACCCTCCAAAACACCCTCAAAAGTCTAAACCACCTCAATGGATGGGAGATTGCTCTGCAAATGGGGGAGCCCCACTCCTAATATGTTCATCATTGTCTTCCTAACAATCGTGACTCATTTCTTGAACAAATGTTTCACTTTTAAAGGGTTTGCACAGAGGCAGCTTTAAGAGGTCAAATAAATGAATGTGGAAAGAAATTAAAACTTTTACAACCACATGAAAAAGGCATTAGCCAGTCATCCTGCCCAGCAGCCCAATATTGAGCCTGTGTGAGTTGCCGTTTGTGTAGTGAAGCAATAGAGGCCATGGTCTGGAATCAGAAACCCTGGGTTCAGATACTGCCTCTGACCCCCCAACTCCCCAACAAAATGCACACATTCAGTGGCCATGTGACCAGGGCAAATGCCTCTCGTTCCACAGCTCCAATGCAGGAATAATAATAGCATCCACCTGGTGTGGGTGGGCGGGTTCACAGAGAACAGCCACACAGGCTAAGAGTGCAGACTATTGTGACCCAGCAACTGCCCACCTGGGCAGAGTGAACAGGAAGGGAATAGAAGGGCAACGCGCTTTCACTTCATCCTCATGAGCGCTCTTCGTGGGGAAACTATTACACAAAGTCGGGGTGGGGAGTTCCTTCCCAGTAAATCGAGTTGCCTTTTTCAGGCACGGAAAAGCCCATCTGCCTGAATTTTCCTCAACTGGTCAATCATGGTGCCAGAAATCCCAACCACTTGAAGTGCTCCTTCAGGTTAAGTTACTTTATCTGCCAACTGTGTTAGTTTAAACAAGTCAGTTTCCAAGTCCTACGCTGCTGCTTTTATCATCCCATTAATTTATAAAACTAAGAATAGGGGCCAAACGCGGTGGTTCATGCCTGTAATCCCAGCACTTTGGGAGATCAAGGCGGGTGGATCACCTGAGGTCAGGAGTTCGAGACCAGCCTGGCCAACATGGTGAAACCCCATCTCTACTAAAAATACAAAAAATTAGCCAGGCATGGTGGTGCAACGTAGTCCCAGCTGCTCAGGAGGCTGAGGCAAGAGAATCACTTGAATCCAGGAAACAGAGGTTGCAGTGAGCCAAGATTGTGCCACTGCACTCCAGCCTGGGCGACAGAGCAAGACTCCCACCTCAAACAAAAAAAAAAAAAGAAAATTAAGAATAGGACCCCACAGTGTGGGAAGGAGGCTGGAAGCGTCCTGATTAAACTGCAGCCTGAGGACTGCTGGGTGGGATCCTGTAGAGCACACTGAGCCCTGAGAAGGGGGCAAGAAGAGCCCCAGGGTGCAAGGCCAGAGACTAGCTGGGGCAGAGAAGAGTGCGAAGCTGGCAGGACTGAAGGGTCGGGAGACCCTTAAAGAGACCCTGTAGCAGACGCCTTGGGAATGTACGTGTCACCGAGCAAAGCACATGAAGAGAACTGTTCAACAGCGGACTCAGCTGGGAACTCCAGACACTGCGGCAAAACCAGCACAGATGCATCCTCTCCTGTGGCTAAAAGCTCCATGAGGGGCCAGTGAGTCACATGACAACCGAATTTCTCCTCTGCCAATCTGAACATATTCTGGGACTGAGACTTCCGTACTCAGGGAAAACCAATCACACTGCTTAAAAGAAAAAAAAATTGGCCAGGTGCGGTGGCTCACGCCTGTAATCCCAGCACTTTGGGAGGCTGAGGCGGGCAGATCATGAGGTCAGGAGATTGAGACCATCCTGGCTAACACAGTGAAACCCCGTCTCTACTAAAAATTCAAAAAAAAATTAGCCGGGCATGATGGCGGGCGCCTGTAGTCCCAGCTACTGGGGAGGCTGAGGCAGGAGAATAGCATGAACCCAGGAGGCGGAGCTTGCAGTGAGCCAAGATCGCGCCACTGCCCTCCAGGCCTGGGTGACAGAGCAAGACTCAGTCTCAAAAAAAAAAAAAAAAGAAAGAAAGAAAAAAACTACCTATTATAAACCCTTGATGCTATAAATTTAATGGAGCTGGAAATAAATTCCCTGGAAAGACTATGGTGGGAGAAGGGGGGCATTACCTTCATCCGTTTACATTCTCCAGCCATGGGAACTAGCTCCTTTGTTTTCACTGAATTTATGTTTCTATAGAGGCACCCAGGATTGAGTCTCCTATAGGGGGGTCCCATGAAGCTGCCATGCCCCTCTGTTGATACACCTTGCTTTGCAGGTCAATTTGTGATTTTTAAAATGGTTTTATGCAAACGACATGTTTAGCCCAAATGCACTGCAGGTAGCTGGTGATAAAACAGCAATACGGACCAGGCACAGTGGCTCACACCTATAATGCCAGCACTTTGAGAGGCCAAAGCAGAAGGATCACTTCAGGCCAGGAGTTTGAGACCGGTCTTTGCAACATAGGGAGACTCCATCTGTACAGAAAATTAAAAATTAGCCAGGCGGCCAGGTGTGGTGGCTCACGCCTGTAATCCTAACACTTTGGGAGGCAAAAGCGGGCAAATCACTTGAACTCAAGTTCAAGACCAGCCTGGGCAACATGGTGAAACCACATCTCTACAAAAGTAAAGAAAATTAGCCAGGCATGGTGGTGTGTGCCTGTAGTTCCAGCTACTCCTGGGGAGGTCGAGGCTGCAGTGAGCCGCAATCACGCCACTTGTACTCCAGCCTGGGCGACAGAGCAAGTCCCCATCTCAAAAAAAAAAAAAAAAAAAAAAAAAAAAGGCTGGGTGTGGTGGTCCCAGATACTCAGAGGCTGAAAAGGGAGGATTGCTTGAGCCCAGGAGTTCAAGGCTGCAGTGAGCTGCGATCACATCAATGCACTCCATCCAGCCTGAGCAATGGAGTGAGACCCTGACTATATTTAAAAAAAAAAAAAATAGGAAGAAACAACTCAACCACAGGGCTAGTATGTTACTCGGTTATAAAATGATAAAGCCCTAAACAGAGAATTAGCCCGTTTCCAGAAGAGGCCAAGAACAGATGATACAGCTGAACTGAACTCCTGCCTGTACAGCTCGTTTTCTACAAGATTCCAGACCTGGAAGATGATGGCATCCAGCCCCCATTGAAGCACCTCGAACAAGAAAAACGCCGAGTCCGAAGAGCCAGGCCTTGAACACACGATTCCTGTCTATAAATAACTCCCCCTGGGGAATAAAAAGCAGGATCCAAGGCAGGAAACCCGAGCCGTGGAATCTGGTAAGTTCTTAGGAAACCCACTCACGGGCCTGAGTCCCCCGTGGAAGCGGCGACTTCGGCACCTGGACACCCGAGTCCCCAGAGCCCCGGGCGGCCGCGCGTCCCTACCTGCAGGCCTGATACCGGCCGCGGAGCGCTCCTGGCCCCGCTCCCGCCAGGCTCCGGGACCGCTGAAACGCACCCAGGGGGGTGAAGGCGTAGTCGCCAAGGACAGCGCAGATGGCAGCGGAGGCATGGGAGCCGGAACCTACCGTGGCAAAGGGCCAGGTCGGGACGCCCCTCGGCGCAGCCCCAAATCCTGCCCGCGCCCCAGCCCCGCTCAGGCCGCGCCCCTGCCACCTCTGGCCACACGGGCTGAGACGTCTGGCTCCTGCACAGCGCACTTCCCGCTGCCCTTCTCCACTGGCTGCTCAGGCCCTGCCTCGCCAGCACGGCATCCGCGGGGGATCCCTACCTGTCCTTTAGGGCTTGCCTCATAGGTCAAACGTCACCTCCCAGGGAGGTATGGCCTGCCCCCTGGCCAGGTGGGCCCCTTCCACGCTCGCCTGCAACACCACCCACCCACCTTGATAACTGCTTGTAAAGGTTGTACTGCTTTCCCCCTTGAGACTGCAAACCTTCAAGGGCAGGAAATGGGTCTGTTTTCCTGGCAAAATAATGAAGTTGGCTTAAGGTTTTGCTGAATAAAATGAGTGACAGACAAAAGTAGCCAAATTTGGCACTCCTGATGGGTTATTTGATGAAGGAGGTGCAATGTATGGGCTTAACTAGTTATTCTGGATTTCTTTCCCCATGTTACTCCTCCCTAATTCTGATGAGGAACTGAGAGCTGAATCTATTAATCTATTAACTCTTAACCTTCCTTTTTTTTTTTTTTTTTTTTTTTGAGACGGAGTCTCACTCTGTCACCCAGCCTGGAGTGCAGTGGCACGATCTTGGCTCACTATAACCTCCGCCTCCCAGGTTCAAGTGATTCTCCTGCCTCAGCCTCTTAAGTATTGGGATTACAGGCGCCCGCCACCATGTCCAGATAATTTTTGTATTTTTAGTAGAGACAGTGTTTCACCATGTTGGCCAGGCTAGTCTCAAACTCCTGACCTCAGGTGATCCACCCACCTCAGCCTCCCAAAGTGCTGGGGTTACAGCTGTAAGCCACTGCATCCGGCCTTAACCTTCCTTTTCTAAAGGCACTACCAGACTTCTCCTGCTACCCTAAGGATGGAGTCCTAATTCTGCCACTGGAACCCTGAATGCTTCACTTTCAGCACAAAAATTTCAAGCAAAGACTTGCAGCCTCTCCTTCTCAGTTTAGGGGAATGGGGGAATTCTTTAATCTGTGGTGGGACACACATGATGTTAATTAGAATACTCTCTCCCAAAGAGGAGGAAATAAATAGGAAAATGAATCAAGTCTGATGCCCGGGAAGTGTTTATGGATGTTGTGCAGAATAGCCCTACCACAAAGAAAATTTCAAATGAGACATCCTATCACTGCTGGGGTTTCTCATAACACAAGAGCTGAGGCTAGGTATGGTTGTTTTTTTTTTCTTGCTTTATAAGAATATTATTCAATAAGCAGATTTCCAAGCCTTGCATTCTTTCTATTCAATGTTTCTAAGATTCACACATACAATTTCGCAAAGCTGCATTTTATTCATGTTCACTGCTATCTAATATTCTATTTGTGATCATATCCTACTTTGTTTAGCCATTCTCCTGGGGATCAACATGGGGTTATCTCCAGTTTGTTTCCTCTAACAAATAATATTGTTCTGAACATCCACTCGTCTCCTGGAGCCCCTGGGCAAGCATTTCTCTGGGTGTGGACCCATTACTACACCAGGCATACGTCCAGCAAGCTAATTAATGTGCAGAATTAAGAGATAATGCTAAACTGTTTTCCAAAGCAGTTATACCAATGTACACTCCCATTAAAAGTGACTTTTGTTTTTGACTCGGTATTTTTCAGGTCAAACACATTTTCCTTTCAATTTTAGATTTATACTGATTTTCACAAACTGTCTTGGAGAATTATGAGGTCCTCAAACACAAAGCTTCATATTGTGGTTCTTAGTCAAGAAAATCTCCTAGAGGCAATGATCCAGCTAATTACAGATCCCCTATTGTCCACGTCTAAATTTACGCATTGTAGCTGGGATTAGACCCATGAATCCTAGGACAATGCCAGGGGTGTCATTAACTTAAAAACTCTGGCAGGCCAAGTGCAGTGGATCACGCCTGTAATCCTAGCACTTTGGGAGACCGAGGCAGGTGGATCACGAGGTCAGGAGTTGAAGACCAGCCTGGCCAAGATGGTGAAACCCCATCTCTACTAAAAATACAAAAATTAGCCAGCCATGGTGGCACGCACCTGTAATCCCAGCTACTCGGGAAGCTGAGGCAGAGAATTGCTTAAACCCAGAAGGCGGAGGCGGAGGTTGCAGTGAGCCGAGATTGTGCCAATGCACTACAGCCTGGGCGACACAGCGAGACTCCGTCTCAAAAAAAAAACAAAAACAAAAACAAAAAAACTCTGGCGTAAGCATGGTGTGGAGAGTGTCTGCAGTGATATGAGAATCCTGGGCACAACAGCATAAGCAGCTGCCTTCAGAATCTACCGCTCTTGCCTCCCACGGTCCATACAACCTCTTTTTTATTTTCTTCTTTTTTAATGTTTGTTTATTTATTTATTTAATGAGACAGAGTCTCACTCTGTCACCCAAGCTGGAGTGCAGAAGCACGATCTTGGCTCACTGCAACCCCCGCCTCCTGGGTTCAAGTGATTCTCCTGCCTCAGCCTCCGAAGTAGCTAGGACTACAGGTGCCCACCACCACACCCAGCTAATTTTTGTATTTTTAGTAGAGATGGGGTTTCACTATGTTGGCCAGGCTGGTCTCGAACCCCTGACCTCAAGTGACCCGCCCACCTCGACCTCCCAAAGTGCTAGGATTACAGGCACGAGCCACTGCGCCCAGCCTGTGAAGGCTTTAATAGCAACAATCCTTATAAAAATGATTTTTTTGGCCGGGCGCAGTGGCTCACGCCTGTAATCCCAACACTTTGGGAGGCTGAGGCGGGCAGATCACGAGGTCAGGAGATCGAGACCATCCTGGTTAACATGGTGAAACCCAGTCTCTACTAAAAATACAAAAAATTAGCCCGGCGTGGTGGCGGGCACCTGTAGTCCCAACTACTCAGGAGGCTGAGGCAGGAGAATGGCGTGAACCCGGGAGGCAGAGCTTGCAGTGAGACGAGATGGTGTCACTGCACTCAAGCCTGGGTGACGCAGAGAGACTCCGTCTCAAAAAAAAAAAAATTTTTTTTTTTTAAGACAGGGTATATCACAGGCTGGAGTGCAGTGGTGCTATCATAGCTCACTGTAGCCTCAAACTCCTGTGCTTAACTGACCCTCCTGCCTCAGCCTCCCAAGTAGCTGATACTATATGCACAAACCACCATTGCCTGCTAATTATTTTTGTATTTTGTATAGAGATGGGTTCTTGCTATGTTGCCCAGGCTGGTCTCGAACTCCTGGCCTCAAACGATCTAACCACCTTTGCCTCACAAAGCCCTAGAATCATATACATAAGCCACCACACCTGGCCAAGAATGATTTTTTTAAATTGGAAAATTTTAAATGTTCAATAAGGAACATATTAAGCAAACTGTGGTAGAGTAGTCCCCCCTTATCCACAAGGGTATGTTCCAAGACCCCCAGTGGACGCCTGAACCCTATATATATTGTTTTTTCCTATTACTTACCTATGACAAAGTTTATACGTTAGGCACAATAACAAATTAACAACTAATAATAAAATAGGGTAATAATAAACTAATAATAAAATTAAATAAAGTAAGAATGACTAGAACACAAGCACTGTGATACCACAACAGTCGATCTGATCACCAACAGAGCTACTAAGTGACAAATGGGAGAATCTGCTGGACAAAGAGATGATTCGTGTCCCAGGTGAGACAGAACAGGAAGGTGTGAGATTTCATCGTGCTGTTCCGAACCGCACACAATTTAAAACTCATGAATTATGTTCTCACTTCTAAGTGGGAGCTCAATAATGTGTACACATGGACACAGAGAGTGGAATAACAGGCATTGGAGGCTCAGAAGGGTGGAAGGGGTGAACAATGAGAAATTACTTAATGGGTACAATGTACATGATCAGGGGTGATGGCTGCACTCAAAATCCAGACTTCACCACTTCCCAATATACCCATGTAACAAAACAGGGGCACTTGTACCCTCTAAATCTATCAAAATTAAATAAACAAATAAATCTTATGAAATGTTCTGGAATGTTCCATTTTATATTTTCTTTTTCTTGTTTTTTTTTTTTCATTTAATATTTTCAAACTGCAGTTGGCCACAGGTAACTGAAACCTTGGAAAGCAACAGCACAGCTAAGGGGACAATTACTATATATCCATTCAGTGGTACAAAGTATAACTTTCTTTCCAGAACCATTTGAGATTAAATTGCAGAAACCATGACCCTTCACCCTAGTACTTCAAGCTGTATTTCCTAAGAACAAGAATATTTCTCCAACATAACCACACTGCAATGATCAGATGCAGAAAATTTAACACTGCAATATTCAGATTCAGGTATCAGCATCCATCCAATGCTAATAACTGCTATTCACATTTAGTCAATTGTCCCAAATAACATTCTTGCTAGCAGTATTATTTTTCCCAATGCAAGGACACACATGTCATTTAGCTGCCATGTCTCTTTATTCCCTTTTAATCTGGAATAGTTCCTTAGTCTTTCATGACCTTGACATCTTTTAAAAGTCAGCCCCGGCTGGGCGCGGTGGCTCACGCCTGTAATCCCAGCACTTTGGGAGGCCAAGGCGGGCGGATCACTTGAGGTCAGGAGTTTGAGATCATCCTGGCCAACATGGTGAAACCCCGTCTCTACTAAAAATACAAAAATTCGCTGGGCACGGTGGCTCACGCCTGTAATCCCAGCACTTTGGGAGGCCGAGGCGGGCAGATCACGAGATCAAGAGATCGAGACCATCCTGGCCAAAGTAGTAAAACCCCATCTCTACTAAAAATACAAAAATTAGCTGGGCGTGGTAGTGCACACCTGTAGTCCCAGGTACTCAGGAGGCTGAGGCAGGAGAATCGCTTGGACCTGGGAGGTGGAGGTTGCAGTGAGCCAAGATCGGGCCACTGCACTCCAGCCTGGGTGACAGAGTGAGACTTGGTCTTGGGGAAAAAAAAAAAAAAAGTTAGCCCCATTATATTGCAGCTGGTCCCTCAATTTGTGTTTGTCTAATGTTTCCTAAATCCAATTCAGGTTATGCATTTTTGGCACAGGATGTCAGTTCAAATTGATGACGCTGACTTTGTTCACATGGTTAAGGTGGTTTCCAGAAGAACCACTATAAAGGTTCCTTGTATATGTTTGTAATTCATACGTAATCTGTGGAGTGAGGCTTTGGCATCTTATTCCCCAGTGCTATGGTTTGAATGTATTCCCCAAGTGCATGTGTTGGAAATGTAATCCCCAGTGCAACAGTGTTGAGAGGTGGGTGATTTGGTCATAAAGGCTCTGCTGTTATTGCGGGAGTGGGCTCCTGATAAAGGGATGAGTTTGGCCCCTTCCTTTCTCTTTCCCTTGCTCACCCTCTTGCCCTTCTGCTTTCCACCATGAGATGATGCAGCCAGAAGGCCCTCACCAGATGTGGCTCCTCAATCTTGGACTTCCCAGCCTCCAGAACCATAAGGCAAATACATTTCTGTTCATTATAAATTACCCAGTCTCAGGTATTCTGTTACGGAAGCATAAAACAGACCAAGACACCCAGTAAGCGCCCACCTGAATGAGTCATGACTGTGTTAGTTGCAATGTGGTAACTTTTCGTTTGTTTTTTGGTTTTTGAGATGGAGTTTCACTCATTGCCCAGGCTGGAGTGCAATGGTGCGATCTCAGCTCACCACAACCTCCGCCTCCCGGGTTCAAGTCATTCTCCTGCCTCAGCCTCCTGAGTAGCTGGGATTACAGGCATGTACCACCATGCCCAGCTAATTTTGTATTTTTAGTAGAGACAGGGTTTCTCCATGTTGGTCAGGCTCAGGTGATCCACCCGACCTCAGGTGATCCACCCGCCTTGGCCTCCCAAAGTGCTGGGACTACAGGCATGAGCCACTATACCCGGCCTACAATGTGGTAACGTTTTCTGTATGATTAGTCAAATGCAGTAGTGAGAAGGGGGAAAAGAATAAAACAAAGAGTTCAATCTGTAACTGACCATGAACAATCAATTGAGATAACTTGCTACCTTCAGACTAGCCAACTTTTCCAACTCTGTTGTTCCTTCAGCAATCATTAGCTGGCATTCTCCTCTTCTACCTCTGTTTATGTATTTGTTGGTAAGTTTATTTGCTTTTTAGTATGACTCTGGACTCATGGATTCTCTTTTATTCAACGTGATAATTCATTATTGCCATTATTAATTTTGATATTCAAATTGTTCCAGGTTTGGCCACTGGAGCCCCATCAAGCTGACCCCTGTGTCCTTCTGACCTGTCTCTATCATTCTTTGAGCACCTCCTTGTGTTTTGAACAAGCCGCTCCTGACTCATCGTTGACCTTCCCTCCCCTTCCCACAATGAGCCATTTCTCCTAGGAGCTCTGACTCCTTTTAATGGACAATGGTATTTAGAAAACAAGATATGGGCATGAGGAATGCTCATTGCTACTTGGGTGGCCCTGCTCCCCAGCTCTCTCAGCAGACAGATCTTAGAAATAACTCAAGTCAAAATGAAAAGCAGGACAGGCGCAGTGGCTCACTCCTGTAATCCCAGCACTTTGTGAGGCTGAGGTGGGCAGATCACTTGAGGCCAGGAGTTCGAGACCAGCATGGCTAGCATGGTGAAACCCTGTCTCTACTAAAAATACAAAAATTAGCCAGGTGTGGTGGTGCGTGCCTGTAATCCCAGCTACTCAGGAGGCTGAGGCAGAAGAATTGTCTGAACCTGGGAGGCAGAGGTTGCAGTGAGCCGAGATCACACCACTGCACTCCAGCCTGGGCAACAGAGCGAGACTCTGTCTCCAAAAAAACGAAAAGTTGTGTTATCCACCAAGTTTCCAAGTTTCTCCACTATAAAGGTTCCTTTTTTATCTTTGTAATTAATAAGTAATCTGTGGAATCTCTCATTCCAATTCATGGAGCTCTTCTTTGCCTTCCTTCACTCCATATTTTTATCTTTCTTCTCTCATAGTGAGGATCCCAGCTCCCAAGAATATCATTATATTTACTTATTTGTTTAATCCTACAATACACAGAAAATATTTTCAGAATTGCTATACCAGATCACTACCAACTAAGTGAAGTACAAAATTTCTTTGTAGTTTTGTTTGTTTACACACAGGTGGATAGTCAAAGAGCTGTGTTCAAAGTTATTTGAGTTTGCCTTTCTATGACTAATTTACTATGCAGTTTAGCTCATTTGTTCACTTCTGTTTGTATTCAATTTTAGGTTTCCTTTCCCCCATCTTATGTTGATTTAGTTTTTCTTTTTAAATACTAAAACATTAACATGTTTTGAAAAGTCAAAACTGCCCCCAAAAAAGGTATGCCTGGAGATGTGTCATTTCCTCTTAGACTTTCACCCCATTCTCATCCACCCACTGCAAGTAGCCAATTTATTAGTTTCTAGTTTTTTCTTCCTAGGTTTCTTTTTTCCCTTTTCTCTTTTTCTTTCCAAAAATAAGGAGATACTTGAATGTTTCACACAAAAAGTAGCCTAACACAGTACTCTCTGTTTAACTTTTGTTCACTTCCTAGTACTGTATACCCTAGAAATCACTCCACATCAGTTCAGAGACCTTCCTCACTGTTTTTTATACGTGCATTGTGTGGATGTACCAGGGTTTATTCACCCAATTGCCTATGTATTGGCACTGAAGTTGTTTCCAAAATTTTGCCATTGCAAACAATGCTGCAATGAGTGACCTTGTACATATATACACTTTTATACTGGTGTAGGCGTTTCTCCAGAGTAAATTCCTACCTGTAGAATTGCTGGGTCAAGGGGTAAATGCATATGTAGTTTTGTTAAACAATGCTAAATGTTCCTCTCTAGGAGTTGGACCATCTTGCATTCCCACCAGCAATGTATGAGAGCATCTGTTACCCCACAGACTGTCCTGTTGCTTTGCACTTAGCAACGGGATCAGTTAGAACCGTGATGGTATCTCAGAGTACCCTGCATTTCTCCTCCTATGGGAGAAACGGAACATCTTTTCATTGAAGGGCCAGTTTTATGTCATTTTTGTGCAGATTGTCAGTTCATGTTTTTTGCCTATTTGGTCTTTGCTTCCCTCAATGTTTGAGTTATTTACATACTTGGGATCTTAACCCTTTATCTGTGATAGATGTTGCAAATATTTTTTCCCAGTTTGACATCTGTCTTTAATCAATGGTAGGGGATTTTTTTTTCTTTTTCCTTTTAATTTTATTTTATTTTATTTATTTATTTATTTATTTTTTTTGAGACAGGGTCTCACTCCCTCACCCAGGCTGGAGTGCAGAGCCGCCATCTCTGCTGACAGCAAGCTCTGCCTCCCTGGCTAAAGCAATCCTCCCACCTCAGCCTCCGGAGTAGCTGAAACGAACTTTTCTTATTTTTTGCAGAGGGGTTTTCGCCATGTTGGCCAGGCTGGTCTCCAACTCCTGAACTCAAAGAGATTCTCCCACCTAGGCCTCCCAGCGTGCTGGGATTACAGGCGTGAGCCACAGTGTCTGGCCCATCTTTTTTTTTTTTTTTTTTTTTTTTAATGAGACGGAGTTCGCTCTTGTCGTCCAGGCTGGAGTGCAGCGGTGCAATCTCAGCTCACTGCAACCTCCACCTCCCGAGTTCAAGTGATTCTCCTGCCTCAGCCTCCTGAGTAGCTGGGATTACAGGAGCACCACCAGCAGCACGACCGACTAATTTTTGTTATTTTTAGCAGAGACACGGTTTCACCATGTTGCCCAGGCTGGTCTCGAACTCCTGACCTCAAGTGATCTGCCTGCCTCGGCCTCGCGAAGTGCTGAGATTACAAGCGTGAACCACCGCGCCCGGCCCCAGCTTCCGTTTTTTAATGTTATTATGTATCAGTCTTTTTTTTCCGGGCACTTAGGCGCTGGGTCATTAGGAAGCCTTTCCCCACACGCAGGTCCTAGTCAACCGTGCTTTTTAGCGGCGAGTAGGCCCTGCGGCTCTGCCCCTAACATGGGCGCGGGGCACGCGGCCAGGGGCCCGTGGGAGGGGGACAGGGCGCGCGAACCCAGGTTCTCAGGCCGCGTCGCCGCGCGTGCGCACTGACAGCCGGGCCGAGCCAGCCCGGGTCCCGCAGGGAAGAACGCCAGCGGCGCGCGGAGGCCGCGCTGCCCTGGGCCGCGAGGTCCCTATGGCTGCTCCACCGGAAGCCCCGCCCCCTTCTGGCAGCTGGAGGCGGCTTTCCGGCCGTCCCGGCTGCAGCCCCGAGGCCTCGACTCAGGAGACGGCTGTTCCCTGGCAGAGGCTCGCGGTGGACTGCCTGACCCTCGCCCGGCCCCAGCACGCCCCCGGCGAACGCCCACCCCTGTCCCGGCCCGCAGCGCCCCGACTTACTTCTGAGGCCGAAACGCGGCCGCTCCTGCGCCGGGTGGTCGCCCGCGAATCCCTGCCGCGCCGCGCTGCGCCCTCTCGTGGCCCGCCTGGTGGTGCAACTGGGCTCTCTGCGCAGGGCCGCGGGGCCGCCTGGCCTCCTCCTGCCCTGGCCGCGGTGCCGCGCGCTCGGGAACGCGGGCCTTTCGCCGCTAGCCAGCTTCTGCCTCTCGGCCACCTGTCCTCTCTCGCCCACGCTGCCTGGGAGGCGCGCTTCTGCCGCCTTCTTGCCGCGCTCGCTCTAGCCTCGCCCACTCCTGCGGCCTTACAGGGCCGAACCTCACCCTGCCCTGCGGAAGGCAGGCCTACACCTTCCCTCCGCGCCTTCCTCCCTGACCGGCACCAAACACCACGTTGCCCTTTCCAGCATCGACGACCTATTCCCCAGTTCTCTGACACCAGCTGAATTAGCGCGAAACTACTGGTTAAGGGATTAGCCCAGGGAGACTGCCCTCCCTTCGCCAGCCACAAGCGGGGTGCCCAGAATGCCCGCATTTCTACCCTGCCCACTAGAAACTGAGGGATTGCCACAGCTCCCGTGAGGTTCAGCAATTCCCTGGGACGACACAGAACTCAGGGAGACACTTTACTGTTAGAAGATTATTGTAAAGAACACAACTCGGTAACAGCCGAGTGCAAGAGATGCGCAGCACGGGGGGTGAAGGGCGGGAGTGCTGTCCTCACAGCACCTCTGTGTGCCCACCTGCCTGGAAGCTCTCCGAACCCTGTTTAAGAGATTTTTATCCAGGTTTCATTATGTCATTGGCCATTAGTGATTGAATTCAACCTCCAGCCCCTTTCCCTTCCCGCAAGAGGAGTAGGGACATGTTGGAGCTGAATGAAAGTTACAACCCTCTGATCACATGGTGTGTTGCACCAGCCCCACCCTGAATCCATCCTAGAGCCCGCAATTAGCCACCTCATTAGTAGAAACTGTGATTTGACTAAGGGAGTCATTATGAATAACAAAAACACTCCTATTGCCTAGGAAATTCCAAGGGGTTTAGGAGTTCTGTGTCAGGAACTGGGGACAAAGACCAAATAGATTTTTTATACCAAACTCCCTAAACCAATAACCCAGTTTAATCGTGAGAAAAACATCAGACAAATCCCAGCAGAGGGACATTGTACAAAATAGCCAACCTAAAATCGGTCAAGGTTGTGAATGTGGTCAGAATCAAAATGGTGGAGTCATTTGTGTTAAAAGAGAGAGAAAAAAAAAATGACAAATAGAGCTGGGGAAAGCCATGAAGAGGATTCTTGTTCCTAAATGCGTGATGTCACAAATGCTCATAAAAGATCAACACTGTCCACAGAGGCCATGTCAGCCTTCCCAAAAGAAGATTCCTGCCAGGACATCTGCCCAGCAATAGCCTGTCCAACTTCAGACTGGTATCACCCTGATCGATACTTGTAGCTGAGGCTAATTATCAAAAACAATATGTAATCCTCCTCATTTTTTCTTTAAAAATCTTGGTCTTCCTTTACCTCCCTGAATTTCACACACATAGCTTAAAATGGCCCACATGGCTCCATTGCAATGCCCTGTTCCCAAATAAATACCATTTTCTTTTAGAGAACCTCTCTGTTATGGAGGTTGACAAGGTCACCAAAACCAAAGAGAGTGTGAGGAACTGCCTCAGCCAAGAGGCATCTAAGGAGACATGATGGTTAAATGTAAGTGGTGTCCTAGATGGGATCCTGGAACAGAAAAAGGACATTGGTAGAAAATGGAGGAAATTTAAATAATGTACCAATAATATCAATAATATAACGTACCAATGTTGGTTTATTAATTGTTAACAAATGTGCCATACTAATGTAAGATACAAATATGAGGAAACTGGTTTATGGGAACTCTCTGCACTATCTTGCAAATTATCTGTAAATCTTAAACTATTCTAAAAATAACGCTTTAAAAAAAAATTAGAGCTGAGTGTCATGGGCACACCTGTAATCCCAGCACTTTGGGAGGCCAAGGTGGGAGGATCACTTGGGCCCAAGAGTTTCAGAGCCAGCCTGGGTGACACAGTGAGACCCCATCTCTTAAAAAAAAAAAATAGCCAGGCATGGCAGCGTGCGCCTGTAGTCCCAGCTACTCAGGAGGCTGAGGGGGGAGGATCTCTTGAGCCTAGGAGGTTGAGGCTGCCGTGAGTCAAGATGACGCCACTGCACTCCTGCCTGGGCAACAGAGCAAGATCTTGTCTCAGAAAAGACAAGAATCATAAATAAATAAACAAGTAAACTAGAAATAAGCCAGATGTGGTGAGGCATGCCTATAATCAGTTATTTGGGAGGCTGTGGTGGGAGGATAGCTTGAGCCCAGGAGTCCAAGACCAGCCTAAGCAATATAGCAAGACTCCCTCTGAAAATAAAAGGAAAAACAATTACAAAGATTTAAAAGCCCTTCAATTTTGAGGATCCACCTTCTTTAAACAGCAGAGGGAGAAAGTGTATAAATTGAGTGACATTCACTGGAATTAGGAGATCCGGAGTGGAAATTTCCAGAGAAATTCCAAAAATCCTGGTGAGAAGAAAGGAATAGCCATAGCAGGCCCTGAGAATACAGAGCTTCCTAGCCAAGTCAAATCCGTCCCATCCTTCTCCCACCTCCACTCCCCCTCCCCTGGCACCAAGGGGGTCAGCAGAGGGAGCAGAAACCTTCAGCCACTCCCCTTCCTGCAGACCAGCAGCCCCAGCCCTGACCACAGCTGGCTGGCCTTGGAATGAAGCTTGAAGGACTGATAAATACCTGGGACTGGACGTACTAGTTTCTGAATTGAGAACAAGTTTGTGATTTAAAGTGATCTTGGCCGGGCGCAAATGGCTCACGCCTGTAATCCCTGCCCTTTGGGAGGCTTAGGCGGGCAGATCACCTGAGGTCGGGAGATTGAGACCAGCCTGGCCAACATAGCGAACCCCCGTCTCTACTAAACATACAAAAATTAGCCAGGCATGGCGGCTTGCGCCTGTAATCCCAGCTACTCAGGAGGCTGAGACAGGAGAATCACTTGAGCCCAGGAAGTGGAGGTTGCAGTGAGCCAAGATCTCACTACTGCACTCCAGCCTGGGCAATGGAGCAAGACTGCATCTCAAAACAAACAAACAAACAAATCAATAAAGTGACTCTAAGATTGTCCCCAACCTAACATGAGCAGAAACGTTTTGGGTCTGTGTTATGAGTTCAATTGTATCCTCCTAAAAAAGCTATGTTAAAGTCCTAAATGCTCGCATACCTGAGAATATGACCTCCTTTGAAAACAAGGTCGTTGCAGATGTAATTAGTTAAGATGAGGTCACACTCACCTAATATGCCTGGTGTCTTTGTGATAATATGGACATATGGCGACAGAGGGACTGGGAGAATGCCACGTGACAACAAAGGCAGAGGCTGGCCCAATGCTGCAAACCACCGAAGCAAGGAAGAAGCGAGGAAGACTTGAGGAAGGATCCCCCACAGGTTTCAGAGGGAGCACAGCCCTCCTGCCACTTTAATTTTGAACTTCTAGGCTCAAGAATTGCGAGACAAAATTCTGTTGTTTTAAGGCACCCCGTTTGTAGTACTTTGCTGCAGAGGCCCTGAGAGTCCAATTCAGCCCTATTAGCTTTTTCATCCGGGGCAAGTGAAGATACTCTCTACTGGATACAGATAGAGATGGTAGAAGATAAAGCTGTGTTTCTCACGTCCTGTGAGTTATGCATGCAAGGTACCAGTTACTCAACTGTCCTGTGGACTAAATCTCTTTAAGGGACTAAGGGAGCTTACCAGGCCCCTGGTAAGGAGGCCTAGGCCCATAGGTGGTACCAAAGCAAAAGGGACCTAGCACAGTGGTGAAAAACTCCAGCATACCTTCTGGGAACTTGCCCTGCAGATACGGTCATCTGTGTGCAAAATGGTGTATGTGTGTACAAGGTTATTCACTGAGGCATTGTTTGCAATAACAGAAGGTTGGAAACCACTACATATCCAATAGGTATGGAAGGCAAATAAGTATTTGTACTCCATGCGCTATTAAGACTGTGCAGCTTGGCCGGGCATGGTGGCTCATGCCTGTAATCCCAGCACTTTGGGAGGCCGAGGTGGGTGGATCACGAGGTCGGGGGTTCGAGACCAGTCTGATCAACACGGTGAAACCCCCATCTCTACTAAAAATACAAAAAACTGGCCAGGCTGGTGGCGCGCGCCTGTAATCCCAGCTACGTGGGAGGCTGAGGCAGGAGAATCGCTTGAACCCGGGAAGCGGAGGTTGCAGTGAGCTGAGATAGCGCCACTGCACTCCAGCCTGGGCGACAGAGCGAGACTCCGTCTCAGAAACAAACCAACCAACAAAAAAACCGTGCAGCTCTTAAAAACTGGGAGGAAGCGACGCCCAGCAAGACGGCGGCAGCGCAGCGCGTGTGTTGTTGAGGATCCAGGACGCTGGCCCGCGGGCGTCTTGGTCTTCTTCACCGCTGCGAAATCGCGTCACCTACCGCTACTGGCGGATTCGGGAGGTGCTGAAGCACGCCAAGCACTTCCGGCGGGGGAGCGGGGTGCGGGGGAAATTGCTGCTACAGGTTGGCGGTCAGAGCCGGGACTGGAGCCTTTGTGAAATGCACCAAAGCCGGAAACCTGAAGAAGAGGACCATGAGGACCCTCTGGATTAATCGAATTACAGCTGCTACCCAGGAACACGGCCCGAAGTACCCAGCGTTCACTGGCAATTTAATTAAGTGCCAGGTGAAGCGCCACAAGAAAGTCCCAGCGAATCTGGCCATCTACGAACCAGAGACTTTTAAATCTTTGGCTGCCTTGGCCAATAGGAGGCGACAGGAAGAATTTGCTGCTGCCTTAGGAGATGGGAAGGCAGCATATTTTTCCAGAATGGTACAGTACCGCTGAGGACCGTTGCTGTATTGACTAGGAAAAGACACAGAGTAATTTGCATTTTATTTGATTTGTGCTTGTGTTTATCCACATTCGAGTAACAGGCATGAGGGAAGGCCCCTTCTCTCTGGGACAGAGCCTCACAGATGGCTTCCGTGTTTCGTGTGAATGAAACTCAAACATTGTTCGAAAAAAAAAAAATTGGGAGGAAGCAAGAAAGAAAAAGAGTAAGGGACCTGTTTGTATACTAATAGAGAAATAGAAATATCTGGAATACAGTAACCTCCCTTTTGTGTAAAAGGCAGGGAGGCTGATAAGAAAATAATATAACTGTATTTCGGCCGGGTGGAGTGGCTCACGTCTGTAATCCCAGCACTTTGGGGGCCACGGCGGGTGGATCTCTTGAGAGCAGGAGTTTGAGACCAGCCTGGGCAATACGGTAAAACCCCGTCTCTACTAAAATTACAAAAATTAGCCAGTGTGGTGATGCACACATGTAATCCCAGCTACTCAGGAGGTTGAGGCATGAGAATCGCTTGAACCCGGGAGGCGGAGGTTGCAGTGAGCAGAAATCACGCCACTGCACTCCAGTCTGGGCGACAGAGCAAGACTCTGTCTTGAAAAATAAAATAAAATACATAAAAAAGATAAAATAAAATAAAGAATATAAAATGCACTTATTGTCTATTATGTACTGGACATTGTTCTATCAGTACACAGCCAAGGGTGAAATAGGCCATGGCTAGAAGTGAACAAAGTTATTTACTCACAGAAAATGGGCAGTGGGCTAGGCATATTTACTCATCTTTATTTCAAACGTTAGAAAAGAATTCCTGTACATTTCTAGGAGCCATAGATGCCCAGGATACCAATGCTTTTACTTCCTCACATTCTTCATGCTTCTGTAGCCGCAGAGCAAAATATAGATAGTGTTTTCTATAGGTACACTATAAGAACCCAGAGAGGCAGAGGAAACTGGATGGGTCTGAATTCCAACCCATCAGAACAGAAGCTAAGTTTCAGTGTGACCCACAGCCTGACTAGTTTTCATTCAGGATTGGTCTTTCAGTTCCAGGCCGGGAGCATGGTGGCTCATGCCTGTAATCCCAGGACTTTGGGAAGCTGAGGCGGGAGGATCAATTGAGTCCGGGAGTTTGAGACCAACTCAGGCATTATAGTGAGACTCCATCTCTACAGAAAATTTAAAAAGTAGGCATGGTGGTACATACCTGTAGTCTCAACTACTTGGGAGGCTGAGGTGGGAGGATCTCTCGAGCCAAGGAGGTCGAGGCTGCAGTAAGCCATGATGACACCACTGCACTCTAGCCTGGGTGACAGAGCGAGACCCTGTCTCAAAAAAAAAAAAAAAAGAGAGAAAAAGAAAAAAATGAGTTCCACATCTTGCTCGCAGCCCATTCTCTATGAATTGAGAGATGACAGAAGATGACTGTTTTTTTGTTTTGTTTTGTTTTGTTTTTTTGAGATGGAGTCTCGCTCTGTCAGGCTGGAGTAGTGCAGTGGTGCAATCTTGGCTCACTGCAACCTCTGCCTCCCGGGTTCAAGCAATTCTGCCTCAGCCTCCTGAGTAGCTGGGATTACAGGTGTGCACCACCACGCCTGGCTAATTTTTATATTTTTAGTAGAGACAGGGTTTCACCATGTTGGCCAGGATGTTGTCAATCTCCTGACCTCATGATCCACCCACCTCAGCCTCCCAAAGTGCTGGGATTACAGGCGTGAGCCACCGCACCCAGCCTGGATGACTTTTTAACCATGTGTTTGTGATCTTCTCCATGGCCTCTGCTGCTCAGCTTATTAATAGGTTGGTTGGCCATCTACAATTTATCTTTCATGTCTTTCCCCCAGAAAGCCAGTGTACCTGTGATGGGAGATCAATCCTGACAGCTCACAGAACGAGTCTGGTCTTCTGTGGAGCACACCTGCTAAGTCCCAGACTCTGCAGCAAGCCTGGCTGGCTTCACATCACACTCCTGATCTTCGGGGTGACTTTGAAGTAATGATTGAGCTTCTCTATGACTTGGTTTCCTCTCCTCAAAATATGGATAACCTACTTTCTCTCTTACATGCTTATTGTCAGGACTGAGTAAATTAAAATCCACAAACCACAGTCCTGGCACACAGTACATGCTCAATAAATGTTAAAGTTATAGTTACTACAGTAGCTATTATTAATGCAGTGGACATGTCTCCGCCTCAGCTTCCATTATCTTGTCTGCAAAATGAAAAGATGAACCAGGAATGAGACTGAAGTTCTCTTCTAGCTCTGAGATCTGTAGGTCTGGCTTTCCTGATTTGCTTTGTCCATTTTTTTTTCCCACATGGCACTGTATGTGCCCAGGCAATATGTAACGAATAGGAGTTTCTTCTGTTTTCCTATAGAAACAACTAGAAGAGTGAATCTCATTACATTGACAAACTCAGGGACCAGGCCAGGCGCGGTGGCTCACACCTGTAATCCCAGCACTTTGGGAGGCCGAGGTGGATGGATCACTTGAGGCCAGGAGTTTGAGACCAGCCTGTGCAACATGGTGAAACCCCGTCTCTACTGAAAAGACAAAAATAGCCAGGTGTGGTGGTGCGCACCTGTAGTCCCAGCTACTCAGGAGGCTGAGGCAGGAGAATAGCTTGAACCAGGAGATGGAGGTTGCAGTGAGCTGAGACCACAGCACTGCACACCAGTCTGGGCAACAGAGTGAAACTACGGCTCAAAAAAAAATGACCACACACTGGGCGGTTTACAACAACAGCAGTGTCTTGTCTCACAGCTCTGGGGCCTGAAGTCTGAAACCCAGGTGCCTGCAGCGTTGTTTCCTTGAAGAGGCTCTCGGGGAGAATCAGTCCCATGCCCCTCTCCCTCTCCTTGCATCTGATGTTGCCAGCAGACCTTGTGTTCCTTGGCTCCTAGAGGCTTCACTCCAGTCTCTGTGTCTGTCTTCTCATGGCTGTCTTCTCCGTGTGTCTCTGTGTTTCCAATCTCCTTCCGCCTTTTTCTTATGAGGACGCCTGTCATTGGATTTAGGTTCCACCCTGTGTTAGTCTGTTTTGTGCTGCTGTAATACAATGCCAGAGACTAGGTAATGATAAAAAAAAAAAAAAAGGAAATGGATTTCATACAATTCTAGAGGCTAGGAAGCCCAAGGTCAAGGCACTGGTAGGATTGGTGTCTGGTGAGGGCCTGGTCTCTGCTTCCAAGATGGTGCCTTGAATACGGGGAGGAACGCTGTTCCTTACAAAGCAAAAGGGTATAAGAGTGAGAACCCACTCCTGACAGCCTTTTTTTTAAGGGCATTAAACCCATCCATGAGGGCAGAACTCTCATGGCCTAATCACCTGTTAAAGGCCCCACCTCCCAATACCATTACATTGAAAATTAAATTTCAACAACAGTTTGGGAGAGGACAAATATCCAATCCATAGTACACCCTAAATCCAGAATGATCTCCTCTCAAGATCCCTGCTACCACCTCCTTCTCCTCCTTCTCCTCCTCCTCTTCCTTCTCCTCCTTCTGCTTCTTATTGTTGTTATTTTAGAGACAGGGTCTTGCTTTATCTCCCAAGCTAGAGTGCAGTGGTGCGATCATAGCTTACTGCAGCCTCCAACCCCTGGGCTCAAGTGATCCTTCCACCTCAGCCTCCCGAGTAGCTGGGACTACAGTTGTGTACCAACATGCCTGGCTAGGAGTCTCTAATTTAATTGCATCTGCCAAGCCTCTTTTTCCAAGTAAGGTCACATTCACAGGTTCTGGGGGGCAGGGCTTAGACATAGATTTTTGGGGGCCACTGCTTAATGTACTGTAGGAGGGCCACATCCTGTGTACTACAGGGACAGCCTGAGGTGAGATTCTGCTACCTACCACGTGCCACCTGTGGATAAAACTTTCTGCTTTCCGTGTTTTCTCATGGTGGGTGTTAGCTCAAAGTACATAATTAAATTGGACGACTCCATAGTACTTCTTCATTTTCTTCTGAAGCTAGCTGAGCAGTGACTGAAACAGAGGAAACCCCTGCCCTCATGGAACTGACACACTCCTAGGAAAGGCAGACAACAAGTAAAACAAATAGGTAAGAGACAGTAGGACAGGCACAGTGGCTCACGCCTGTGCTCCCAGCACTTTGGGAGGCTTAGGTGGGTGAACTGCTAAAGCTTAGGAATTCCAGGCCAGCCTGGGTAATGTGGCAAAACCACTTCTCTACAAAAAAATTCAAAAATTAGCCAGGTGTGGTGGTGTACACCTGTAGTCCCAGTTGCTCGGGAGGCTGAGGCAGGAGGATCGCTTGAGCCCAGGAGGTTGAGGCTGCAGTGAGCCCTGATTGCACCACTGCATTCCAGCCTGGGTGACAGAGCGAGACCCTGTCTTAAAAGAAATAGTAGGTTAAATGAGTTAAGGTGATAGATATATGAAAAATATGGTTATGTTAAATGTAATGGAGAAAACTGAAGCAGGGAAGGAGGCTAGGGAATGCCACGGTACACGTGTCTTTGTGAGTGTGAAGGAGAGAGAGGCTTTAAACAGGTGTCCAGAGAAGGCGTCATCCCCGGAGGAGATCGGAGTCAGACCTGAAGGAGGTGAGGTGGCAGGCCATGCAGACGTCTGGAAGGACAGTGTTGCAGGCAGAGGCCCTGAGACATGAATGTGCCTGGGAGGCTCCCAGGCCAGAAACAGTCCAGAGGGAAGGGGGTCTGTGGGGAGTGGGGTAGGGAAGGTAAAGCCAGGGCTATAGATGGTTCCAGCTTCCAGACATCAGTCATGGCATGGTTAAGCTAGGGATGTCTGCAGTCATGCAGAAACGCTTCTTCTTCTTCTTCTTTTTTTTTTTTCTTTTTGAGTTTGAGTTTTACTCTTGTTGCCCAGGTTAGAGTGCAATGGTGCAATCTTGGCTCATCAGAGCCTCCGTCTCCCGGGTTCAAATGATTCTCCTGCCTCAGCCTCCCAAGTAGCTGGGATTACAGGCGTGCACCACCATGCCCAGCTAATTAACTTTTTTCTTTTATTTTCTTTTTTCTTTTTCTTGAGACGGAATCTTGCTCTTGTTGCCCAGGCTAGAGTGCAATGGCGTGATCTTGGCTCACCGCAACCTCCGCCTCCCGGGTTCAAGCGATTCTCCTGCCTCAGCCTCCCAAGTAGCTGAGATTACAGGTATGCGCCACCATGCCTGGCTAATTTTGTATTTTTAGTAGAGACAGGGTTTCTCCATGTTGGTCAGGCTGGTCTCAAACTCCCGACCTTAGGTGATCCTCCTGCCTCAGCCTCCCAAAGTGCTGGAATTACAGGCGTGAGCCACCGCGCCTGGCCTTTTTTTTTTCCCGAAAGCTAACGTGGGCCTTAACATAAGGATTCAAAAACAGGTATATTTCACCTAACAATTCTATTTCTGAGAATATATCCAAAAGAACTGACAGCAGGTGCTTGAAGGAATGGTGTTCATAGTGCATTATTCACAACAGCCAGAAGGTGGAAGCAACTCAAGTGTCCATCTACTGAGGATGAATGGATAAACAAAATGTGGTCTCTGCACACAAGGGAATATTACTCAGCCTGAAAAAGGAAAGAAATTCTAAGCTATACTACAATATGGATGAACCTTATGGGTATTATGCTGAGTGCAATAAATCCGCCAAGAAAGGCAAATACTCACAGATTCCACTTATATGAGGTACCTATAATTCTCAAACTCACGAGGACAGAAAGAATGGTGGCTGCCAGGGCCTGGCAAAGGGGGAAGTGGGAAGTTACTGTTGAAGAGTTTCAGCTTTGCAAGATGAAGAGTTCTCTGGGTAGATGGTGGTGATGGGAGCACAGCAGCATGAGTGTACCTAATGCTGCTAAACTGTGCACCTCAAATGGTAAAGATGCTAGATTCCATGTTACGTGTATTTTACCACAATTGTAAAAAATAAAAATAAATAACTTTTGGCTGGACATGGTGGTTCACACCTGTAGTCCCAGCATTTTGGGAGGCCGAGGCGGGCAGATCTCTTGAGGTCAGGAGTTTGAGACCAGTCTAAACAACATGATGAGACCCCGTTTCTACTAAAAATACAAAAATTAGCTGGGTGTGGTGGCACACCCCTGTAATCCCAGCTACTCAGGAGGCTGAGGCATGAGAATTGCTTGAACCCGGGAGGCAGAGGTTGCCATGAGCCGAGATTGCGCCACTGCACTCCAGCCGGTGTGACAGAATGACACTCCATCTCAAACAAAACAAAACAAACAAACAAAAAACTTAAAAAAAAAACACCCCAAACAAATATATCTCTTATTCCCATGGAACAAATATACAAATATCCTTTTTTGGTCTTAAATATTTTAGAAAATAACAACATCAAAAGCAGTAACAACCTCTTGTAGCTTCTAAAACAGCTTTCAGAGTTGCAGAACACTTAGGAGCAGATAACAGGAAATACGGTCTAACTAAACAGAAGAAAAGGAAATTATCATTTCCCTGCTTGTCTTCAGCACTGTTTATGTAAAAATATTCTGACCTCTTAGATGTTCTGAGTTTTGGGATCCTCTTCCTAGGCAGGCCGGAAACCTTCAGGGCTGACATCTTTACTTTTTGTTTCCAGGCAACAGTGGAGAGTCAGCATATGAAAAAGAATTTTTAATTAAAGACAGCAGGAGAAGAAATAGAATCTCCATTTTATTTAACTCCCGGGCAGAGAGGGTTTCACACACTTGAAGTTCAGCAATTTTTCCCAGTTTATAAGCCAGGGGCCTAATTAAGTTTCTTAAGATTTCTACCCCTTCCCCAAATTACTTCCTCTATTATAAAGACCTCCCATGGACTCAAACAAAGTTTAAGAAATAGTTTAAAATACTTGGTAACACAAAAGGTCTTTGAATTCCCAACTACCTCAATGGCAATTTATTTTGTTCACTGTATTTTAATTCCTGCACCTGCAAAAGAAAAACTAAAAAACAAACAAACAAAAAACTCTCATTTTACATTACCAGTAAATTTATTTTTCATTAAACACATTTTCAACAAAAACACGCATAATTATGGATTTTAATTATGGTTTATGTAGCTACATTCTACCTCCCCGAGGACAGATTATCCACATAAATTATTTGGAATTCTTCTACTAAGGAAATTTGTCTATTCTCCCCATATTTTCAATTATTCAATATTTACTGATATCAATATAAGCTCAAGAGTATTTATTTTATACCTCGAGTTATAAACAAATATTACTTTATTTTGTTGCTCAAATTGTCCCAGCTTTGGCCATGGTGGTCTTATATTGTACTTGGCCGAAGGAAAAAAAAAAGAGAGAGAAAATAGACTGTCTACTGCCTGCAGGTGCTGAGTTTGGTCTTTTTGCTCTTTAAATTTATTTTTATTTTATTTTATATTTATTTTTTGAGACAGAGTCTCACTCTGTCATTTGGGCTGGTGTATAGTGATGCAATCTTGGCTTACTGCAACTTCCACCTCCCGGGTTCGAGCGATTCTCCTGCCTCAGCCTCCGGAGTAGCTAGGATTACAGGTGCACACCACCACGCCTGGCTAATTTTTTGTATTTTTTTTTTTTTAAGTACTGACAGGGTTTCACCATGTTGGCCTGGCTGGTCTCAAACTCCTGACCTAATGTGATCCACCTGCCTCGGCCTCGCAAAGTGCTGGGATTCCAGACGTGAGCTACCATGCCCAGCCCTTCAAATTTATTTTTAGTGGCGCTCACTTTCTTTTTTTTCTTTTCTTTTCTTTTTTTTTTTTTTTTGAGACAGAGTCTCATTGTGCAGTCCAGGCTAGAGGGCAATGGTGCGGTCTCAGCTCACTGCAACCTCTGCCTTCCGGGTTCAAGCGATCCTCCTGCCTCAGCCCTCCGAGTAGGTGGGACTACAGGCGTGTGCCACTACTCCCGGGTAATTTTTGTATTTTTATTAGAGACGGGGTTTCACTGTGTTGGCCAGGCTGGTCTTGAACTCCTGACCTCATGACCCACCCGCCTTGGCCTTCCAAACTGCTGGGATTACAGGGGTGAGCCACCGCGCCTGGCCGTGGCATTCACTTTCTACAGCCCAGGTATCTGACAGGAACTCGAGTCCTGCTTCTCTGTACCAGTTACTTAACCTCTGGGAAGTCCAGTTTCTTAATCTGTAAACTGAGGATAATGCCTGATTTGCAGGGTTAGAGGGAGGATTATAAATTAATGTATGCTCCAGAAAAGACCAAATGATTCTACCTCTGTGAGGTGCCTGGAATGGTCAAATGCATAGATACAGAAAGCGGAATGGTGGTTACCAATGGCAGGGGGTGGGGAATGAGGAGTTACTGTTTCACGGGTACAGAGTTTGGTTTGGGATGATGAAAAAGTTCTGGAGATGGGGGGCCGGTTGCACAACAATGTGAGTGGATTTATTGCCACTGAATTGTACATTTGAAAATGGTTAAAATGGTAAATTTTATGTTATGTACCTTTTGCCACAATAAAAAGTAATATATTCATTGTTGAAAATTTAGAAAACAAGTTTTAAAGCCCCTCCAAATCTTTGGTAATGTCAGCACTCAGCAGGCACTTCTGTTTTATTTGTAGCCTTTGAATATATAGTTCACATCCTATGCATACAGTTTTGTTCTTTCCACATGGTCATGTTTTTCCTATGCTGTCCAAAACTCTGTAAACATATTTTTATTAACTGCATACTATTCTACCGTCATTTGTTTAATCATTGCCATATTTTTGGACATAGTTTTTCAACAGTGTAAGCAGCGCTCTCTGATTAAATACATCTTCATTCCCATTTCAGAATACATCTACAGTATAGACACAAGTAGAATTACTGGGACAAAAGGTGAACTTTCATTTTTGTTGTGCTTTTTTTGAGACAGGGTCTTAGGGTCTTGCTCTGTGGCCCAACATGGAGTGCAGTGGCATGATCATGGCTCACTGCAGCCTGCAACTCCTGGGTTCAAACAGTCCTCCCACCTCAGCCTCCTGGGTAGCTGGGACCACAAACATGTGTCACCACACCCGGCCTGGGTGAACATTTTTATGGCACACAATACACCTTATCAAACTTTTTCATTGCATTGCCACCAGCTACCTAGAAGACACTCATTTAAAAACATCCACACCTAGCCAGGCGTGGTGGTGTACACCTGTAGTCCTAGCTACTTGGGAGGCTGAGGTGGGAGGATCATTTGAGCCTGGAAGGTTGAGGCTGCAGTGAGCCGTGATCATGCCACTGCACTCCAACCTGGGCAACAGGGCAAGACTCTGTCTCAAAAAACAAACAAACAAAAAACACAACGAAAACACCCCTTCTGCACCCAGTTGCCCAGTGTTCTTTCATTTTCTTTTCTTTTTTTAAAAAATTATATATATATATATTTGAGAAAAATAACAGCGTCTCACTCTGTGGCCCAGGCTGGGCTGCAGTGGTGTGATCATGTCTTACTGCAGCCTCAACTTCCTCGAGCTCAGGTAATCCTCCCACCTCAGCCTCCTGAGTAGCTGGGACCACAGGCCCACTCCACCACGCCTGGTTAATTTTTGTATTTTTGTAGAGACGGGGTTTCACCACTCCGGCCAGGCTGGTCTGGAACTCTTGACCTCAAGTGATCTGCCTGCCTCTGCTTCCCAAAGTGTGCAGATTACAGGATTGAGCCACCGCGCCCTGCCCAGTGTTCTTGTAAAACCCCATTCTGCATTTAGATTAAATATGGTACCTTATTGTTGCAATATGGCCCACTAATGTTCTTTGCCTCCTTCTAGCCTCCTCCCATTAATTCCCCCCTCTTAAATGTTTGCCTTTATTTAGATTTAATTATTGTTGCTCAAAATCTTAATTAAAAAAATGTGAAAACACTTTAATGTCTGAAGTTCTTCGATTTTTTTTTTTTTTTTTTTTTTGAGACAGAGTCTGGCTCTTGTTGCCCAGGCTAGAGTGCACTGGCGCGATCTCGGCTCACTGCAACTTCTGCCTCCCGAGTTCAAGCGATTCTCCTGCCTCAGCCTCCCAAGTAGCTGGGATTACAGGCACCCGCCACCACACCCGGCTATTTTTTTGTATTTTTCTTAGTGGATACGGGGTTTCATCATGTTGGCCAGGCTGGTCTCAAACTCCCGACCTCAAGTGATCCACCCGCCTGGGCCTCCCAAAGTGCTGGGATTACAGGCATGAACCACCGCGCCTTGCGGAAGTTCTTCGATTTTTTTTTTTTTTTTTGGAAAGGGAATCTCTCTCTGTCTCCCACGCTGGAGTGCAGTGGCACACTCTCGGCTCACTGCAACCTCCGCCTCCCAGATTCAAGCCATTCTCCTGCCTCAGCCTCCCAAGTAGCTGGGATTACAGGAGCCTGCCACCACGCCCGGCTAATTTTTTTATTTTTAGTAGAGACGGGTTTCACCATATTGGCCAGACTGATCTCGAACTCCTGACTTCAAGTGATCCATCCACCTGCCTCGGTCTCCCAAAGTGCTGGGATTACAGGTGAGAACCACCGCGCCTGGCCTAGTTCTTCGATTTTTTAACATCCATCACAGTAACTTAAATTATATAAAGTAACTACCCCTGAGGAGCCCGGGGTAGTTGAAGGCCCTCCAGCGCCTTCGGTGTTCTGTCGCAGTGCTCTACGTGTGAAACCGCTTTCTCCCACCCTGGCCGTGCGCTGGTGATGGTGGCAGCGGCGCTCCAGCGACGCCCGGGGAAGTGTCCCCAGGGTCGGGCAAGGTCGCTTCTGCTGGTCGGGAGGCCCTTTCTAAGCCTGGCTGGGGCTAACCGAAGGAGAAGCCCGCCGCTCCAGGCTTTATTAAAAATTCGCATTCTTTCCAAGGCCGCCATCGGTGGGAAGGGTGCGCTCGTAGCACCCCTCTTGCTCGGTTCCATTCCTGGCCTTCTGTCTCCTGGAAGGGTCGCCGCGCCCCACCCCACCCGCTTCGCCACGGGTTCGAGCCCTGGCGTCGGGGCGTCCGGGAGCCCACTGTCCAGCACCGAAGGCAAGGCCGGTGCACGCGGACCCGAGGATTCGGTAGATGTCCCCGAAGACCCGCTGCCGCTCTAAGGCGGTGGAAGCGAGATTCTCCGGAAACCCAGGGAATCCGATGCTCGCACAGGACCAAAGCCCGAGGCCGCGGGGACCACAGAGGGACGGAGAAGCCGGGACTCCTCACATCCCACATCCGGCAGGGGAAGCCCAGCAGGTGAGCGCAGGTCCCCCCAGTCCCCGAGGGAGTGCGCCCGACGGAAACGCCCCTAGCCCGCGGGCCTCGCTTTCCTCTCCCGGGTTCCTGGGTCACTTCCCGCTGTCTCCAGCCCGAGCTCGTGGCCCCAATCCCTGGTACCTCCATCCTCTGGTCACCCCTTCTCTGGTGCCCCCTCCCCGACTTTTCTTTGTCCCGTCCCCACCCTTGCCCGGGCCTGCCGGACCCCCCTCCTTGACACCCGGCGCCACCTCCTTGAGCTTTTCTCGTCTCCTCCCCATCCCCGGCTCCCTGGTCCCCTCCCGGAACTTCTCTGGTCCCCTCCGCTCCTCCGACCCGGGCTTTTCCTTCGTACCCTGCGGCCCCCTCCGCACCCCTCACGGAGCTCCTCGGGTCCTGCCCCCTCCCAGCGCTTGCCCGCGCCGCCCCGCCCCCGTTTTTAAACCTGGCGCGCGGGTAGGTGAGCGCGTTAGCCCGAGTGGATCTAGGCGCGCTCGTAGGCCGGCGCCGCAGCAAGGGGCGCGGGCTCCGCCGGCACCATGGAGCCCGAAGCGGCGGCCGGAGCCCGGAAGGCGCGGGGGCGCGGCTGTCACTGCCCCGGGGACGCTCCCTGGAGGCCTCCGCCACCGCGCGGGCCGGAGAGGTGAGGGTGGCCCCGCGCCCCGGTGGACGCGCTGAGAGGCGTGCGCGGTGGCGGTGCGGGGAGCGCAGCGAGCGGGAGGCTGGGGCGCTGCTGAACCCCCGATCCCCAGCGGAGCTCCGGAGCTCGACGGCGACGCCAAGCAAGCTCCTGAGCCGGCAGCCGGGTTCCCGGGAGGGGCGCTCAGTTCTCCGGTTCCAACGCACAGCTCTGAAGTGCGGAGGCCCAGGATGTAGCTGGCCAGGAAAGGGGCCGACGCTTCCGTGTAGAGGAGATCTCAGTTAGCCAGCCGGGGACACTGCAGTCTCGGGCTCCTAAGCCAGCCTTGCAAAGGCAATCTCTCACCTTGCTACTTTCTCGGTAGCCGTTTCTGTTGTCCCTGGATTGGGGGCTCGGCGTTCGCTGTCCCTGGGCACCAACCCTTTTAAAGACAGTAACGTTGTAGGAAATCAAATTAGCCAGGGAGGTAGGGAAGGGACCGGGTAGGCCGGATGGGCCAGGTAGCCAGGCAGGAGAAAGATTCCCTCTTTTTTTTTTTTTTTTTTTTTTTTTTGAGACAGGGTCTCACTGTGTCGCCCAGGCTGGAGTGCAATGGCGTGATCTCGGCTCACGGGAACCTCCGCCTCCCGGGTTCAAGCGATTTTCCTGCCTCAGCCTCCTGAGTAGCAGGGATTACACGCGCCTGCCACCACGCCCGGCTAATTTTTGTATTTTTAGTAGAGACTGGGTTTCGCCATGTTGGCCAGGCTGGTCTCGAACTCCTGACCTCGAGTGATCCAGTAACCTCAGCCTCCCAAAGTGCTGGGATTACAGGTGTGAGCCACCGCGCCCAGCCCCCTTTTTTTGTTTGTTTGTTTTTCATCCTACAACTCTGTAAAATCATCTCTGTAGAATCAATCTCCTTCCGTGACCAAGGTGGTGTGATTGAAATTAACCGGGGACAAAGTAGACAGCTATAGTTGGGGAACCCCGAATTGAACAATTCAGCCAGGATTTGCAGGGAGAGAAATCTCTCAACTAATGGGTTCCCTGATAATTGTGTGAGATTCGGGACCTCCCTTCTCAAAGCTTAACTGGAGACAGAGAACTGGGGACGTAGCAGGAGAGAAAAAACACAAATGACAGTAATTTATCCACAGCCCTGAGAACTCCAGGGAAAGTTCCTGGGGGGTCCGGTGCCTCTTTTTCAGGCAGACACTGGAACTAAGAATAGCTCTCATGGCATAGTTTGAAGGCAGCAGAAGTGCCCAGGGTTCACTCTCTCCTGGCGCTTGCCGTTCCAGCCCCGCGCCGTGGCGACCTTGGATCCAGACACCTGGAGATGCTGAGCTGACCAGAACTGGAAGGCCGGTAAGGTTCAGTGCGGGCGTTGTAGGTAACCCTTCCAGCCAGAAAGTGGCATCGTCTTTTAAAATACAGGGACCGTGAATGGCCTTCTGCGCAGGGCCGTCCCTTGGGCGTCTAACCCAGGAGCGCCTCGGGGTCTGGGAGTTGGAACCTGAATGAGTAAGGTGTTAATCAGACCTGACTCGCATTATAGATTGGGCTCCTGGTGGCTTCTCCTTCCTAAAAAAGCATACCCACTATAAAAGCATAATCGTAGGCTGGGCGCGGTGGCTCGGGCCTGTAATCTCAGCACTTTGGGAGGCCGAGACGGGTGGATCACCTGAAGTCAGGAGTTCGTGACCAGCCTGGCCAAGATGGCGAAACCCCGTCTCTACTAAAAATATAAAAATTAGCTGGGCATGGTGGCAGGCGCCTGTAATCCCAGCTACTTAGGAGGCCGAGGCAGGAGAATCGCTTGAACCCGGGAGGCGGAGGTTGCAGGGAGCCGAGATCATGCCACTGCACTCCAGTGTGGGCGACAGAGCAAGACTCATCTCAAAAAAAAAAAAAAAAAAAAAAAACCGTAGTCGTTTCATGGGAATTATAAGGAATGTCCTCCCTGTTGCGGTTTCTTCTGCAAAGCAACAGGTCGGGAGGGGAGGGGAGAGGCTGCCACTATCGCTTGCCTTGGAGAAAAGCTTAGAGCACCATTAGCGTTGGGCCGGTGCCACAGAGCAAATAGGACTGAGCCCCATCTGAGGTGCCCAGAGTTGCCGTTAAAAGCCCCCACCCCGCGTCTGGCCCTTTCTGAAGCACTTTCAGCCCCGTCAAGCACTCCTGGGGTATCTCATGTTGTCTGAGCAAATACACTCAAGCAGAGGGCTTTGTGGGCAAGATTAATGACCTCCACCATTCTTTTGTTACTCTGCATTGGTAACTCAGTTGCTTTATACTTACTGATGTAATGACTTGCTTTCATAGAATTTACCTTTCCTTTGTTACATTTTAAAATATAAATTGATGACTTTTACTTAATTTTTTTTTTTTTGATGACTCTTAAAACACTGAAGAATTAGGCTGGGAAAGACCATGTATTGAATTTACGTAACACGTGTTATATGGACTAACGTGCAGTTATTTGTAATATGGTAAGAAAACTTGATTGTGGGAAAACAGACCTTCACCGTATTTTGATATTTACACGACTTTATTAAATTAATCTGAATATTGGGAATTTTAATTTACTTCAAAGAAGGAAGCAGATAAAAGATAAATCAATTAACAAGAGATGATTTTTAGTCCCCGATTATTTATACATATATCTAAATAATGTAAAATCCCTTCTTTTGCATTCAAACTTAGTTCTTAAACATAAAATTTAAAGGTGCTTGTGTGAGAATATAGATGTTTACAATTATCCAGTTTTCTTTTAAATGAAATGGATGTGGAGCCTATCAGTTTCTTGCAGGAATAAAAATACGATAGCACGCTCCCTAAGTAAGACAGATGGTTTTGGGTTTTGTTTTCTGTTTTGATAAGGCCGTTTGTGAGAAAAATTTACTTGCAGAGAAATGTTAAACGTTAACTTTCTCGCTGATCAGCAGGTAGCCTGTCACGCTGAAGTAGTTCTGTCCACGGATGTGGGTGTGGGAAGAGTGGTTGTTCCCTGGGGGCTGTAGAGCCCGCCAATCCTCACCCCTAGCCCGGAGCCCGCTCTTTGCAGAGCCCAGCTGGTTGCGCAGAGCGACCAGCGCCAGTCTGTGCTCTGGTACTGTGCACCGCCCTGGGTTCCCTGCAGTCCACCGACGAGAGCTGCCCAGCGCAGGGAAGGAACGCTTCTTGCTCAACAGCGCCCTCGCCCGACAAAGCAGGACAATTCCCCAGCTCCCAAGCCCTCTTCTGTATTTCTCAAAAATGCCATTGGCTGGAGTGGCGGTGAAGAGGACTAACGCCTGGTGACCTGTACCAGGGCTCCCGGCAAGCAAAGCAAAACTAGAATAAAACCTCAAGTAGGCCGGGCGCGTGGCTCACCCTGTAATCTCAGCACTTTGGGAGGCCGAGGCGGTCGGATCATCTGAGGTCAGGAGTTCGAGACTGACCTCACGAACATGGTGAAACCCTGTCTCTACTAAAAATACAAAAGTTAGCCAGGCAGTGGTGGTGTGCGCCTGTAATCCTAGCTACTCGGGATGCTGAAGCAGGAGGATCGCTTGAACCTGGGAGGCAGAGGTTGCAGTGAGCTGAGATCGGGACACTGCATTCCAGCGTGGGAGACAGAATGAGACCCTGTCTCAAAAACAAAAATAAAACCCAAAAAACCCTCAAGCAGAGGGAAGGCCTCAAGGCCCTGTACTCTGAGCAGCACGGTCACCCTCACCCACTTCATGCCCCTACAACACTTAGGGAGCTATCTCCCTCCCCTACCTGCACCTTTCTTGATCTCTGTTGCGTTTCCCTCCTGGCCACTTGCGGGCACTGTCAGGGAGGCAGTTTCCTGGAAAACATCAGGGACTGTTTGTTCTTCTGGGCCTGCCCTATCTGCCAGGCTCCCACTTCTTAGCCCTAGCCCGGTCAGAGACTCGAACGGGGAGGAGAAGGCTGACCCCCACTGAAAGCCTCTCTGCACCTGTCAGTCCTCAGGCTCATAGGAAAACACACTCGCACATATGTTAAACGCAGTGCTTGCGTTGTGCACATTTCTGTTCTCGTGTTTCATTATAAAATGTGAATATTTAGACATTTCCCTCAGCAGACAAAGGATCCTTTTGGAAAACAATCAGGATATTTATGGCATTTTTTTTTTTTGAGGCGGAGTTTCGCTCTTGTCGCCCAGGCTGGAGTGCAATGGTGCAGTCTCAGCTCACTGCAATCTCAGCTCACTGCAGCCTCTGCCTCCCAGGTTCAAGCGATTCGCCTGCCTCAGCCTCCAAGTAGCTGGGATTACAAGCGTGCGCCACCACGCCCGGCTAATTTTTGTATTTGTAGTAGGGACGGGGGTTTCACTATGTTGGCCAGGCTGGTCTCGAACTCCTGACCTCAGATCGTGATGCTCCTGCCTCCGCCTCCCACAGTGCTGGTAATTACGGGCGTGAGCCACTGCGCCCTGCCTGGCATAAAACTTTTAAAGCTGCATATGTTTGTGGGGTAAGGTTTTTAAAGTGGATAAAGGTGTGCTGAATGTTTTAACAGGGTCCAGTTAGAACTGGACGATTTACAGAAGTTATTCTTTCTCTGACACCTGCCACTGCCGAGTTAGGCCCTGTCTGATCGCAGGGCGCCAAATAGCCGTTAGCAGGGCAAGATTGCTTGTGGCCATAAAGTAGGGCCTGAGGAAATAGGAGTGTTTTATAATCACGAACAGAGCTTAACAAAGAAGCAGCTTCCTGTATCCCCCAAAGAGTGAACAACTTTATGGAAAAGATTTGGTTTCAAAGAGCCTCATCACTTTCTTAGCTCATCACAGTGAATTATGAAAATATGGCTGGGGCCGGGCGCGATGTCTCACGCCTGTAATCCCAGCACTTTGGGAGGCCGAGGCGGGCGGATCATGAGATCAGGAGATCGAAACACGGTGAAACCCCATCTCTACTAAAAATACAAAAAATTAGCCGGGCGTGGTGGCATGCGCCTGTAGTCCCAGCTACTCGGGAGGCTGAGGCAGGAGAATCTCAGTGAGCCGAGATCGCACCACTGCACTCCAGCCTGGGTGAGCAGAGTAAGACTCCGTCTCAAAAAAAAAAAAAAAAAAAAAAAAAAAAATGGCAGGGAAAATGTAATGTCTGCAGAGGCTCCTTACAGGCGAATTTGCTCATATATATCATGTGCACATTCCCTCCGCCACCCGCCCCAGCGTCCGTGCAGGATGGAATGGCGTGGAGATTCACGGTGTCAAAGTCCTTCCTTGTCAGGCCATAGTAAGTTTTGTCCTGTTTCTCATCTGGTTCCAATTGAACTTTGGAATCTGAAGATTTGGGGTTTCTGATGCACTGCCCCAGACCATTTCCGCTCCTTATTTATTATTATTATTATTATTATTATTATTATTATTATTATTTTTGAGACGGAGTCTCGCTCTGTTGCCAGGCTGGAGTGCAGTGGTGCAATCTCAGCTCACTGCAACCTCCGCTTCCCGGGTTCAGGCGATTCTCCTGCCTCAGCCTCCCGAGTAGTTGGGACTACAGGCACATGCCACCACGCCCAGCTAAATTTTTTGGTATTGTTAGTAGAGACTGGGTTTCACTGTGTTGGCCAGGCTGGTCTTGAACTCCTCACCTCAAGTGATCTGCCCACTTGGGCCTCCCAAAGTGCTGCCATTACAGGAGTGAGCCACCGTGCCCAGCCTGAGTTCACATCCTGCCCTCATCCAGAAGCTCTTTACCATCAATTTTCAAGACTGGTTCCTCCAAGCCCTTTCTATACCAGCCTCATCTGTGCACAGCTCCCTGCGGCCGCTGCTCTCCTTGAAATACAGATCTGATAGTTGGACTCCCTGACTCAAAAATCCATCTCCAGTTCCTGTATCCAGAGTCAAACCTAAACTCAACAGTGGGTATTCCAGGCATATGTCACCGTTTGAGCCCTTTGCCCATCACAGGGTCTCACTTGTTCCACACAAGGCTCCTCATGGCTCCCCACTTGCACCCCCTGTTTTCCTGCCACTCTGATTTTTTTTTTTTTTTTTTTGAGACGGAGTGTCGCTCTGTCGTCCAGGCTGGAGTGCAGTGGCAGGATCTTGGCTCACTGTAACCTCCACCTCCCAGGTTCAAGTGATTCTTGTGCCTCAGCCTCCCAAGTAGCTGGGATTACAGGCATGCGCCACCACGCCCATGCCTAGCTAAATTTTCAGATTCCACCCGCCTCAATCTCCCAAAATGCTGGTATTACAGGCATGAGCTACCACTCCCGGTACTGCCACTCTGAATTTGATGCTCTCCTCTGCCAAAATAGTCTTAGAATTGCAAACCCACATGCCACAGATGTCTCTGCGAGGCCCTTCATGAACCCGTTCCTGACCTTCCTTCATGCTTAGAATCATGGGTATCTTACCGTGTGATGCTTTGTAGCTGGTTATTAGCATACATGTGCGTCTCTGTCCATTAGATTGTAAAATGCTGGACTGAGGCACTGTGTCCAACTCCTTCCATCTGAATTCTTCACAGTGCCTGGGACATTTTGGGCCGCGGTAACAGGAACACGGGCTTATCGAATACTGATAAGGTGTCTAAACTCTCTAAAATTGGTATTGATATGACCAACTGCAGATGACTTACGTTCTGTGGTTTAAAACCTCAGGATGTCACCTTCCGACACTCCTGCACTGTCTCTGTGTTTGTATGTGTCTGTCGTTACAGCTTGAACCTAGGGCTGACCAACACACTTTTGGATCAAAGGGAGCCTTTGGGTTTCAGCATCCTGTAAGGTAATATACGACTTCACAATAAGTAATCTGTAATTTCCTTTTAATATAGGCATTAATATGCTTTAGTGTCTTCAACCACATAGATTGTCAACAAAGTGGAAAATAATTCAATGTATTCTTTGGTATTGTTTAGTTTCCTTATACCAAGGAGATTTTGTTGGATTTCTGGAATCCATTCATGTATTCATTCATTCAGTGTTTTCTACAAAGTGCAATTGGCCTCTCTCTTTTCTTTATACCTGTTATTTCTACTTCTCATTACAAATTGTGCCTTGTATTATATTTATATAATTGCATGTGAATTGTATATGCATATACAAAAACTTATATATTGAGGTATATTTCTATTGTTCTACCAGGATATAAGCTAGTATATTGTCTAGTGCAAAGTCGACCTTCAAAATCTATGTGTTGAGGGTGGACATGGTGGCTCATGCCTGTAATCCCAGCACTTTGGGAGGCTGAGGCAGGTGGATCACCTGAGGTCAGGAGTTCGAGACCAGCCTGACCAACATGGTGAAACCCCCGTCTCTACTAAAAATACAAAAAATTAGCTGGGCATGGTGGTGGGCACCTGTAATCCCGGCTACTTGGGAGGCTGAGGCAGGAGAATCGCTTGAATCTGGGAGGTGGAGGTTGCAGTGAGCCGAGATCACGCCACTGTACTCCAGCCTGGGCGACAAGAGCGAAACTCTGTCTCCAAAAAAAAAAATCTATGTGTTGAGTAAATGGTTGTCTCCAGCACAGTGGGTGCCGTGCACCTTTGAGAGAGCCTTTTCCTCCCACCTCCTAAGTGTGTGTCATGGTCCTGGTGGTGACCAGGATTCTCACTGCTGTATCCATCTACACTCTGTCCATTTTAGACAAGTGGCTCACGTTCAGGATTTCTGCCTGTCTCTCTGTCTCTGTCTCTCTCTTTTTCTCTGTCTGTCTCGCTCGATCTCCTTTACCAAAATTAACCTTGCCTGGGCCGCCTCCACCAGGTGCCTTTGCCCTGGTTACCCAAGAAGACTGGAAAGCTTAATACAACCCAAAGACACTCATGTGTAGGCATAAAGCTCAGTCTCCTCAGACTGGTCAGAAGGAAGCTTCCCTTGTATGCCTTACACCAATAGTTTTCTTTTCTCTTCTGACATCTCACTCTGTCACCCAGCTTGGAGTGCAGTGGCACAATCTCAGCTCACTGCAACCCCTGCCTCCTGAGCTTAAATGATCCTCCCACTTCACCCTCCTAAGTGGCTGGGACCACAGGTATGTGCCACCATGCTCTGCTAATTTTGTAATTTTTTTGTAGAGACAAGGTCTCACTATATTGCCCAGACTGGTCTTGAATTCCTGGGCTCAAGCTATCCTCTTCCCTCGGCCTCCCAAAGCGTTGGGATTACAGGCATGAGCCATTGCTACTGGCCACACCAATGGTTTTCAATCCTCATAGAATTACTAGTGGAGCTTTTAAAAATACAGATGCCTGGGTGGTTCTCCCAGGCACTCGGATTCGCTTGCTCTAGGGAAAGACCCATGCATCTGTTTTTTGTTTTGTTTTTGTTTTTGTTTTTGTTTTTTGAGATGGAGTCCTGCTCTGTCACTCAGGCTGGAGTGCAGTGGCACGATCTCGGCTCAACTGCAACTCCACCTCCCATATTCAAGCAATTCTCCTGCCTCAGCCTCCCAAGTAGCTGGAATTACAGGTGCGTGCTGCCATGCCTGGCTAATTTTTGTATTTTTAATAGAGGTGGGGTTTCACCATGTTGGCCAGGCTGGTCTTGAACTCCTGATGTCAGGTAATCCACCCGCCTTGGCCTTCCAAAGTGCTGTGATCACAGGCTGTGATCACAGCCACCGCACCCGGCCATTCTGTTTTTGATTAGTTGAAAATGCTGTGACTGACAAAGCATGAGCTGCAGCCATGCACTGCACACTGGATATACAATTTCACTTTATATTTTTATTACAGAAAATTTCAGACATACACAAAAGTGGAGTGAATAGTACAGTGAACCCCATGTACCCATCACCGGCCTCAATAGTTATCAATGTTCTGAGCTCATCATATTTATCACCCGCAACTATGTTGTTGTTGTTGTTAGCATATTTTATTTTATTTATTTATTTTATTTTGAGATAGGGTCTTGCTCTGTTGCCCAGGCTGGAGTGCAGTGGTGTCATCCCAGCTCACTGCAGCCTCCACCTCCCCAGGCTTCCATCTCGGCCTCTGGAGTAGCTGGGACTACAGGTACAAACCACCACACCCAGCTAATTTTTTTTTTTTTTTTTTTTCAGATATGGGGTTTTGCCATGTTGCTCAGGCTGGTCTCAAACTCCTGGGCTCAAGTGATCCTCTTGCTTTGGCTTCCCAAAGTGCTGAGATTACAGACATGAGCCACTGTGTCCCACCCCAGCATATTCTAAAGCCAATCTCAGACATGCTAGGAATTCACCTGTGAATACTTCAGCATAAATACCTAATTGTAAACATGGCTAAAAATGGAACTATGCTCATATTTCTGTCTTAGATGAACATACACATTCTGTCTGCTGCAGAATTCCTCAACCTCAGCACTATTGGCACTTTGGGCTGGATAATTCTTCACGGTGGGAACTATCCTGGGCCTCGTAGGGTGTTTACCAGTATTCCTGGCCTCTACTCACTAAATGTCAGTAGCTTACCCTCCATTGTGACAACCAAAAATGTCTCCAGACATTGCCAAATGTCCCCTCGAGGTCGAGAACCATTGGTCTATTGGATATCTTATGAAGTAAAAAACTATCATCCATTATTTATAGAAGGGTGTTTTCTCTCTCCCTTTTCTCTTCTATCTGAAAAAAAAGGATATTGAAATCAGCTTTGCAAATAAGCAGTGATCAATTGACAAACTCACTTCTTCAGAAGACCACAGAGAAAAATGCAAATAAGTTAATGAATGAAAAGCAGGTCGAGGCATGGTGGCTCATACCTGTAATCTCACACTTTGGGAGGCCAAGGCAGGAGGATCACTTGAGCTCAGGAGTTGCAGACCAGCCTGGGCAATATGGCGAAACCCTGTCTCTATGAAAAATATAAAGAATTAGCTGGATGTGGTGGCATGCACCAGTAGTCTCAGCTACTCAGGAGGTTCAGGTGGGAGATGCTTGAGCCCAGGATTTCAAGGCTGCAGTAAGCTATGATTGCCTCACTGTGCTCCAGCCTGGGTGGCAGAATGAGACCCTTTCTCAAAAACAAAAAAGAAAGAAAGTAAGTGAAGGATAAGAGATTATGGCCGGGAGTGGTGGCTCATGCCTATAATCGCAGCACTGTTGGAGGCCGAGCTGGGCGAATCATTTGAGGTCAGGAGTTCGAGACCAGCCTGACCAACATGGTGAAACTCCGTCTCTACTAAATACAAAAATTAGCCAGGCATGGTGGTGGGTGCCTGTAATCTCAGCTATTTGGGAGGCTGAGACAGGAGAATCACTGAACTCAGAAGGCAGAAGTTGCAGTGAGCTGAGATTGCGCCACTGCACTCCAGCCTGGGTGAGAGAGTAAGACTCCCTTTCAAAAAAAAAAAAAAAAAAGATTACAGGGAGGGGGTATCTTAATACTTGCCATGTATGAGCAAATCCAAAATCTTATAAAACCTGGAATTTAGGGGTTCCAAATTTTACATACTTAAGCACTTTCTTTTTTCTTTCTATTTCCTTTTTTCCTAAGCACATCTTTTTTATTCTGGCAGAGCAAAGGACTTGTGCCTCCAATTTCTTTATGGCAACATCTGGAAAAATTAGCTGCTTCTCTAGACCAGGGTTTCAGAGATGTCAGAGTAAATTTCCTCCAGAACCCAAGGGGTTACAGCATTTCCCATGCTGCAGGGGACAGAGGGTGGGGTGGGAGAGTGGGGCTTCACCTAAATGGGACATCAATTATCCAAGAAGAGTCAAGTCCGCTATTTGATCAGAGTGAGCCTCCTAATCTTGGAACTCAGTGTTTTCAGTTGCCTTTTACCTTCCTTGAAGCACACCCTCTTCCTTGCGACTGTCTGAATTGACTGGCTCAGTCAGATTTATAACTCACTTCTGAACCGGGGTAGGTTTATCACCAGGTGCCTCCAATAGGTGCCTAGAGTTCTCTGTTCTGATGACTTAAATTCTGTGTGTTGTGAAGGCAAAGACCAGAAAGGAAGACTGGGGAGTTCTCTGCTTCTGGGAAAAAGCACCCTCTAGAAGCAATTTAGGACGAGGTTCAGGTTGATTAATGGTATATTTGTTTCTTAAATATTAGAGTCTATTTACCCATGTCAAAGCGTCAAGAATACCTGCGGAGTTCCGGGGAGCAAGTACTGGCCAGTTTCCCAGTGCAAGCCACGATTGACTTCTACGACGATGAGTCTACTGAGTCTGCTTCCGAAGCTGAAGAGCCAGAGGAAGGACCCCCACCCCTCCATCTTCTGCCCCAGGAGGTGGGAGGTCGGCAGGAAAATGGCCCAGGGGGAAAGGGCAGAGACCAGGGCATCAACCAAGGGCAGCGATCCTCAGGAGGGGGTGACCACTGGGGGGAGGGTCCGCTCCCTCAAGGTGTCTCCTCAAGGGGTGGCAAGTGCTCCTCATCCAAATGAATCAGTCTCTGTCTCCTGGGCCCTGCTCTGGGACCTGCCCCTCACGTTCTCTTGGGGACACCCGAGCCAGGACACTACGCATCCCTGCTGAGTGTGCAGAGGCTAGAGGCTTCTCGGGCAGCCCCTGGCCTGCACACTACTCATGACAGAAAGTCAGCTTTTACTTTTCTTTCCCCTGGCAATTCGTTTTTGGTGCACTCATGCATGCCTTTGAGAAAGGATTCTAGGAGAAAGAGAAGGTCTATGTCAACAGAGTTGTTATCTCATAGAGCCAGTTTTCAAAGCTCCTTCTGCATTGTCACTCACTGATCAGGTGATGAATTCTTCCTAGATAGTCGCCCACTCCACCTCCTACTTAACCTGAGACTCATTATTTAGCTATTTCTGCTTTTGTAAAAATAATTCAGATATTAAACTCCAATTTTAATCTATCATCCAAGGGTAGATGTAGTTGCTTAGTAGCATTTTGGAAAAAAAAGAAAAAAAGGTTTGGTTTGGTTTTGTGACGGAGTTTTGCTCTTGTCTCCCAGGCTGGAGTGCAGTGACACAATCTCGGCTCACTGCAACCTCCACTTCTTGGGTTCAAGTGATTCTCCTGTCTCAGCCTCCCAAGTAGCTGGGATTACAGGCATGAGCTACCACGCCTGGCTAATTTTTTGTATTTTTAGTAGAGACTCGGTTTCACCATGTTGGTCAGGCTGGCTTTGAACTCCTGACCTCAGGTGATCCACCCGCCTTGGCCTCCCAAAGTGCTGGGATTACAGGCGTGAGCCACTGAGCCCGGCCAAAAAAAAATGTATTTATTAAAAAAAAATTTTTTTAACCCGCCGAATAATTCCCATAAGAGTAACAAAAAGGACCAGCCTGACCAACGTGGAGAAACTCTGTCTCTACTAAAAATACAAAATTAGCCAGGCGTGATGGCTCATGCCTGTAATCCCAGCTACTCGGGAGGCTGAGGCAGGAGAATGGCTAGAACCCGGGAGGCGGAGGTTGCCGTGAGTCGAGATCGCACCATTGCATTCCAGCCTGGGCAACAAGAGCGAAACTCCGTCTCAAAAAAAAAAAAAAAAAAAAAGAAAGAAAAGAGTAACAGAAAGATAGGGATTTTTAGGAGACAATTAGATAAAAATGTATGTGATGACTGTATAAGGAGGCCTGTGTGTATGAATTTATAGGGAGTAGAACCGTCTCTCTTCTTAGTTGGTGACTGTTTGGGGCCTGGTATTTTAATAGATGAACACTACTTTTTTAATTTTTTATTTTTTTAACCCTACCCTTAACCCATGAACACTATTTTTAATTAAAGTATCTGATGTAAAATTATTTTGAGTTTTTAATATTTTGATAAACGTGTATTCCTGAAACTTTTTGACTTACTTATCTTACATGTGGTGTCTTCCTGTATATAGTACATTATATCAATTTCTACTTGAAATAAATATTTTGAAAGAATGTTTGATAATCACCCTTTTTTGCTTAAGACATTTTTAGAATTAAATAGTTTCTGCTTTAAGGTTTTTTCATTTTTCATGGTTTTTAAAAATAATTCTTTTAAAATTATAACCTATTATTTTATTTCAGTATTCTGTTTTATTTTTTAAAATTTTAGACACAGGGTCTTGCTCCGTCCCTGGCTGGAGTGCAGTGGCTCAATAATAGCTCACTGCAGCCTTGAACTCCTGGGCTCAAGGAATCCTCCCACCTCAGCCTTCGCAGTAGGTAGGACAACAGGCGTGAGCCACCATGCCCAGCAATGTTTTTTGAGACGGAGTTTCGCTCTTGTCACCCAGGCTGGAGTGCAATGGCACAATCTCGGCTCACTGCAACCTCTGCCTCACAGGTTCAGTCGATTCTCCTACCTTGGCCTCCTGAGTAGCTGGGATTACCGGCACGTGCCACCAAGCCTGGCTAATTTTGTATTTTTAGTAGAGATGGGGTTTTACCATGTTGGCCAGGCTGGTCTCAAACTCCTGACCTCAGGTGATCCACCCACCTCGGCCTCCCAAGGTGCTGGGATTACAGGCATGAACCACCATGCCCAGCCACCCAGTTAATTAAAAAAAATTTTTTTTTTGTAGATACAGGTTCTCAATACATTGCCAAGGCTGCTCTTGAACTCCTGGCCTCAAGCTATCGTCTTACCTAGGCCTCCTAAAGCACTGGAACTACAGGAATGAGCCACCATACTAGGCCCAATATATTAAAAAGTAGGAGTAATGAATGGAAATACTTTCAGCAATCCAAACACTATAGAAAGTACACATTGCAAAGTAAAATCACATTCTGCTCTTCCCCCTTTCCTTTGTCTAAAGATAACAAACATCAATTGTGTTTTATGGCTTCAGTCTTTTGAAAAATTCCTTTTTTGTGTGTTTTTCTTTTCTGGGCCTTTTTTTCTTTTAAAATGTTTACTTTTTTGTGTTTTGAACAAATTTGGCTACTTTTTCATTTAAAAATTAAAAATTATATTTTATTGTTTCTTTTACTTGTTTAAAGTACATCTTTTCAGACTTAAAAACAATTAAACCTGGGTCAATTTCAGAAAGGATTTAAGATGACCCCGAATTTTGCTGGCTTTTCACAGAAAAATGCTAGAAGTCTTATCCTCACTCCTTCATGTGATGCTTAAGATAAAAACTAAATAATCACATCTGACTTTGTTGAGTTTTCTTGATAAATCAGTTTTATTGACAAATAAAGCCTGGTCCAATAATGAGTTTATCCTAAATAAACCAAACATAGTCCAAATTCTGATGGCATCAACCTCCACAGTTTAAAATATGCTGCGTGTGCCAGGTGAGATGGTTCACCCCTGTAATCCCAGCACTTTGGGAGACCGAGGCAGGTGGATCACTTGAGTCCAGGAGGTCGAGACCTGCCTGGACATGGTGAAACCCCTTCTCTACTAAAAATACAAAAAATTCACCAGGCGTGGTGACACGTGCCTGTAGTCTCAGCCACTTGGGAGGCTGAGGTGGGAGGATCACCTGAGCCTGGGGAGGTTGAGGCTGCAGTGAGCCAAAATCACACCACTGCACTCCAGCTTGGGAGACAGAAAGAGACCCTGCTCAAAAAAGTTGATTAATATATGCTGTATGATAGTTTTACATTACATTAATTCTAAATTACTTAGAATCTGGCCAGCTTAGTGCAAATACAAAACAAGGCACTTTAGCTATGGCTAGCAATGGAATCACATATACTGTGGGTCAGACATTTTTGATAGCAAGGATATGGTGAGCTTGGGGCCTCCTTAGCTCTCTGATTGTTACAATTACGTGAATTAACTAAAAGTCTCAAACCTAAGAGCTCCAGGGTTTTGGTCATGTATCCCTCTCACTTAAAAAATGTAGCTGAGCATGGTAGCTCATGCCTGTAATAACAGCACTTTGGGAGGCTGAGGCAGGAGGATCACTTGAGCCCAGGAGTTTGAGACCAGCCTGGGCAACAGAGGGAGACCTCCTCCTCAACAAAAAATTAAAAAGCTAGCCAGGTGCAGTGGTGTGTTACTATAGTCCCAGCAACTCAGGAGCCTGAGGTGGGAGATGCTGGAGCCTAGGAGTTCAAGGTTGCAGTGGGCTATGATTGCAGCACTGCACTCCAGCCTGGGCAACAGAGTGAGACTCCACCTCAACAAAATACAAAATTAAAAATGTGTGCCTGCCCCCTAACATATATTCACTTATGAATTATATGTTATGTTGAGCCATTTGAAATTGCTGATGCTTTACCATTTTTAACCTACAAAAAAAGGCAATTTCATATGGTTCAACCAACATGTACTATTGGGATAATATATTGCGCATTACAAAATATACACAAGACGTATATTTTAAAGGAAAGCCCAAGTTGGGCATGGTGGCTTACACCTGTAATCCCAGCACTTTGGGAGGCCAAGGCTGGAGGATCACTTGTGACCAGCCTGGGCAACATAGCAAGACCACATCTCTACAAAAAAAAAAAAAAAAAAAGCAAATAAGCAATTTCATCACTTTTTAAAACTTGTATTTTAAGTTCAGAGGTACATGTGCAGGTTTGTTACATAGGTAAATGCATATCATGGGGTCTTTTTATACAGATTATTTCATCACCCAGGTATTAAGCCTAGTACCCATTTGTTATTTTTTCTGATCCTCTCCTTCCTTCCACCCACCACCCTCCTATGGGCCCCAAATGTGCGTTGTTCCTCTCTGTGTGTCCATGTGTTCTCATCATTTAGCTCACACTTGTAAATGAGAACATGCAGTATTTGGTTTTCTATTCCTGCATTAGTTTGCTAAGGATAATGGTCTCCAGCTCCATCCACACTCCTGCAAAGGATATGATCTTGTTCCTTTTTATGGCTGCGAAATATTCCATGGTGTATATGTACCACATTTTCTCTGTCCAGTCTACCATTGATGGGCATTTAGGTTGATTCCATGTCTTTGCTACTGTGAACAGTGTTGCAATGAACATACACGTGTTTGTGTCTTTTTAAAATAATTTTTATTTTAGGTTTGGGGTACATGTGAAGTTTTGTTATACAGGTAAACTCGTGTCACAGGGGTTTGTTGTACGGATTATTTCATCGTCCAGGTATTAAGCCTAGTACTCAATAATTATTTTTTCTGCTCCTCTCCCTCCTCCCTCCATCCTCAAGTAGGCCCTAGCATCTGTTGTTCCCCTCTTTGTGTGCACGAGTTCTCGTCGTTTAGCTCCCACTTATAAGTGAGGATATACCGTGCTTTCTTCCCTATTCCTGTGTCAGTTTGCTAAGGATAACGGCCTCCAAATCCATCCACGTTCCTGCAAAAGACATGATGTTGTTCTTTTTTTTTTTGAGACAGAGTCTAGCTCTGTCGCCCAGGCTGGAGTGCAGTGGCACAATCTCAGTTCACTGCAAGTTCCGCCTCCCAGGTTCATGCCATTCTGCCTCAGCCTCCCGAGTAGCTGGGACGACAGGCGCCTGCCACCAGGCCCGGCTGATTTTTTTTGTATTTTTAGTAGAGACGGGGTTTCACTGTGTTAGCCAGGATGGTCTCGATCTCCTGACCTCGTGATCCGCCCGCCTCAGCCTCCCAAAGTGCTGGGATTACAGGCGTGAGCCACCGCGCCCAGCCGATCTTGTTCTTTTTTATGGCTGCATAATATTCCACATTTTCTTTATGCAATCTGCCATTGATGGGCATTTAGACTGATTCCAGTGCGTGTCTTTATGGTAGAATGATTTATATTCCTTTGGGTATATACCCAGTAATGGGATTGCTGGGTCGAATGGTAGTTCTGTTTTGAGATCTTTGAGGATTCTCCACTCTGCTTTCCACAATAGTTGAACTAATTTACTTTCCTACCAACAGTGTATAAGCGTTCCCTTTTCTCTGCAACCTCACTAGAATCTGTTTTTGTTTTGTTTTGTTTTGTTTTGTTTGCTTTTTAACAATAGCCATTCTGACTGGTGTGTGATGGTATCTTATGGTTTTGATTTGCATTTCTCTAATGATCAGTGATGTTGAGCTTTTTTTCATGTTGGCCACATTTATGTCTTCTTTTGAGAAGTGTCTATTCAAGCCCTTTTCCCACTTTTTAATGGAGTTGTTTGTTTTTTTCTCTTGCAAATTTGTTTAAGTACCTTATAGATGTTAGATATTGGACCTTTGTCCAATGTATAGTTTGCAAAATTTCTCTCCCATTCTCTAGGTTGTCTTCTTACTCTGATGATAGTTTCTTTTGCTGTGCAGAAGCTCTTTAGTTTAATAGATCCCATTTGTCAATTTTTGCTTTTGTTACAATTGCTTTTGGCATCTCTTTTTCTTTTCTTTTTTTTTTTTTTTAAGACAGAGTCTTGCTCTGTAACCCAGGCTGGAGTGGAGTGGTGTGATCTAGGCTCACTGCAATCTCTGCGTCCTGGGCTCAAGTGATTCTCTTGCCTCAGCCTCTTGAGTAGCTGGGATTATAGGTGCCCACCACCACACCCAGCTAATTTTTGTATTTTTAGTAAAGATGGGGTTCCACCATGTTAGCCAGGCTGGTCTCAAACTCCTGACCTCAAGTGATCTGCCTGCCTTGGCCTCCCAGAGTGCTGGGATTACAGGCATGAGCCACCACACTGGGCTTTGCTTTTGGCATCTTTGTCATGAAACCTTTGCCTATTCCTATGTCCAGAATGATATTGCCTAGGTTGTCTTCCGGGGTTTTTATAGTTCTAGGTTTTACATGTAAGTCTTTAATCCATCTTGAGATGATTTTTGTATATGGTATAAGGAAGGGGTCCAGTTTCAATCTTCTACATATGGCTAGCCAGTTATCCCAGCACCATTTATTAAATAGGGAGTCCTTTCCCCATTGCTTTTTTTTTTTTTTTTTTTTTTTGGTCACCTTTGTTAAAGATCAGATGGTTATAGGTGTGTGGCCTTATTTCTGGGCTCTCTATTCTGTTCCATCCGTCTATGTGTCTGTTTTTGTACCAGTACCATGTTGTTTTGGTTACTGTAACCCTGTAGTTTGGCTTGATGTCAGGTAGGGTAATGTCCCCAGCTTTGTTCTTTTTACTTAGGATTGCCTTCACTATTTGGGCTCTTTTTTTTGTTCCATATGAATTTTTAAAATAGTTTTTTCTAGTTCTATGAAGAATGTCATTGGAAGTTTGATAGAATAACGTTGAATTGGCCGGGCGCGGTGGCTCACGCCTGTAATCCCAGCACTTTGAGAGGCCGAGGCGGGTGGATCACAAGGTCAGGAGATCAAGTCCATCCTGGCTAACACGGTGAAACCCCGTCTCCACTAAACATACAACAAATTAGCCGGGTGTGGTGGCAGGCGCCTGAAGTCCCAGCTACTTGGGAGGCTGAGGCAGGAGAATGGTGTGAACCCAAGAGGCAAAGCTTGCAGTCAGCCGAGATCGCGCCACTGCACTCCAGCCTGGGCGACAGAATGAGACTCTGTCTCAAAGAAAAAAAAAAGGGAATAACGTTGAACCTAGAAATTGCTTTGGGCAGTATAGCCATTTTAATGATATTCTTCCTATCCAGGAACATGGAATGTTTTTCCATTTATTTGTGTCATTTCTGATTTCTTTGAGCAGGGTTTTGTAATTCTCATTGCAGAGATCTTTCACTTCCCTGGTTAGCTGTATTCCTAGGTATTTTATTCTTTTTGTGGCGATTGTGAATGGGATTGAATTCCAATTTGACTCTTGCTGGCTGTTGTTGGTGTATAGGAATGCTGGTGATTTTTGCACATTGGTTTTGTATCCTGAGACTTTGCTGAAGTTGTTTATCAGCTGAAGGAGCTTTTTGGCCGAGACTTTAGAGTTTTCTAGATACAGGATCATGCCATCTGCAAAGATAGCTTGACTTCCTCTCTTTCCATTTGGAGATGCTCTTTATTTCTTTATCTTGCCTGATAAGCATTTAAATTATTAATAGTTCTTAAATCCTTTTATTCTCATGAAATAAATATATATACTAAATAATGTATACTGTGTACATATATATAATATTTAAGCCACCTCACAGAGAAGCATGGATTCAAATAAAAGAAATATAGCATGCACTTACTAAATTATACTTTTCAGTCACATCCACCAATTTTGAAGAAGTTTTTACTGAAAGTTGATGAATAAATCTTCTCTTGATGTGAATCCAAGTTTATTTATTTTTCCTTTTTTACTCTTTTTTTTTCTTCTTCTTTTTTTTTTTTTTTTTGAAGCAGGGTCTCACTGTTGCCCAGGCTGGAGTACAGTGGTGTGACCTCGGCTCACTGCAACCTCTGCTTCACAGGTTCAAGTGATTCTCCTGCTTCAGCCTCCCAAGTAGCTGGGATTACAGGCACCTGCCACCACGCCCAGCTAATTTTTTTTTTTTGTATTTTTAATAGAGATGGGGTTCGCCATGTTGCCCAGGCTGGTCTCTACCTCCTGAGTTCAGGTCAATCCGCTGACTTCAGCCTCCTAAAGTGCTGGGATTACGGGTGTGAGCCACTGCACCCAGCCTATATAGATCATATGTATATATCATAGCTCATTGCAACCTCAAATTCCTGAGCTCAAGCAATCCACCCACCTCTGCCTCCTGAGTAGCTGTGATTACAGGTATTCGCCACCATGCCCAGCTAATTTTTACATTTTTGCAGAGATGGGGGTCTCTCTGTGTTACCAGGCTAGTCTTCAACTCCTGGCATCACGTGATTCTCCCTCTGTGGCCTCCCAAAGTGTTTTAAAATGAACCCCATTGTATAACCTTCCTGAAGAAGTCAGAAGATTACCACTAGCCTATCATTCTACAGCAAAACACGAATGGGGAGAGAGAGAGAGAAGACTGCTCTTCGAAAGACCAATTTTGGGTTCCTATCTCTTGGATTTTAAAAATCAGGTGATTTCTCTTTAAAAATCTGGATCTCTGGCAGTGTTTGCATGTGTTCCTGCAAGGAATCAATCAGCTGGAGCTGAGGAACGGCTGTTGGCATTAAACAGCCCAGCCTTCCCCACTCTCCACAGTCTGCATCTTCCTCCATCCCCTTCCATTTCTTTCCTGCAACAGCTTGCCTAATAACGGTGCAGTACATGGATTTCACACGTGGTGACATCTCTATGTGTTTTCTCTGGAATCATTTTAGCATTCTAATCAAAATGGCTGCTCCAACAATGGTTATACTTAGCTAGGTTTTCTATAAAATATCCATTTTTTAAAAGGTAATTTATGGTTGAGGCTGACTCGTTTGACACATCTTTCTTTCAGTGGCTCACAAAAAGTAGCTCCTAATGAATTTCATTATTGAAACAGAATTTTGCAAATACCACAAGCTGGAACATGCTAGAAATATCTGCACTTTCACCCAGCTGTACTCAAACCTCCTACGCTGCGTGATTTGATGTAATAATGGTTTATTCAAATCTCCAGCCACATCTTCTTTGAGTCTTCCAATAGATTTTCTTACAAAAGAATGCATTTCAATTTCTTGCCATAGTGTTTCCTATTTGCTATTTTAACCAGTTTTACTGTGGTAGGAAGACAGTGTTTTCTAATATTTTTTAAACTTCTATAATAAACATGGAATTGCAAAACATGCTGTTTAACACACCGTTAAACATTTGTCATTAAGTTGAGTGAAATTTTGTGTGATCTGGTGTTGAGGATCACATGATTTTTAAACACAATTGACAGTATCTACAGTAAAATGTATGCTTTGCTTGAGGTCCAATGATAAAAGATGTTAACAATTCAATTATTTTTCTTGATAATGTTAATTATTTTTGCTAACTTTTTGCCAACTTTTTGCCAGATCTCTTTTAGCTTGTTATGTGGCTGATGATGAGCTTGCAATAAAGACAGAAATATTAGCCTTGACATTTGTTTGTGGTTTGCTTGAGCTTGCATTATCTATATTATTTTCAATCCAGTTTCTTGGGAAGAATTTTGTTTGTTTTGTTTTGTTTTAGAGAGACAGGGTCTCAATGTGTTGTCCAGGCTGGAGTCCAGTGGTGCGATCACGGGTCACTGCAGGCTTGAACTCCTGGCCTCAAGCAATCCTCCCACCTCAGCTTTCTGAGTAGCTGGTACTACAGGTATGTGCCACCATGCCTTATTATTTTGTGTGTGTGTATGTGTGTGTGTGTGTGTGTGTGTGTAGATAGGACCTCACTATGTTGTGCAAGCTGGTCTCAAACTCCTGGCCTCAAGTGATCCTCTTGCCTTGGCCTCCCAAAGTGTTGGGATTACAGGCATGAGCCACCACATTCACCCAGAAAAATTTTAAATTTTAAATTGTGATGTAATTCACATACGATAAAATTCACCTTTTTTTTGAGACCGAGTTTCACTCTTGTTGCCCAGGCTAGAGTGCAATGGCGTGACCTCGGCTCACAGCAACCTCTGCCTCCCAGGTTCAAGCGATTCTCCTGCCTCAGCCTCCCAAGTAGTTGGGATTACAGGAGTGCGCCACCATGTCTGGCTAATTTTGTATTTTTAGTAGAGATGGGGCCTCTCCATGTTGGTGAGGCAAGTCTCAAACTCCCCGCCTCAGGTGATCCACCCATCTTGGCCTCCCAAAGTGCTGGGATTACAGGCATGAGCCACCGCACCCGGCCAAAATTCACCCTTTTAAAGTGTACAGTTCAGGCTGGGCACAGTGGCTCATGCCTGTACTCCCAGCACTTCAGAAGCCAGAGGCGGGAGGATCTCTTGAGACCTGGAGCTTGAGACCAGCCTGGGTAACATGGTGAAACCCTGTCACTACAAGAAATACAAAAATTAGCTGGGTGTGGTGGTGTGAGCCTGTAGTCCCAGCTACTCGGGTGGCTGAGGTGGGAGGATTGCTTGAGCCTGGGAGGTTGAGGTTGCAGTGGGCTATGATCACACCACTGCACTCCATCCTGGGTGACAGAGTGAGACTGAGACCATCTCCAAAAAAAAAACAAAAAAACTGTACAGTTCAGCATCTTTTTTGTGTATTCACAGAAGTGTACGAGCATCACCACTAATCTCAGATCATTTTCATCATCCCAGAAAGAAATCTCATATCCATTAGTAGACACTCCCATATCCTCCAGGCCCTGGCAGCCACTCAACTTTCTGTCTCTCTGGATCTCCCTCTCCTGGACATTTCATAAAAGTGGAATCATAAAATATGTTTTTTTTTAATTTGGCTTCTAAATTATCTTTTAAAACTTAAAAAAAAATTTAGATTAAAAAAAAGCCCAGAAGTCTCAATACTGCACCCTGTCCCCACCAAACCATGGTCCCTTTCCACACTCGCCTGGGCTGTGCACGTCGACTGTGGTGAGGGCACAGCATTGATGCTGTCACCAGCACAGCCTTGATTTCGTTACAATCCAATTACCTCGGCTCAGAGAACAATTTATTCTGAATAAAGAAATAAGCAAATCCTTGTTTTGCAAATTTCTGCTGTTGGCCTAGAGAGTGACAGTGCCCCCAAAGATGGGCCAGCAGGGGCTCAAAGCATCCCACTCATTATGCTCTGCAGGAACGCTCCACTGCATGGGGCACATGCGTTTTCAGTAGCACTGTCTTCATGCAGAGAGAATAGAACGTTTGTTATCAAAGAAGACTGCAAAAAAGTAAAATCTGTACCACCAACAAGCCAATTCACTCACGAACTGTTCTTTTTAGGACTTAGGAGTAAATTCTGGTGGGCACCACACAGAGGAGTTTTAGACTATTTCAGGTAGATGTTAAAGTAAGGCATGAAAAGTAAGGTATAAAATGCTCCCTGAAATTATATGTTAAAGTAAGGTATAAAACTGCTCCCTGAAATTATATATAAGATTATTCTTTCTCTTTATATTCCAGAGGTGTATTTGAAGAGCACATTTTTTAGAGGGAAAGTCATAGCAATTTTGTTACAAATATTAACATCAAGGAAATAAAACCATCCTTCTTTCTAGGCTAGTTTTTCCATGTAAACTTTTAATTTTTTTTATATTTTGTATTTATTTTATTTTATTTTATTTATTTTTCGAGACAGCGTCTCAGCATTAGTCCGTTCTCGTGCTGCTATAAAGACATACCCGAGACTGGGTAATTTATAAAGGTTAGAGGTTTAATTGACTCACAGTTCAGCATGGCTGGGGAGGCCTCAGGAAACTTACAATTATGGTGGAAGGGGAAGCAAACACATCCTTCTTCACATGGCAGCAGCAAGGAGAATTGCCGAGCAAATGGGGAAAAACCCATTATAAAACCATCAGATAGCTGGGCATGGTGGCTCACACCTGTAATCCCAGCACTTTGGGAGGCTGAGGCGGGCAGATCACCTGAGGTCCGGAGTTTGAGACCAGCCTGACCAACATGGAGAAACCCTGTCTCTACTAAAGATACAAAATTAGCCAGGCGTGGTGGTGCATGCCTGTAATCCCAGCTACTTGGGAGGCTGAGGCAGGAGAATCACTTGAACTTGGGAGGCGGAGGTTGTGGTGAGCCAAGATCGTGCCATTGCGCTCCAGCCTGGGCAGCAAGAGCAAAACTCTGTCTCAAAACAAAACAAAACAAAACAAAAACCGTCAGATCTCGTGAGAACACACTATCACGAGAACAGCATGAGGGTACCCACCCTCATGATTCAATTACCTCCCACCAGGTCCCTCCCATGACAAGTGGGGATTATGGGAACTACAATTCAAGATGAGATTTGGGTGGGGACACAGCCAAATCATATCAGACAGGGTCACACCCTGTCACCTCAGCTAGAGTGCAGTGGTGCAGTCACAGCTCACTGTGGCCTTGACCTCCCTGGCTCAAGCTATTGCCTTCCTCAGCCTCCCAAAGTGCTGGGATTACAGGCATAAGCCACTGGGCCTGGCCCAATGTAAACTTTCTATTACAGAATAATACACCTATAGAAACTACATAAATCGTATACTTGATATAATTTGCAAAGTTAATATGCTCATGTAAGCAGTACCCAGATCAAAAACAGAGCACAACTGGTCGCCTAGGATAACCCCTTGCACTCTCTTCCAGTCTCCATGCCTCTAAAACCGTAGATACGATTTGTCTGGTTTTGAACTTGGTATCAAAGGGACCAAATGGTATGTGCTCTTCTGTGTCTGGCTTCCATCCTTAACATTGTGCTTGGGAGAATCAGCCAAACTGTGATGTGAAGCTGTAGGCAGCTCGTTCTCATTGCTGAGTAGAACTCTGTTGTGTCAATGTATTCACTGTCCTATTGACAATTGGTTAGTTTCCGGTTTGTGGTTATCAGAAATAACACTGCCTTGACCATTCCTGTCGATGGCTGTTGGTGGACATATGGACCCATACTGAATGCATTTCTTTTTCTTTTCTTTTCTTTTTCTTTATTTCTTTCTCTTTCTTTCTTTCTTTCTTTCTCTTTCTTTCTTTTCTTCCTTTCCTTTCTTTCTTTTTCTTTCTTTTTTTTTCTTTCTTTCTTTCTCTTTCTTTCTTTTCCCTTCCTTCCTTCCTTCCTTCCTTCCTTTCCTTCTTTCTTTTTTTTTGTTGAGACAGGGTCTCACTGTGTCACCCAGGCTGGAGTGCAGTGGTGCCACCACAACTCATTGCAGCCTCCACCTCCCGGGCTCAAGCGATCATCCTGCCTCAGCCTCCCAAATAGCCGGGACTAAAGGCATGTGCCACCACATCTGGCTGATTTTTGTATTTTTTGTAGAGATGGGTTTTCACCATGTTGCCCAGGCTGGTCTTGAATTCCTGAGCTCAAGTGATCCACCTGCCTCAGCCTCCCCAAAGTACTGGGATTACAGGCATGAGCCACGGCGCCCGGCCATTTGGTGTATTTCTAGGAGAAGTAGCAAGAAGATAGTTTTTATGTCTTCCCCTCATATGTTTGGTGTCCTTCAGCCTGAAAATAGTTTAAAAACTGAAGAGTGGAGGGCATGGACCACGAAGTTTTAGAGGAAAAGAACAAAGTTACCAAACAGGCTGTTCTTTTCTTTGCGATCTTTACTAATGAACCAGAGCTTAGGGGTGCTGTTGTGTCCAGAAAGTGACCAGAGTCAGTGGGCTCTTTCTTCTTCCTAAATTGGGATTTTGTAACAAGATATAGAAGCTTACTTCATTTGGGAATCGGATGTGACTTGGAAATGTGAAAGGGGACCTGGGAATTCAATCCACCCCCGTTTTTTTAAGATGGAGTCTTGTGCTGTCACCCAGGCTGGAGTGCAGTGGCATGATCTTGGCTCACTGCAACCTCCCTCTCCTGGGTTCAAGCAATTCTCCTGCCTCAGCCTCCCGAATAGCTGGGATTACAGGCATGCACCACCACGCCTGGCTAATTTTTGTATTTTTATTTTTTCTTAGACACCGTCTCACTCTGTTGCCCAGGCCAAGGTGCAGTGGTGAGATCTCTGCTCAGTGCAACCTCCACCCTTCCTGGGCTAAAGCAATTCTCCTGCCTCAGCCTCCCAAGTAGCTGGGACTACAGGCATGCACCATCATGCCTGGCTGATTTTTGTATTTTTAGTAGAGACGGGGTTTCACCATGTTAGCCAAGCTAGTCTCAAACTCCTGACCTGAGGTGATCCATCCACCTCGGCCTCCCAAAGTGCTGGGATTATAGGCATGAGCCACCATGCCTGGCTTAGGAATTCAATCTCTTAAGAAGATCCTGGAGAAGTCTAATAATTCTCTTCTGAAGGATCTATGAACTTACCAAGGCTTCAACTCATCTCATCTCTTTACATACAGAGAAAATTTAATTACAGAAAGCGTCAGATTGGAGAACAGAACCCACATCCTACAAATGCTCCTTCTCAGCAGGGAGCATGGCCCCCCCTCCCTGACCTCCCTTCCTCTGGGGTAGCATCCTTCACCAGGTTTTACTTACACTGACCACGGGCCACCTGTCGCTACTCTTTATCTGCTTCTATCGTACATCCCTACCATGCCAATTATAGATTTTACTAAGATTGTTTTCTATTATTTTGGACCCTGAACAATCGACTGAACTGAAAGAGGTTTTATGTTTGTTTCCTTGAGCAGTTTATTTAATTTTTAGAGACAGGGTCTTGCTCCATCGCCCAGGCTGGAGTTCAGTGGAGCAATCAGCTCACTGTAGTCTCGAACTCCTAGACTCAAGTGATTCTCCCGTCTCAGCTTCCTGAGTATCTGGGACTACAGGTGCAACCATCATGCCCTGCTCATCGTTTTATTTTTTGTAGGGACAGAGTCTTGCTATGTTACCCAGGCTGGTCTCAAAACTCCTTGACTCAAGTGATGCTCTTGCCTCGATCTCCCACAGCCCTGGGATTACAGGCGTGAGCCACCGTGCCTGGCATGAGCAGTTTATTTTTGTCACCTGTTTATTCTGTGATAGAAGGGTAATATATCAAAGAAGAGAAAAACTGTCCTATACAGAAACCACCAGAGGAAGAATTTGCTACTGTCCTGCAGAGCATGAATCATGTCTGCGTGACTCATTTTTGCAGAACTGCTGGTGAAAGGCCAATGCATAAATAGGTACTTTGTGATGATGATCATGAAAATGATGGATAATAAAAAGATACAAACAGTTCTGACTGCCTTAGAAGGCAGTTGCTGGACAAATAAAAAATACAGTACTATTTTAATATTCTATTGCATCATTACTTGGTAATCATTACAAACAGATTTGATTTTATAGTTTCAAATATTTCAAAAAGATGTTCAATGCCATTACAGAAATGCAAATTAAAACACAGTAAGATACTTCTACATCACTGTTAGAATGGATACAATTTTATTTATTTATTTATTAAAATATTATTATTGTAAATTGACAAACTATAGTTGTACATATTTATGGGGTACAAAGTGATGTTATGATTTACAAATACAACTTGGGATAATTAAATCAAGTGAATTAACTATTCATCACCTCAAACTTCTTTTGTGGAGAGAACATTTGAAATTTTACTCTCTTAGCAATTTTGAAATGTACAATACACTATTATTAACTAAACTTACTATGCTGTGTAATAGATTGCAAAAAACCCCTTATTTCTCCTGCCTAACAGAGGCTTTGTAGTAGCCTCTGACCATCATTTACCCATTCCCTCCAGCCCCCAGCCTCTGGTAATCACCATCCTACTCTATGCTTCTATGAGGCTATTGTTTTAGATTCCACATTATATTAGTCAGGGTTCTCTAGAGGGACAGAGCTAATAGGAGATATATATATAGAATATATACATAGAATATATATATAGAATATATACATAGAATACATATATAGAATATATACATAGAATACATACATAGAATATATATAGAATATATATAGAATATATACATAGAATATATATAGAATATACATAGAATATATACATAGAATATATACATAGAATATATATATAGAATATACATAGAATATATATAGTGTATATATAGTGTATATATATAGTATATATATAGTGTATATATAGTGTATATATATAGTATATATATAGTGTGTGTGTGTGTATGTGTGTGTGTGTGTGTATATATATATATATATATATATATATATATATATATATATATATCAGGGAGATTATTAAATATTAACTCACATAATCACAAGGTCCCGCAGTAGGCCTTCTGCAGGCTTAGGAAGAAGAAGAGCCAGTTGGAGTTCCAAAACTGAAGAACTTGGAGTCCAATGTTTGAGGGCAGGAAGCATCCAGCATGAGAGAAAGATGTAGGCTGGAAGGCTGGGCCAGTCTAGTCTTTTCATATTTTTCTGCGTGCTTTATATTCTAGCCACACTGGCAGCCAATTAGATGGTGGCCACCCAGATTAAGGGTGGGTCTGCCTTTCCCAGCCCACTGACTCAAATGTTAATCTCCTTTGGCAACACCCTCACAGACACACCCAGGATCAGTACTTTGCATCCTTCAATCCAATCAAGTTGACACTCAGTATCAACCATCACACATACATAAGTAAGATCACGTGGTATTTGTTTTTCTGTGTGTGGCTTATTACACTTAACGTCATGTCTTCTGATTTCTTTTTTTTTGAGACTTGTTCCCCAGGCTAGAGTGCAATGGCATGATCTCGGCTCACTGCAACCTCCACCTCCCGGAAGTGATTATCCTACCTCAGCCTCCTAAGTAGCTGGGATTACAGGCACCCACCACCATGGCTAATTTTTTTGTATCTTTAGTAGAGACAGGGTTTCACCATGTTGGCCAGGCTGGTCTCAAACTCCTGACCTCAGGTGATCCACCCGCCTCTGCCTCCCAAAGTGCTGGGATTACAGGCATGAGCCACTGCGTCCTGCCCATGTCTTCCAATTTCATCCATGTTGTTGTTAATGAGAGAATTTCTTTCCTTTTTTAAGACTAAAATTCCATTGTGGATATATGTTACATTTTCTTTATTTGTTCATCTATTGATGGACATTTAGATTGGTTCCATAATTTGGCTAGTGTAAATAGTGCTGCAGTGAAAATGGGAGCACAGACATCTCTTTGACATACTGATTTCAAATCTTTTGGGTAAATACCCAGAAATGAGAATGCTGGATCACAATTTTATTTTGTTTTATTTTATTTATTTTATTTTTTTTGAGACGGAGTCTTGCTGTCACTCAGGCTGGAGTGCAGTGGTGTGATCTCGGCTCACTGCAACCTCCGCCTCCCAGATTCAAGCAATTCTCCTGCCTCAGCCTCCTGAGTAGCTGGGAATACAGGAATGCACCACCACACCCAGCTAATTTTTTTTTTTTTTTTTTTTTTTTAGTAGAGACAGGGTTTCGCCATGTTAATCAGGCTGGTCTCAAACTCCTGACCTCAAGTGATCTGCCTGCCTCGGCCTCCAAAAGTGGTAGGATTACAGGCATAAGCCATCATGCCCAACCTGGATCACAATTTTAAATAAGAAGTGTTGGCAGGGATGTGGAGAAACTAGAATCCTCATATTATATTATTGGTGGAAATGTATAAACAGTACAACCATTTTGGAAAACAATCTGGCAGTTTCAGTAGAAAGCTAAAACTGCCTGGGCACTGTGGCTCACGCCTGTAATCCTAGCACTTTGGGAGGCTGAAGCAGGAGGTTTGCTTGAGCCCAGGAGTTCAGACCAACCTGGGCAACATGTGGAGACCCCATCTCTACAAATTTTTTTTCTTTTTTTTTGAGACGAAGTCTTGCTCTGTCACCAGGCTGGAGTGCCATGGCATGATCTCGGCTTACTGCAACCTCCGCCTCCTGGGTTCAAGCGATTCTTCTGCCTCAGCCTCCCGAGTAGTTGGGATTACAGGTGCGCGCCACCACGCCCAGCTAATTTTTGTATTTTTAGTAGAGATGGGGTTTCACCATGTTGGCCAGGATGGTCTCGATCTCTTGACCTTGTGATTCCACCCGCCTCAGCCTCCCAAAGTGCTGGGATTACCAGCGTGCGCCACCGCACCTGGCCAAAAAAAATTTTTTTTTAATTAGCCAGGCATGGTGGTGAGTCCTGTAGTCCTAGGTAGGAGGATCACTTGAGCCCGGGAGGTCAAGACTGGAGTAAGCCATGATAGCAACACTGCACTCCAGCCTGAGTGATAAAGCATGGCCCTGTCTGAAAGAAAATAAAAAAGCTAAACATAAATTCACCATAGAACCTAGCTATTCCACTCCTAGGAATCTACCCAAGACAAATAAAAACATTAGTCCACACAAAGACATGTACGTGAATGTTTATAGTAGCGCTATTCATAACAATCTCACACTGGAAATCATCCAAATATACATTAACTGGTGGCTGGATAAATAAAATGTGGTATGTCCATACAATGGGATGTTATTCAGTAATTAGAAGAGATGAAGTATTGATACATGTGGAAACACGAGTGGACCTTGGAAGCAGCGTGCTAAGTGGAAGAAACCAGACATAACAGACTGCATTGTATGAGTCCATTTTCTTTTTCAATTTTTATTTATTTATTTTTTGAGACGGAATCTCACTCTGTCACTCAGGGTGGAGTGCAGTGGCATGCATGATCTCAGCTCACTGCAACTTCCACCTCCCGGGTTCAAGCAATTCTCGTGCCTCGGCTTCCCGAGTAGCTGGGATTACAGGAACCCACCACCATGCCTGGCTAATTTTTGTATTTTTAGTAGAGATGGGGTTTCACCATGTTGGCCAGGCTGGTCTCGAACTCCTGACTTCGTGATTCACCCGGCTCAGCCTCTCAAAGTGCTGGGATTACAGGCGTGAGCCACTGCGCCCGTCCGTATGAGTCCATTTATATAAAAGGTCCACAGAAAGGCGAATTTCTAGTGACAGAAAACAAAACAGTGGTTGCTTAGTGCTGGGAGTGGGAGCAAGGATTAACTGTAAATCAGCACAAGAAAACTTTTTGGGGTGATAGAATTATTCTAAAACTGGATTATGGTGTTAGTTGCATAATTCTAGAAATGCACGAAAATCTTTGAAATGTACAGTGCCAATGGGTAAATATATAGTAAATAAATTACATCCCAATAAGTTGTTTTTTTTTTAAAGCGTAGACTCTTATTATTAAGACAATATTTGTATCTTTTATTTAGCTACAGAGTCGCTACAGGAATAATACATTTTTTGGGGGTGGAGGGCATGACAAAGTTTAAATTTTTAAGAAGTAACCCAAAGGAAAACATTCTAAAGAAATATTTCAGTTTCTTCCCTGAGACCTCTGAGTTTTTTTACTCTCCTGGGTTTATTCATTAAGGCCCTGTCTTCTGAAGATGTGCAGTGACCTCTGAGTCATCAATCACTTAAAGGTAAAGAGGTCCCAGGTGTACTTTTAGAATAATGGGTTCAATTCCAAAGTAAGACATGAAGGGAGGACCAATTGCCTAGATCCAGGTCATCAGTAGGCTAGACCTTCCTGTCCTGCGTTCAAAGTGAGTATCTGGAATTACTTGAAACTCCAAGATTAGGTTGTTAAACAACATGGTAAGACCACTACCCAAATTTAAGTTAGGTGTAAGACTTAGGGCTTCAGATGTCAACAATACCAAACCATAATAGTCACCATTGTCATAAAGTGGGTGCTCTCCAGATATATCAACAGTACACCTGGAAAGTCCATCGTTTTCCAGAATTTTCTACAATAATATACTGGTCCCTAGCAACAGTTACCATATAGATGATTAAAAGACACTAAAATTTTTATTTTAAAATGCAGTTTTTATCAATATACAACAGATACAGAAAAGCAAGCATATCTTAAGTGCTCAATGAATTTTCAAAGGTAACATCCCTTCTATAACACCAACAAGGTTGAGAAATAGAAGATCACCATCACCCTGGAAGCCCCTCAAAGCCCCTCCCAGCTACCACACTCACTCTCTTCCTCAAAGATAACCACTATTCTGACTCTTAACACCATACATTTGTTTGCCCAGTTCTGAACTTTATATAAATGGAATCAACCACACTGTATGCACTCGTTTTTGTCTGGTTTATTTTACACTGTACATAAGTCAACCATAGTCTCTTGTAGGAATATGTCAACTATTTATTTATTCATTCTATTATTGATGTACATTTGTATTGCTTCCAGGGATTTTGGCTGTTATGAATAATGCTGCTATGAACACTTTTGGGTTTGTTTTTTGTGCATTATCTGTGGACATTTCTGTTGAGAATATATCTAGGAGTGGATGTTGGCTGCTAGGGTATGTGTATGGTTAGCTTTAGTATACATCATTTTATTTGGCCAAAATCTAGAAAGCCACTTGAAGTGATGTAAGTGTAAACATACCTAAATGGAGAAATTTCCTAAATGTAAACACACGTTCATTCTTCATCAGAACTGATGGAGCAAACACTGTCACAGGCAGGACAACTGAGTATCAGTCACGAAGTTAGTGGAGTGTGATGTCTCACCAACATCACTTCGGAAGCCATCGCCTCCGTGGGGTTCGGGCCTTGGGAAATGAGCCCCACATGAACTTCCTGGCACTCCTGCCAGCTCCTTTCAGTGGAGTCTGGATGAACAAGGCTCATAGCCCTGCCTTGGCTTTGATACAAAGGAAAATATTAGGTGTGTTCAATTTCCCTCTAAGGTCTGGAAATCAATTTACCTTTTTTCTTTCTTTTCCTTTTCTTTTTCTTTTTTTTTTTTTTAAGACAAGGTCTGTCACCCAGGCTGGAGTGCAGTGGTGCGTTCTTGGCTCACTGCAGCCTCAACCTCCTGGGCTCAAGTGGTCCTCCCACCTCAGCCTCCTGAGTAGCTGGGACTAGAGGCACGTGCCACCACACCTGGCTGATTTTTTTTTTTTTTTAATAGATGCAGGGTTTCACTATGTTGTCCAGGCTGGTCTCAAACTCCTGGGCTCAAGCGATCCACCTGCCTCGGCCTCCCAAAGTGCTGAGATTTACAACTTATTTTCTTTAAAAAACAAAAAAGCCAGGGGTAATTATTAGCACACAATTGCAGGCTGAGTCTCTCAGTTCCTGGAGGACACTTGTCTGCTGCTTTCTGGAGCTTGGTGGTCCTTTACCTCTGGGCAGGGCTAAAAGCTCTTGCCTGTGACTGGTTCTTCCTGGTGGCTGTGGGCTCATAATCTACCCCATGTCAGAGTCCATCTCTGACAGGATTTGAAGCCAGGGCAGCTGGATTCAGCTCACAATGCTTCTAGTAGGATATTTTCATGGCCCAGGCTAATCTTAATAATCCAGTGTTTGTCCCCAGTGAAACCTTCCAGGGAGTTTCTACATCAGTTTCACTTCATGGTCTCTGAATTGGGTGTCCACTTGGGTTTGGGGAAGACTTTCTATGAAAACAAGGATCCCTTTGGCTTGCTGCCTATCCGTGGAAGTTGAAGCGTTAGTCAGAATTCCGACCTCAGACGCTTTTACACCCTAATGGGCCAGGCTGCAGAGAGGGCTCTATCTTCTTTTCTTTTAACTTTTCTTTAAAGTTGGATTCCTTCTGTAGCTGCTTGTTCTCTTCCATGTCTCTAGGGTATTTGTTAGTATACACAAGAAACAGCTTCTTGAATAATGTCCATTATAGCTTCGCATTTAAATGACAATGACTTCCTCCCTCTCCCTCTCCCTCTCCCTCTCCCTCTCCCTTCCCTTCCCCCTTTCCCCCTTCCCTCTCCCTTCCCTCTCCCTTCCCTCTCCCTTCCCTCTCCCTTCCCTCTCCCTTCCCTCTCCCTTCCCTTTCCCTTCCCTCTCCTTTCCTCTCCTTTCCTCTCTTTTCCTCTCCTTTCCTTTCCTTTCCTGTCTCACAGGGCTTGCTCTGTTGCCCAGGCTGGAGTACACTGGTGTGATCATAGCTCACGGCAGCCTAGAACTCCTAGGTTCAAGCAATCCTTGAGGCTCAAGCTCAGCCTCCCATGTAACTGGAACTACGGGCACGCACCACCACGCCCAGCTATTTAAAAAAAAAAATTTTTTTTTATAGACAGGATGTCTTGCTATGTTGCCCAGGCTAGTATTGAACTCCTGGCCTCAAACAATCTTCCTGCCTCTGCCTCCTAAAGTTCTGGGATTACAAGCATGAGCCACTGCACCTGGCCTGTTTTATTTATTTTCTACCATACTCTAAGGCTGCAAGTAGAGCAGCTGCAATGCCTGCTTTTAGCATTGGAGAACTTACCATATGCTCCTTACTTTCTGTTTTTGCTTGCTTTAAAAGTTGCCACAACTTTTGTCATTGTTATTTGTTAGTAGTAGAGAAGAACTTATATTCTCCAAGCTCAGATGGGGTTCCTGAATTTGGCCCTACTTTTTATGTTTTTATAAACCATTGACATGTACTAAAACTACTTGGGACATGACTTGCAAAAAACTTGTCATTGGTCAAATGGCAAATATTCACTACAAACGTATAGAACAACAAATCACCTACTTGCTTAGGTTTAAAATGGAAAGAAATTATTTTGGATTCTATATTTTGGGATAACTTAACATTTTAAAAGTATTATTTATTGCAGGCTGGGCGCAGTGTCTCATGCCTGTAACCCTACCACTTTGGGAGGCCGAGGCAGGCAAATCACTTGAGTTCAGGAGTTCAAGACCAGCCTGGGTAAAACCCCATCTTTACAAAAAATACAAAAATTAGCTAGGTGTGGTGGTGTGTGCCTGTAGTCTCAGCAACTTGGGAGGCTGAGGGAGGATCATTTGAGCCTAGGAGACGAAGGCTACAGTGAGCTGAGATTGTGCCACTGCACTCCAGCCTGGGCGATAGAACGAGACCCTGTCTCAAAAAAAGAGTATTGTGTATTGATTGCATAAGATGCAATACAATGAATACATATCACTCAGCATTAGGAGGCTAATTAGGCAATATGAGGGGGCATGGCTTTATCAAGAGACCAACCAGGTCAATTTTCTCAGATTTTAGGTCAGTTTCAGGATACGTTTGGGATGATCCTTATATGGGTGACTTAGGTAGCTTTTTGATTGTTGTTACCAGTTTTCATTCATTCGTTTTTTTTTTAAATAGCTGTATTGAGATAGAATTCACATACTTTATAATTCACCCATTTAAAGTATACAATTAAATGGTTTTTAGTATATTCACTGATACGTGCAATCACCACCACAGTCAATTTTAAAACATGTCATCACTTCAAAAGAGAAACCTCATGTCTGCTAGCCCTCAGTCCTCTATTCCCCCACCCTACCCTAAGCAATCACAAGTCTACTTATCTAGGCTGGGCGCGGTGGCTCATGCCTGTAATCCCAGCACTTTGGGAGGCCGAGGTGGGCAGATCACCTGAGGTCAGGAGTTTGAGACCAGCCTGGCCAACAGGATTAGTGAAACCCTGCCTCTACTAAAAATACAAAAACTAGCTGAGCGTGGTGGTGGACACCTATAATCCCAGCTACTCAGCATCCAGGTCCCCAGGGCTCTGTGGGTGGCATCCGGGAGAGGTGGCCTTGCCAGAGGATGCTCAGGGAGAAGCAGGGACCCCACAGCTGTGTATTAGCCTGAGGGACGTCCCCAGAGGTGGAACAAGAGCATGTCTCCAGGTAAATGAGCATTCCCCAAGTAAGTGTTAGTGTCACTGTTCTGTCCTCACTGCCACCCACCATCCCCCCCAATCAGTGGGCTGGAAAGGACAGGTCTGGAACCAGAGAGGGGGTTTGTGGTTACAGCCTCTCCCCACAGCAGGCCTGGGTGAGGGCCTCCTGGCCTGGGGAGGCCTGTCCCTCCTGCCACAGCCCTTGCAAAGTTGGCCCCTTTCACCTGACAACTCTGGAGGCAGGCCTGAGCAGGTGGAGCGGCAGCTGAGGTGGGGCAGGTGTCAGTTGCTGCAGGCGGCTCTGGGGAACAGTATTGGGCATTCCTTCTTCCACAGAGCTGAGTGTGGTTGATTCCACCTAGGATGGCCAGGCAGCCTCATCACACCAGAAGGGGTGGTTGGATATTTAGTGTTGAGCTGCCCAGGGACATGAGAGTGGGGGTGGCCACACATTCAAAAGCTGAGGTGCCCTGGGGAAAAACAAACAAACAACTCACTAATCCACTTAAAATCCTGAGCTAGGCCAGGTGCAGTGGCTCATGGCTATAATCCCAGCACTTTGGGAGGCCAAGGCGGGTGGATCACTTGAGGTCAGGAGTTTGAGACCAGCCTGGCCAACATGGAGAAACCCTGTCTCTATTAAAAATACAAAAATTAGCCAGGTGTGGCGCATGCCTGTAATACCAGCTACTCGGGAGGCTGAGGCAGGAGAATCACTTGAACTCGGGAGGTGAAAGTTGCAGTGAGCCGAGATTGCACCACCACTGCACTCTAGCCTGGGCAACAGAGTGAGACTCTGTCTCAAAAACATCAAACTAAAACAAAACCCTGAGCTGAAACCAACACAGACTTACATTTCAAACAGTACGGACATGGCACGGGGCCAGCTTCACCAGGCCATATGCACAGTGTGTTTGCCTGGGCCGGCTTGGCCCTGAGGTTTTCAGGTTGGTGACTATCTTGAGAACTGGCTGAGTACATCCTAAGACTTGCCTGGAAAGACCTGGCTGGGGACACAGACCGCCTGAGAGTCGGCCCCAGGGCCCTCCTCCCCGAGGGATGACCCGGCCCATTTGCTTTTCTGAGTCAATTTCCCTGTGACCGTCCCTTTTCCCTCTGCTCTGGGGGTGCAGCAGCCGTCCTTCTCTCTTCACAGCTGCCATCAGCCTCTGGTATCTTGGGGACCGCTCTGCTCCGCACCCAGAGCTGTCTGAGGAAGAGCTTTGTGGCCCTTGCCCCCACTGCCTTCTGTCCTGGACCCAGATACATCAGGCAGAACCCTGTGCAATGCTGATATGTGACCAGTTTGACCTATAAAAATGACTTTCCCATAGGTCAATTTGGATACAGTCTTTTTTCTTTTCTTTCTTATATTTATTTATTTATTTATTTATTTATTTTTATGAGACAGTGTCTTGCTCTGCCGCCCAGGCTGGCGTGCAGTGGTGTGATCCTGGCTCATTGCAATTTCTGCCTCCCAGGTTCAAGCAATTCTCCTGCCTCAGCCCCCCAAGTAGCTGAGACTACAGGCGCATACCACCACACCTGACTAATTTTTGTATTTTTTGTAGAGACAGGGTTTTGCCATGTTGCCCAGGCTGGTCTCGAACTCCTGGGCTCAAGTGATCCACCTGCCTCAGCCTCCCAAAGTGCCGGGATTATAGGAGTGAGCCGCCGCTCCTGGCCTGTATATAGTCCTTTTTATTTGAAATATCTTCCTACTAATTGTGATAGGAAAATAAACAGAAAGAAACAAAAATAAAAATAGTGGGCATATAGACTCTCTAGAGATGGTAAAGCATAGTTTTTTCTGTCTGGGCCTGCCTTTCCTGGGGCCTTTTATTAATAGAGAACTTTGTGGCTGGGCACGGTGGCTCACGCCTGTAATCCCAGCACTTTGGGAGGCGGAGGCGGGCAGATCACCTGAGGTCAGGAGTTCGAGACCAGCCTGGCCAACATGGTGAAACCCCATCTCTACTAAAAATACAAAAATTAGCTGGGCATGGTGGCGCACACCTGTAATCTCAGTTACTTCACAGGTTGAGGCAGGAAAATCACTTGAACCCGAGAAACAGAGGTTTCAGTGAGCCGAGACTGCACCACTGCACTCCAGCCTGGGCGACACAGCAAGGCTCCGTCTCAAAAAAAAAAAAAAAAAAAAAATTAGGGAACTTTGGGGATGTCTCCCAAGGCTACCACGCCTTCCAACTTGGCTGGACCAGATGGCTTCCCAGGGACAGCAGGCGGGCCAGGCCCAGGCTCGTAGAATCCCCATCTTGGGGCTCAGTCTCTGGTTCCCCTCTTCTGGTCTCTCCTGGCTGTGCTTTCATTCTGCAGCTCTCTCTTGGCCCTGCCCTGCCTCTCTCTGCCTTCCCCATGAATGCCCCCAAGGAGTCCCACGGCTCAGGCTTCCTGTCTGACCTTGCGGTCACTTCCTCCCTGTGTCCTGGAGGCTCCTGGGTCCAGCCACCACCCCTGGCCCACTGCTCTCTGTCCTGAGTGTTTTGCCCACAACATTTTTCTGGCCAGGCTGATAAGTCCAGAAAAGTTCAGTTTCCTTACCTGCGCTGTGGCTTTCTCTTGAAGTCAGGTGTCTTACACGGCAGGGGCCAACCTTGGAAGCCTGGCTGACTTGACTTGCTGCCTCCTGTCTTTCTCCTGTTCCTGAGCCCCCGCAGAGGCCGTCTCTATTTTAGGCATTAGTCCCTGCTGGCCTTGCTCTGATACCCAGTCCAGGTTGCACATTGCTTAGGGCCCTGCACTAGCAAGGACAGAGGACAGCTGGCCACCCCCCCCCCCGAAACCTGCCTCCTCAGGGTCACTTTCCATCTCTCCTCAGGTGCCTGCCCCCTACCCAGGGACCCCCATCAATGGGCCCTGTCGGAATTTCCATCCAGGGCCCTCACAGGGAATCTGGTTAGAGATCAGAGGGGCTGCCAGGCAGAACAGGGGCACAGCCCATGCTGAGCTGTCCTGAGATAAGGGGTGGCTTCTGCCTGGGCAGCGGCCACTGCCCTGGGCCTCTCCTGACTGCCACGAGCCTGGACAGCAGGAGTTGTCCTTGCACCCCTGTGGGTCCCCAGAATGCTTGCAGTCTTCACAGCCTGTACCCTGCCACTGGGCCAACAGTGACCAACCTGGCCAAACATCCCGTGGACCCCTCTTTCCATATGCCCTCCTTTGTCACTGGCTGCTTGTTCATTGAACCACTTGAGTCATTCACTAAGAATGCATTGAATACCTACTATGTGCCAGGTACCATTCTAGGCCTTAGGGACATAGTGGTGAATAGGGCAGGTGACCCTCCCCCCACCCCCCAGAGCTCAAAGTCTAGTGGGAACACAAGTAATGAAACCAATGATCCTCTAAGTGGGATCTGCGTACTGGGGCCTAGCCATGGCCTGTGTTACCAGCCTGCGATGAGGTGGCCAGGAGTTGAGAGAAATGTTGAGAAACTTCTATAGGAATTTGACAGGGAAAGTTTTTGTTTATTGAGTCTAGTTTAAAAAAAAAATCAGGTTTCTATTGTTTGTCTTTTTTTAATTTTATTTTTCTAGCAATTCTTTTTTTTTGTTGTTTGTTTTTGAGATGGAGTCTCACTCTGTCGCCCAGACTGGAGTGCAGTGGGGTGATCTCGGCTTCCTCTGCTGCTACGAGGTGAAGCCAAGACAGGCCAACAAGCAGGGGCACGGTCCTATCAGCAGCAGCAGCTGGGGGTAAGTGTCTGAGGGATTCTCGGAGGAAGTGTTCACGTGCAGTAAAAGATGCCCAGGTTTGGGGTGAGCCCAGAGCAGACATGTGTGGTTTGCACATCCTTCCTTTTTCTGGTTGCAAAGCAAAAGGCAGATGCATCCTGACTCCACTGGGGTACTCAATTGTCCCATTCAGAAGGACATCATGATAAAGCAACATCTCACCAACAGTCCAAGCCCCTGCTCATTTCAGCTGCACGTATACTACAACTGGAATGATACAGAGAGGATTAGCATGGCTCCTGTGAAAGGATGACACACAAATTCATGAAGCGCTCCACATTAAAAAAAAAAAAGTCCAATCCTGAGACAGGTTTTTAAGAGCAGCTTTCTTGCAAAGGTTTAGCATGCAAACGACTTTTAAAGAAACTTTTTATGCCTTGGACACTTACTGACTGAGATAAGATGCTGCCAAGATGGAATTCTCTTTATGGAAGGATTTCCTCAAAGATACTATGTTGTGCAACCGGAAAAGAAAAGCTAAAGCACGGAAAAGGGAATTTGAACTCATAATTTTTCTGAGAAATAAGAGTAGGGTCTGATTCATAGATACGTTGGTTTATCTGGCCTTCTATCAGTTGATGTTTGCGGGCTACAAAAAAGTGGCAATGGGTGCCCTTGCCAATGATACGGATGCTCCAGAAGTTTCTAAAGTATCTTGTAAATCTCCAAAAGGAAAAGCACATTATTTTACGTAATTTAAGAATTGTGCTTCCTATATTCTTTTTTAAAAAAAATATGCAGTCTGGGAAACATAGCAAGACGCATCTCTACACACACAAACACACACAAAAATTAGCTGGGTGTTGTGCCACATGCCTGTAAGTCCCAGCTACTCAGGAGGCTGATGCAGGAGGATCAGTTGAGCCCAGGGGTTCAAGGCTGCAATGAGTTATGATCATGCCACTGAACTCTCTAGCCTGGGTGAAAGAGTGAGACCCTATCTCAAAACAGACAAACAAAAAATGTGGTAAGCTGCAATTGAGACCTATTTACAAATTGGTGTATGTCTACAATCTGAGTAATATATTTCTTCTCTTTGCATTTTGCTACCCTGACATAGAAGAGTTTGCCAGGCTACTTTCATTGTTGCTGAAGGTCTTTACATATTACAGAAAGTTGCTGCAAATCATTTACAAAAGATGATTTAGGCAGGTTTAAATTAGGCAACTCGAGTAGGGATCATTATGGCGGATGGGAGGCAGGACTAGATTGTAGCTCCAACTCGAATGGACAGAGCAATGGGCGGAGGCTCGCATAGTGAATTTTAGCTCCAAATTGACTGCAAGAACAAATCGGCAATCTTGAGAGAACCCACAGACTCTCTGTCTCCTGCAGGACCCAGGAGACACCCCAAATACTGTGAGCGCCCCAACTGCAGAAGTGGGAAAGGGAGATCCTTTTCCCCTGAACACACACCCCCACTGGAGAAACTAAAGGTCTGTTTGCGGGAGAAGTTTCTGACCTTACCTGGAGCTGAGTCAAGTTAGAGAGCCAAGCGAAATACAGGGGTAGAGGAAGCACTGGGAAAGGCCTTGGGAACTCGCTGGGTCCCCAAGCAGGCCATTGCTGCCTGGCACCGCAGGGACCCATTGGGAGAGCAGCTAGAGTGGGGGGATATGCTACAGGGAGAAGGAAATCTCCAGCTGAACTGGGGCGAGAAGCCTCCCCGTCAGAACTCAGGGGAGGGCATGAATCCAGGGTGCAGATTCCACAGGCAGGGGAAGAACCATGCCCTTTTCTTTCGCAGCTGGGAGGCAGGTAGCCCGGGGCAAGTTCTCAAGCCTGTGTCGCCCACTGCTTGGAAACAGACTCTGTTAGTGGTGCATGGTGGGAGTGAGACTGGCCCTTTTTTATTGCATGGGAGCTGGGTGAGGCCTGTAACTGCCAGCTTTCCCCCACTTCCCTGACAACCTGCATGACTCAGCAGCAGCCACAATCCTCCTAGGTACACAACTCCACTGACCTGGGAAACTCACCTCCATCCCCCAAAGCAGCTGCAGCAAGACCCGCCCAAGGAGAGTCTGAGCTCAGACACACCTAACCCTGCCCCCACCTGATGGCCCTTCCCTACCCACCCTGGTAGTGAAGACAAAGGGCATATGCTCTTGGGAATTCTAGGGCCCCATCCACGGCTGGTTCCTCTCCACAGTACCATAGCTGATGCTCTCTGGAAAGTGCTACCTCCCCGGCAGGAGGCCAACCAGCACAAAAATAGAGCATTAAACCACCAAAGCTAAGAACCCTCACGGAGTCCATTGCATACCCCCTGCCACCTCCACTGGAACAGGTGCTGGTATCCATGACTGAGAGACCCATAGATGGTTCACATCCAGGACTCTGTGCAGACAACCCCCAGTGCCAGCCTGGAGCCGGGTAGACTTGCTGGGTGGCTAGACCCAGAAGACAGACAACAATCACTGCAGTTCGGCTCACAGGAAGCCACATCCATAGGAAAAGGGGGAGAGTACTACAACAAAAGAACACCCCGTGAAACAAAAGAATCTGAACAACGGCCTTCAGCCCTAGACCTTCCCTCTGACAGAGCCTACCCAAATGAGAAGGAACCAGAAAACCAACTCTGGTAATATGACAGAACAGGGCTCTTTAAACCCCCCACAAAAATCACACTAGTTACCAGCAATGGATCCAAACCAAGAAGAAATCTCTGATTTACCTGAAAAAGAATTCAGGAGGTTAGTTATTAAGCTAATCAGGGAGCACCAGAGAAAGGCGAAGCCCAGTGCAAGGAAATCCAAAAATCAATACAAGAAGTGAAGGGAGAAATATTCAAGGAAATAGATAGCTTAAAGAAAAGACAATTAAAACTTCAGGAAATATTGGACACACTTATAGAAATGCAAAAAGCTCTGGGAAGTCTCAGCAATAGAATTGAACAAGTAGAAGAAAGAAATTCAGAGCTTGAAGACAAGGTCTTCGACTTAACCCAATCCAACGAAGACAAAGAAAAAAGAATATGAAAATATGAACAAAGTCTCCATGAAGTCTGGGATTGTGTTAAACAACCAAACCTAAGAATAATTGGTGTTCTTGAGGAAGAAGAGAAATCTAAAAGTTGGGAAAACATATTTGGGGGAATAATCAAGGAAAACTTCCCCAGCCTTGCTAGAGACCTAGACATCCAAATACAAGAAGCACAAAGAACACCTGCAGAGTTCATTGTAAAAAGATCATTCCCTAAGCACACAGTCATCAGGTTATCCAAAGTTAAGAAGAAGGGAAGAATCTTAAGAGCTGTGAGACAGAAGTACCAGGTAACCTATAAAGGAAAACCTATCAGATTAACAGCAGATTTCTCAGTAGAAACCCTACAAGATAGAAGGGATTGGGGCCCTATCTTCAGCCGCCTCAAACAAAACAATTATCAGCCAAGAATTTTGTATCTAGAGAAACTAAGCATCACATGTGACTGAAAGATACAGTCTTTTTCAGACAAACAAATACTGGGAGAATTTGCCACTACCAAGCCACCACTACAAGAACTGCTAAAAGGAGTTCTAAATCTTGAAACAAATCCTGCAAACACATCAAAACAGAACCTCTTTAAAGCATAAATCACACAGGACCTATAAAACAAAAATACAAGTTAAAAAGCAGAAACAAAAAACAAAAAACAAACCCAAAGTACACAGGCAACAAATAGCATGATGAATGCAATGGTACCTCATATCTCAATACTAACATTGAATGTAAATGGCCTAAATGCTCCACTTTAAAGCTACAGGACTGGAGAATGGATAAAAACTCACCAACCATCTGCTGCCTTCAGGAGACTCACCTAACGCATAAGGACTCACATAAACTTAAAGGGGTGGAAAAAGGCATTGCATGCAAATGGACACCAAAAGTGAGAAGGAGTAGCTATTCTTATTTCAGACAAAACAAACTTTAAAGCAACAGCAGTTAAAAGAGACAAAGAGGGACATTATATAATGGTAAAAGGCCTTGTCCAACAGGAAAATATCACAATGTTAAACATATACGCACGTAACACTAGAGCCCCCAAATTTATAAACAATTAAGAACAGACCTAAGAAATGAGATAGACATCAACACAATAAGAGTGGGGGACTTCAGTACTCCACTGACAGCACCAGACAGGTCATAAGACAGAAAGTCAACAAAGAAACAGATGAATTTAAATTATACCTTGGAACAAATGGGCTTAACAGATATATACAGAACATTTCATCCAAAAACCACAGAATGCACATTCTATTCAACAGCGCATGGAACTTTTTCCAAGATAGACCATATGATAGGCCATAAAATGAGCCTCATATAATTTAAGAAAATTTGAAATTATATCAAGCACTCTCTCAGACCACAGTGGAATAAAACTGGAAATAAACTCCAAAAGGAACCTTCAAAACCATGCAACTACATGGCAATTAAATAACCCACTCCCGAATGAGCATTGGGTCAAAAACAAAATCAATATGGAAATTAAAAAGTTCTTAGAACCAAACAACAATAATGACACAACCTATCAAAACCTCTGGGATACAGCAAAGGCAGTGCTAAGAGGAAAGTTCATAGCCCTAAACACCTACATCAAAAAGACTGAAAGAGCTCAAACTGACAATCCAAGGTCACGCCTCAAGGACTAGAGAGATAAGAACAACCAAACTCAAACCTAGCAAAAGAAAGGAAATAACCAAGATCAGAGCAGAACTAAATGAAATTGAAACAAACAAACAAACAAACACATACAAAAGATAAATGAAACAAAAAGCTCGTTCTTTGAAAAGGTAAATAAAATTGATGACCATTAGCAAGATTAACCAAGGAAAGAGAAAAAATCCAAATAACTTCATTAAGAAATGAAACAGGAGATATTACAACTGACACCATGGAAATACAAAAGATCATTCAAGGCTACTATGAACACCTTTATGCACATAAACTAGAAAACCTAGAAGAGATGGATAAATTCCTGGAAAAACACAACCCTCCAAGCTTCAATCAGGAAGAATTAGATACCCTGAACAGACCAATAACAAGCAGCAAGATTGAAATGGTAATAAAAAAATCTACCAACAAAAAAAGGTCCAGGATCAGACGGATTCACAGGATAATTTTACCAGACAGTCAAAGAATTGGTACCAATCCTTTTGACACTATTCCACAAGATAGAGAAAGAAGGAACCCTCCCTAATTCATTCTACGAAGCCAGCATCACCCTAATACCGAAGCCAGGAAAGGACATAACCAAAAAAGAAAACTACACACCAATATCCCTCATGAACATAGATGCTAAAATCCTTAATAAAATACTAGCTAACCGAATCCAACAGCATATCAAAAAGATAATCCACCATGATCAAGTGGGTTTCATACCAGGGATGCAGGGATGGTCTAACATCCGCAAGTCAATACATGTGATGCACTACATAAACAGAATTAAAAACAAAAATCACAGCCAGGTGCAGTGGCTCATGCCTGTAATCCCAGCACCTTGGGTGGCTGAGGTAGGTGGATCACCTGAGGTCAGGAGTTCAAGACCAGCCTGATCAACATGGTAAACTCTGTCTTTACTAAAAAATATTTAAAAATTAGCCAGGTGTTGTGCCGGGCGCCTGTAGTCCCAGCTACATGGGAGGCTGAGGCAGGAGAATCGCTTGAACCCAGGAGGTGGAGGTTGCAGTGAGCCGAGATCATGCAATTGCACTCTGGCCTGGGCGACAAGAGTGAAACTTCGTCTCAAAAAGAAAAAAAAAATCACATGATCATCTCGATAGATGCAGAAAAAGCATTAGACAAAATCCAGCACCCCTTAATGATTAAAACTCTCAGCAAAATCAGCATACAAAGTACATACCTCAGTGTAATAAAGGCCATCTATGACAAACCCACAGCCCACATAGTACTGAATGGGGAAAAGTTGAAAGCATTCTCTGCCCCCGAGAACTGGAACAAGAAAAGGATGCCCACTGTCACCACTCTTCTTCAACATTGTAATGGAAGTCCTAGCCAGAGCAATCACACAAGAGAAAGAAATAAAGAGCAGGCCGGGTGCAGTGGCTCATGCCAGTGATCCCAGTACTTTGGGAGGCCAAGGCAGGCGGATCACAAGGTCAGGAATTTGAGACCAGCCTGACCAACATGGTAAAACCCTGTATCTACTAAAAATACAAAAATTAGCCGGGTGTAGTGGTGTGCTAATCCCAGCTACACAGGAGGCTGAGGCAGGAGAATTGCTTGAACCCGGGAGATGGAGGTTGCAGAGAGCCAAGATCGTGCCACTGCACTCCAGCCTGGGTGACAGAGTGAGACTCTGTCTCAAAAAAAAAAAAAAAAGAAAGAAAAAAAAGAAAAAGAAATAATGGGCATCCAAATTGGTAAAGAGGAAGTCAAACTGTCCCTGTTTGCTGACGATATGATCGTTTACCTTGAAAACCCTAATGACTCCTCCAGAAAGCTCCCAGAACTGATAAAAGAATTCAGCAAAATTGCTGGATACAAGATTAATGTACACAAATTAGTAGCTCTTCTATATACCAACAGCGACCACGCAAATATCAAATCAAGAACTCAGCCCCTTTTACAATAGCTGGGAAAAACAAAAAACAAAAAACCTAGGAATATACCTAGTCAATGAGTCTAAAGACCTCTACAAGGAGAACTACAAAACACTGCTGAAAGAAATCACAGGCCAGGCGCGGTGGCTCACACCTGTAATCCCAGCACTTTGGGAGGCTGAGGCAGGCAGATCACCTGAGCTCAGGAGTTTGAGACTAGCTTGGCTAACACGGTGAAATCCCATTTCTACTAAAAATACAAAACATTAGCTGGGCATGATGGTGTGCGCCTATAATCCCAGCTCCTCGGGAGGCTGAGGCAGGAGAATCACTTGAACCTGGGAGGCGGATGTTGCAGTGAGCTGAGATTGTGCCACTGCACTCCAGCTTGGGCGACAAAACTAGACTCCATCTCAAAAAATAATAATAATAATAATAAAATAAAAATAAAATATCCAGAATCTACAACAAATTTAAACAAATCAGTAAGAAAAAAACAATCCTATCAAAAAGTAGGCTAAGGACACGAATAGACAATTCTCAAAAGAAGATATACAAATGGCCAACAAACATATGAAAAAATGTTCAACATCACTAATGATCAGGGAAATGCAAATTAAAACCACAATGCGATACCATTTCACTTCTGCAAGAATGGCCATGATCAAAACACCGAAAAACAGTAGATGTTGGTGTGGATGCGGTGATCAGGGAACACTTCTACACTGCTGCTGGGAAGGTAAACTAGCACAACCACTATGGAAAACAGTGTGGAGACTCCTCAAGGAACTGAAAGTGGAACTACCATTTGATCCAGCAATCCCACTGCCGGGTGTCTACCCAGAGGAAAAGAAGTCATTACATGAAAAAGATACTTGCACACGCATGTTTATAGCAGCACAATTCACAATTGCAAAGTCATAGAAACAACCCAAATGCCCATCAAAGAGTAGATAAAGAAACTATTTTATATATATATGTGTGTGTATGTGTGTACACACACACAGTGGAATACTACTCAGCCATAAAAAGGAATGCATTAACAGCATTTTCAGGCCCGACGCAGTGGCTCACACCTGTAATCCTGGCACTTTGGGAGGCCGAGGCGGGTGGGTCATGAGGTCAGGAGTTTGAGACCAGCCTGACCAACATGCTGAAACCCCGTCTCTACTAAAAATACAAAAATTAGCTGGGCGCGGTGGCAGGCGCCTGTAATCCCAGCTACTCAGGAGGCTGAGGCAGGAGAATCGCTTGAACCTGGGAGGCGGAGGTTGCAGTGAGCCGAAATTGTGCCACTGCACTCCAGCCTGGGCAACAGTGTGAGACTCTGTCAATAAATAAATAAATAAATAAAGTTAACATAAAAAAAAGAAGAAACACAGACAAAAAATAATAAATTAGGCAACTCCATAGCCATTTTTATTCTTGAAAAAGAATTACCTTGTGTGTAAAGGGAATTTTCTTTTATTTCCTTGTTTTCTTGTTTTGTTAAGAGATAGGGTCTCGTGGTGTCACCCAGGCTGGTGCCATCATAGCTCACTGCAGCCTTGAACTCCTGGGCTCAAGCAATCCTCCCACCTCAGCTTCCCAAATCACTGGGATTATAGACCTGAGCCACCCACCGTACCTGGCCTGTGAAGGGAATTTCCTAAATGAGTTTGAAAGTTTAAGTCGTGTCATACAAATAAGTGATTTCAGCCTCCTAGGCTGCCAGGAAGCTCTTAATATAAGTTTGCTAAGTAAATTCCTGTGAAACCGTAGCCTGTCAGCTATCCAAACCATACTTTGTAATTTCTCTGAACTCATTTCATTAATTCTCAAAATGATCATGGAAGATCTACTGTCATTTTCTTGAAAAATTAAAACATAAAATGCTTATTAAATAAACAATCAATACGTGATGTGGACAAGTGAACAGTCATGCTTTGTTGGTGGGAATGTAAAATTGAGGCTACCTTCCTGGCAATTTGGCAATCCATAAGAGTTTCAGAAATTTTATATCCCGTTATCCTTCTAAAACTCTTTCCTAAGGACAAATCAGAGATAAGGATAAAGATTTTTGTTCAAGAATATTTGCTGTTAGGACATTTATAAAAATGAAAATTTAGAACCATCTCAAAAGTCTAATAATAGAGACTTTGTAAAATAAATGTTAGTGCATCCACCTGATGCAATTATAATATAGCTGTTAACTGTTCACAATATCATATTATTTTTAAAATGAGGAACACAAAATTATATTTACAGTGTGATCCCAGTTTTTTTGTTAAATATACATCTATAACACACACATACGCTTATAAGGACTTATACAAGACTATTAAGAGTAATTATCTTTGGGTGATGGATTATGGGTGATTTGAATTTTTTGTTATTCTCTATAGTTTTAAAATTCTCTACAATG